>NC_000005.10:168488596-168791627 GCF_000001405.40 Homo sapiens
CACAGGAAGAAGAGATTAAATCTCTGACTGCTGAAATTGACCGGTTGAAAAACTGTGGCTGTTTAGGAGCTTCTCCAAATTTGGAGCAGTTACAAGAAGAAAATTTAAAATTAAAGTATCGACTGAATATTCTTCGAAAGGTGAGTACTTTGGGTTCCAGTTTTATTCTCCAGTTTGAATCATTATAGCTTTTTTAAAGCCTTTGTTACCAAAGATTCTGGAAGTATATCCTATGGAATTTGGAAAAGAAGCATAGAAACCCTATTCTTTTCCCTGCATTAGACAACTTAGGACTGAGGTAGTTGGTGCAAATAGTGACAAGTTGGTGTTGTCCTGTCCTTCAGGACTCTTTGAAATGTTTCATCCTGCTAACTGTTTGGCTAACTTAAAGTAGGATTTAGGTAGGGTTGAGGCATTTCTTTTTAAAAATTTATTTATTATTTTTTGAGACAGGGTGTCTGTCACTCAGGCCAGAGTGTGGTGGCATCATCACGGCTCAGTACAGCCTCAACCTTCAGGCTCAAGCAGTCATCCCACCACAGCCTCCTGAGTGGCTGGGACTACAGGCGTGTGCCACCACATCCAGCTAATTTTTTTTTTTTAATAGAGATGGGGTCTTGCTGTGTTGGCCAGGCTGGCCTCGGAATTCCTGGCTTCAAGCAACCCTCCCTGTCTTGGCCTCCCAAAGTGTTGGAATTACAAGTATAACCTACTGCACCCAGCAAGGTTGAGGCATTTCTTTCAACAGTTTATGCCCATGCCTTTTTTAAAAAAACATGTTTGATTTTTAAATCATTGCCTCTATCATAAAGGAAATATTTGAAAATACACCTGCATATTTTCTCTGCCCTAAGTTGGTTATTTTACAGTTTTATATCTTACATAATCATTTGGGGTTTTTTCCACCTGGTATTTCAAAACACTTTTTTTCCCCATGAAGCTTGTGCTATGTTTATTTAATGGTCTCATGATTTAACAGTGTTTTACCAATTTTGTTTTAAAAAAATGAACTTGCTGCAGTTTTTTGGCCTGCCTTTCGTATTTGGTGATGACATATCCCAGAGTGTTGACCTCATTCCCATAATTATTCTCCTGTGTGTATATATTACTGTCAGACAAACTCTGCAGGCATTACATCCTTTTCCCAAAGCTGATTGATCCATTTACTCACCTTAGACTCTATCTTCCCCACTCCCATGACATCTCTCATATTATCTTTTTTTTTTTTTTTTTTTGAGACGGAGTCTCACTCTTGTTGCTCAGGCTGGATTGCAATGGCACAATCTCAGCTCACAATAACCTCCACCTCCCAGGTTCAAGCAATTCTCCTGCCTCAGCCTCCCCAGTAGCTGGGATTACAGGCATGCACCACCACACCTGGTTAATTTTGTATTTTTAGTAGAGACGAGGTTTCTCCATGTTGGTCAGGCTGGTCTGGAACTCCTGACCTCAGGTGATCTGCCTGTCTCGCCTTCCCAAAGTGCTGGGATTACAGGCGTGAGCCACCGTGCCCGGTGTCCATATTTCCTATTTGTGATCTGCTATGCTCGAGTCTCATATTACCTATATGTGATCTGCTGTGCTTGTCTTTGAGTCTTCTAGAATCACAAAATTCCTTTTCCATAGAATCTTCCCAAAAGAATCTCACCTTTCTCGTTATGTCATTCATTCTACACTTATATATGTTTAATTCTCTGTTATATTTATTTTAATTCAAAAGTATTATTAAATGTCTAATATGTGCTAGAGACTATAAGGGAAAAGATACAAAAGGAAGTACAGTATTTTGTCGAACTCCTCGCCTCAAGTAATCCTCCCACCTCAGCCTCCCAAGTAGCTGGGATGGAAGTACAGCATATTTTACTACACATTTTTCTGTAATGCAGATTAGCTCTTATATAGCTAGGAGAATGCTCTCACTGTATTGTGGGAGGCATATTGGTTCTTTGACAAATACTTTGCCCTACTGAATGAGCAGCTGAACACAAGGTACACAGCAGAACTAAAAACCACAGAGTAATAAAGTACTGTGTGTGATGGCCATTCACCCTGTCGTTTTTCCCTGGTTCACTTTGGCCACATGCTCTGACTTGAAAGCATCACATATGAAACTGGTAGAGACAACTTGTTGAATTGATTATAATCAGATAGTAATTTTCATAGTGCCAAAACTAAGCACAGTAGATTTCGTGTGTGTAGGTACACACACATACATATGTACATGGTGGTACTCCTATCCTTTAAAAATAAAAAATTGAGGTTGGGCGCAGTGGCTCACACCTGTAATCTCAGCTGTTTGGGAGGCCGAGGCAGGTGAATTACCTGGAGTCAGGAGTTCGAGACCAGCCCAGCCAACATGGCAAAACCCTGTCTCTACTAAAAATACAAAAATTAGCCAGGGATGGTGGCATGGGCCTGTAATCCCAGCTACTTGGGAGGCTGAGGCATGAGAATCACTTAAACCCAGGAGGCAGAGGTTGCAGTGAGCCAAAATCGTGCCACTGCACTCCAGCCTGGGCAACAGAGCAAGACCCGGTCCCAAAAAAATAAATACATAAAAATAAACAAAAAATTGACATTTATTATAGCAGGTTTTGGGTATAAGATCATAATCTAGGCCAAGTGTGGTGGCTCATGCCTGTAATCTCAATGCTTTGGGAGGCCAAGGCAGGAGGATGTCTTGAACCCAGGAGTTCAAGGTTACAGTGAGCTGTCATGCCACTGCACTTTAGCCTCAGCAGAGTGCACAGTGAGATCTTGTCTGTTACCCCCAACAAAGAAGAGAAAAGGATCATATCCAAGTAAATTTGGCATTTGCTGTTGGAAATCTTTAGATTGGGAAAAATGTATCTTCCTTGTTTTAAGTATGTTACCACAGAGAGGAGTCAATTATTGATTAGCTACAAACTTGAAATCAGGTTTTTTAGTGAATTTAAGAATATAATTTCTTCATATGATAGAGAGGGCTGATGAGGGGAGCATAAAACTTGGACTGTCCATTCCAATAGACCTGAGTTTGAATCTGGCCTTTTCCACTTATTCTGTCTTGTCTTTGACAAGTGACTTATCTGTAGCCCACATAGAAATAGTGATAATAGTAACAAGCTCGATTTTATTATGTAGATGGAATAAGATAATGCATATAAATAAAGCATTTGGTTCAAATCTTTGCATACTCAAGTATTAACTTTTGTTATTGTCATTATTTTATACTGTTGACATTTTGATGAATATAAATTTGTGATGAACATAAAATTGTGATGAACATGTTGATGAACATAAAATTGACAAACATAAAGGTGTATAGGCAGCATGTTTATCTTCTATTAAAAGCATATGTGTCATTCACCTTTTTTTTTTTTTTTTTTTTTTTGCTAAACTGCTGTATGGCAAGTACAGTGCTAGATGCCAGGGACAGGGAAGAGAGCCATGAATTAAGCACTTTGTGTGCATCCAGCAGTCTAGTGGTAGAGACAGATAGTTTTGTGAGGGTATGATAAGTGCAGTAATAGAGATAATTATATGCCATCTTAAATGACTATATTCCATGGGAAAACAGGAGGTAGTAGGTCTCATAACAGTAAAACAAAACTACTGGCTTTTCTGGTATATTAATATTACCTGCTTTGCTCCCTTTTATTTCATGCCTTGAAGAGGTCAACATTTTGATGGACATCATGTATTTTTTTGTTTGTTTTTTGTCCATTGAGTTTTCACTTCCAATATTTGATGTGAAATAAATTATTTTCTCAGAGATTTGGAGAAGCTGAGAAAAGGATTCCATCAGCTCTTTTAACTCCCTCCTCCCAGTTTCTGTTCTGCTAAAACAAATGCAAAAAGTAAGACCTCAGGGCATTTCCCATGGATGTCTTAGATGCCGTGGGATGGACTTGTCCTGCTGCATGTCTTAGCAAATCCCAGATTGAGGGCATCACACCATAAGTACGTTTTCCCTTTTGGTTCTTAAGATATTTGGAGGTTTATACTCAAAATATTTGGAGACATCTTGTATGATGATGGTTTTACGTACATTATTGACATGTTTCCATTCTTTTCCTACAGAGTCTTCAGGCAGAAAGGAACAAACCAACTAAAAATATGATTAACATTATTAGCCGCCTACAAGAGGTCTTTGGTCATGCAATTAAGGCTGCATATCCAGATTTGGAAAATCCTCCTCTGCTAGTGACACCAAGTCAGCAGGCCAAGTTTGGGGACTATCAGTGTAATAGTGCTATGGGTATTTCTCAGGTGATGTATTGTCATGACTCTTGGCTGTTTGATTTTTTTAAGTATTATTATCATCATTGCCATTTACAGAAATAATACTATTACAAGTTGTATCCTTAGTGAAAAGGACATTTGCCACAGTTTGAAAAACTTGAGAAAGGAGTTGGGGGGGTATATGTTTTAACTTTTTTAGGCACAATTTTTAAGGTTTGGTTAAATTTTATATGTATTCTCAATATTTAAGGGCAATCATTGGTACTCTTTTGTTTAGGTATTTCCCTCCTGCTGTGTCCAGGATTGCTGTGTGGTGGTGATGAGTGCTGGGAGGTGAAAAATTAAAATAAGCCATTTACCAGTCAGCATCCCAATTAAATATTTGATGTAACTGTGATCTTTGAGCCAGGCTTATATATTCATTTTCAAGCAGAGGAGTTCCCCATTTTAAATAGAGGCATTGTCTGATGTGTTTATGGTTAACTGCATCTGGCTTGGGTCTTTCTGTTTTCCTTTCTTTGCTGAATTGGAAGGGGTTACTCTGAAGAGTCCAGGTCTTACAGTGTGGTTTATTTCTCAAGTGTGAATATTGCACACCTTCATGGCTTGAAAATTAGAAATGTAAATATGCTGGAACCAGACTTCATAACTGTAGACTTTGTTATGTCATCATTAAAAAGTTCGAGGTGTTGTAATCCCAGCTACTAGGGAGGCTGAGGCAGGAGAATTGCTTGAACCCAGGGGCGGAGGTTACAGTGAGCCGAGATCACACCACTGCACTCCAGCCTGGGCAACAGAGCGAGACTCCATCTCAAAAAAAAAAAAAAAAAAAAATAGTTCCAGGTATTTGTGTGTAACGTATTTGGAAATAGAGATCATGTAGTGTGGGCACTTTCTATGCCTCTTGGCACTATTGATACTTTAATCTGTCATTCATAATGTGATTGGACTTCTCTGCTTCTGCCTTTTGATGGTTCTTAACGTAAAATGCATCTCGTGCCTTGTCAGGTGTGCATTTGCGAGTAACTTGCTGAAATCTGTTGTGTAATGAATCATTTTATATTGTGTTGTAGATGCTCAAAACCAAGGAACAGAAAGTTAATCCAAGAGAAATTGCTGAAAACATTACCAAACACCTCCCAGACAATGAATGTATTGAAAAAGTTGAAATTGCTGGTCCTGGTATGACATAATGTTATCCTTCTTAATAGTTGTATTGAACATGAGTCCTTTTTGAAGTTAAAAAAGAACACACATTTTAATTACAGGGTTAAACTTTGTATACTGAACAAGATGGTGAAAGCACTGTGGATTGTGATATAGGAAATTGAAGTTTTAATCTAGACTCAGCTACCACTTTTAGCTGCCTTATCTTGAATGAGTTACTTTGCCTCTCTGTGATTCAGTTTTTCATCAGCAAAATGAGGATAGATAATGGCAGATAAGTCTTCGGCACAAGGGCCTTCTGTTTTCTGTTAAGAGGCGAACAGATTGTTTGCTGAAAGTGAAAGGGCCCTGAGTTAAGTAGGAAGGTTTCAGGAGAGTGGTGAAGGCTTGAAGTAGACGGTGAGACAGGAGCTTACAAGACAGCTTAAGTCAAGGCCACAACTGGTATTGGAATCCGGAAGAATTTTGCCAGAGCCAGGTCAGTGTCTGGAGCAAATCCTTAGGAGCGAGTGATTATTCAAGATAAGACAGTATCTGATATTTTTTCTCTTCTATCCATTAGGTTTTATTAATGTCCACTTAAGAAAGGATTTTGTATCAGAACAATTGACCAGTCTTCTAGTGAATGGAGTTCAACTACCTGCTCTGGGAGAGAATAAAAAGGTATATGTACACTCTTCTATTAATATATTAGTATCTTAGAACTGCGTGGAACCAAGCATGGTGGTATGTGCCTATAGTCTCAGCTACTTGGGAGGCTGAAGCAGGAGGATTGCTTGAGCCTAGAAGTTCAAGGCTGAGGTGTGCTGTGATCGCACCTGTGAATAGCTACTGCACTTCAACCTGGGCAGTATCATGAGACTTCATCTCTAAAAAAGAAAAAGAAAAACGAACTGCATGGAAAGTGCTGAAACCGGGAATGGATTTCACTTTTATACTGAAATTTAATCATTCACATTTGAGATTATGAACATTTATGAAGTAGCCTTTCCCCTGGGTCTAGCATGTTGTGTGATTTTTTTTTTTTTTCACTTAATTCCACAAGGCATTTGAGGTAGCCAATTGATACACAGATATCACTGAAATAGAATGGATAATTTGTATACATGAATTTGATTCTTTTTCAGTTAAAAATATACAAGCAGATCCATCATAAAATCAAACATGGTTGAATTACGGCCCAAATTAATGTTTAAGTCTGAGTTTGTTATTAAATGTGTTATTAATGAATGCATTGGAACAAAATGTTTATGCTCCTCTTAAAAAAATCTTTCTCTCTTTATGTTTATGCCCCTCTTAACAGCCTTTCTCTTTTTGTCTACCCCAGGTTATAGTTGACTTTTCCTCCCCTAATATAGCTAAAGAGATGCATGTAGGCCACCTGAGGTCAACTATCATAGGAGAGAGTATAAGCCGCCTCTTTGAATTTGCAGGGTATGACGTGCTCAGGTATGTGCTCTTGCCTTGCGTACTATTCTCTTTCCTTATTTTCTTGTTTGGAAAATTCTATAGAACATGGAATATCTCACTCAAGAAAGAACATTCGACTAAATCAGTGGTTCATCAGCTTAGTTCTTCTTTACAACCACCCAGTAAGCTTTTAAAATATGTCCTGAGCCTTTCCTCTGAACCTTTTTTACTATTTTATTTTTTTAGACTCTTAGTGGAACCAAGGACAAAACTCCTTCATTCTACACATGTTTCTTGAGGACCTCTTGTATGCAATGGGTTTATATCCTAGCAGGGAGAGAAGTAGTAAAGAAACAGGTTGTTTTGGGCCTTGTAAGCTGTGAGAGGCAATTGAGATTTTATTCTAAGTGTACTGGGAAGCTATTAGAGAGTTTTAGTTTGTGAAGCAGGGTGATCAAATTAAAGATTAGCCTGGGTACCATGGCTCACACCTATAATTCCAGCACTTTGGTAGGCCAAGGTGGGAGGATCACTAGAGGCCAGGAGTTCTAGGCCAGCTTGGGCAACATAGCAAGAACCTGTCTCTATTTTTTATATTTTTAAAGAAATAAAAATTTTTAAATAATACAAATTAAAGATTACTCTGGTTACTTACTGTGAAGAAGCTAGACAAAGAAGGGAGACTATAACAGTAAGTGTTAGGCCAGGCACGGTGGCTCACGTCTGTAAACCCAGCACTTTGGGAGGCCAAGGAAGGATGGATCACGAGGTCAGGAGTTTGAGACCAGCCTGGCAACATGGTGAAACCCTGTCTCTACTAAAAATACAAAAATTAGCTGGGTGTGGTGGTGCACACCTGTAATCCCACCTACTTGGGAAGCTGAGGCAGGAGAATTGCTTGAACCTGGGAGGCAGAGATAGCAGTGAGCTGAGATCGTGCCACTGCACTCCAGCCTGGGCAACAGAGCAAGACTCTCTGTCAAAAAAAAAAAAAAAACAGTAAGTCAAGAGGCTATCATAATCCACTTGAAAGATGATCTGGTGGTTTGGATTAGATAAAAGCAGAGAGGGAGAGAAGTGGGTTGGATCAACATTTTTTTTTGGAGACAGAGTCTTGCTCTGTTGCCCAGGCTGGAGTGCAGTGGCGCAATCCTGGCTCACTGCAAGCTCTACCTCCTGGGTTCACGCCATTCTCCTGCCTCATCCTCCCGAGTAGCTGGGACTACAGGCGCCCACCACCACACCCGGCTAATTTTTTGTATTTTTAGTAGAGACGGGGTTTCACCATGTTGGCCAGGCGGGTCTCGAACTCCTAACCTCAAGTGATCCGCCTGCCTCAGCCTCCCATAGTGCTGGGATTACAGGCGTGAGCCATTGCACCCGGCCTCAACATATATTTTCAAGAATTTTGTTCATTGATATTTGGGAACCATTGGTCTAAATTATATTAAGATAATGGTTAAAATGTTAAATTTTCATAAAATTGTGGGAATAACCAACATTGGCCCAGCTGTCATTGTCTCAATTAGCTACAAAATAAACAGATTATAGTCCACTGACAGAAAACACATTCATTCAGCAAATTCTGGATGCCTGCCTTGTGCAGCCTCTAGTACTTGAGTATGCAGAGCTGAATGTAACAGACATAGTTTTCATCTCTTGTGGAGTTTGCAGACCAGTTGAAGAAACAACCAAGTAAACAGATATTACTAAATGGTGATGTACTGGCATGTAAATATTAGTGGTTCCTAATGGAATATAGTTCCTCTAATTTAACTTAACCATCTTTATTATTTAAAAAATGATTATATATTCTCTGATTGGTGTTAGGTTAAATCATGTAGGAGACTGGGGGACCCAGTTTGGCATGCTCATCGCTCACCTGCAAGACAAATTTCCAGATTATCTAACAGTTTCACCTCCTATTGGGGATCTTCAGGTCTTTTATAAGGTTTGATACCATTTCTTTTATATTATGTGTGTGTTTACCATTAATCATAATTATCCATTTTCCTTAGGAAACTTAAAATGGTTTTTAAAGCTACTATGGAGTTAAGTGAAAGTTGCTAACAGCCTTAGTAATACATGTCTCTGTATAAATGACATTCTCTTGAACTTAAACTACTTTTTTTTTTGTAATTTATAAAGACGTTTAATTACCTCACAGTTCTGCAGGCTGTACAAGCATGGCGCTAGCATCTGCTCAGTTTCTGGGGAGGACTCAGGGAGTTTTATTTATGGTGGAAGGCAAAATGGGAACAGACTAATTGATAAACATATAAAATTTGTTCATCTACACTGGCAAGCCCTTTCGTTTAGTTTACCTATCTGAAAAACTGAATTCTTTTTTATTCTGACATTCATTGCATTTGGTTGTGTGCCTTAGAAACAGCCATCCCCTACCCCCAGATTCATTACATTTGGTCGTGTATGTAGAACCGCTACTAGATACCCTACATTTGGTTGTATGCATAGAAACAGCCATCCCCCACCTGTTAATATGTCATCTTTGCTTTGTTTATTGGCGTATGTTAAAAATCAAATTCTAGGTCAGGTGCGGTGGCTCGTGTCCGTAATCCCAGCACTTGGAGAGGCTGAGGCAAGCCGATTGCTTGAGTTCAGGAGTTGGAGACCAGCCTGAGCAACAAAGTGAGATCCCATCTCTACAAAAAATACAAAAATAACTAGCCAGGCATGGTGGTTCACACTTGTAGTTACAGCTACCTGGGAGACTGAGGAGGGATAATCGCTTGAGCACAGGAGGTCAAGGCTGCAGTGTGCCATGATCATGCCACTGCGCTCCAGCCTGGGTGACAGAGCAAGACCTTATCTTAAAAGATAAAATTATATTAAAAAAAAGTAAAAAAAAATGAATTATACCACATTGAATTTAGAGGTTTATTAATCAATGCATTATAGGACTTAAAATTTTTTGATGCTTAATTTTATGTATTTTGATATGATTAAATGTATGTAAAAACAATTTTAAAGACAAATTTTCACATCATCCATAATTTTAAAATGCCTATTGTGATCAACTTTCTTTGAATCCTTGACTTAATCTGTATATCAACATGTATTAATCATTTATGATTTTAATATAGTTTTTGTATTATATTTAATATTGCAAACTTTTGTGTTACTTTATGACTGCACATTTTGTTGGATCAGTGTACCAATGTTTACATTAATCCTTTATTAGGATTTTTTTCTATTTTAGAGGTGTTGTTATTCAGTAAATAGCTTTGTACACTTGGATTTTTTTCCCTCTTTAAAAATTATTTCCTGGCTGGGTTCAGTGGCTCACACTTGTAATCCCAACATTTTGAGAGGCCAAGGTGGGCAAAATGCTTGAGCCTAGGAGTTTGAGACCAGTCTGGGCAACATGGCAAAACCTCATCTCCACAAAAAATACAAAAGTTAGCCAGGCATGTTGGTGTACATCTGTAGTCTCAGCTACTTGGGAGGCTAAGGTGGATGTGAGTATCACTTGAGACCAGGGAGACCAAGGCTGCAGTGAGCTGTGATCACACCATTGCACTATACAGCCTGGGCAACAGAGTGAGACCCTATCTCAAAAAAAAAATTATTTCTTCAAAAATTAAAAATTAAAAATGTTTTTTAAAAATTTCCTTATGGGCTGGGTGCAGTGGCTCATGCCTGTAATCCTAGCACTTTGGGAGGCTGAGGCAGGCAGATTGCTTGAGTCCAGGAGTTCAAGACCAGCCTGGACAACATGGAGAGACCCTGTCTCTACATAAAATACAAAAAATTAGCCGGGCACACTCCTGTAGTTCCAGCTACTTGGGAGGCGGAGGTGGGAGGATCACCCAAGCCTGGCAAGGTCAAGGCTGCATTGAGCTGTGATCTTACTACTGTATTCCAACCTCAGTGACAGAGTGAGACCCTGTCTTAAAAAAATAAACATAAAAAAAATTCCCTATGGTGGAAGGATCATAAAGATCATAATTTCCTCTCGGATATTTTGATTAATAAATTTATTTTAATGTGAGTTGCATGTTTTCTGTTTGTTTAAATTCTTAGGCATTTTCTTTATGATGGAGAATGTTTCAAGAATAGGATTCCTGTATTAAAAAGTAAACATTTGTGGGGATTTTGTTTTTGTTTGCTTCATTTTACTTTTGGTAAATGTTTTCTGTTGAAAATAAGCTAAATGTTTACTGATATGAGACTGGAAAAGTAATGTTATAAACATCTTTTGGAGTTCTGTACTTCGAATATAATGAAGCAGATCTATTAATGCAAGAAATTGTTTGTATAAATAAATTGTTAAAATTTACAAACCACAGTAAAAAAAAAAGCCATTTCCAATTTTTCATAAAACATATATGTGTATTTGCAAAGAAATATCTAGATTTGTTCATTAAATGTTAACACCAGTTAATTCAAGGTGAGATTAATTATTTTTAAGTAAGTGTTGCTTTCAAAATAGAAATAAAACAATGAAAGCAACTTTCGTTTTAGTTAAAAAATAATAATAATAAGTTGGCCAGGCACGGTGGCTCACACCTGTAATCCCAGCACTTTGGGAGGCCCAGGTGGGCAGATCACTTGAGGTCAGGAATTCGGGACCAGCCTGGCCAACATGGTGAAATCCTGTCTCTACTAATAATACAAAAATTAGGCGGGTGTGATGGCTTGTGCCTGTAATCCCAGCTACTTGGAGGCTGAAGCATGAGAATCACTTGAACCCGGGACACGGAGGTTGCAGTGAGCCGAAATCATGCCACTCCAGCCACTCCAGTCCACTCCAGCCTGGGAGACAGAGTGAGACTCTGTCTCAAAAAAAAAAAAAAAAAAAAAACGAAAAAAAAATTCATTCAGGACCACATCCAAAATGGAGATTGGAACACAGAAAATTCAGTCCTACCTGTTAGCTATTCTGTACTAACCCTTGAACACAAAAGTATTAGCTGAAGTAGACTTTTGTGAATTGGAAAAGTGTAAAGAAAACTGTGGTGAGATTTTTGTATTTTTTAAGAGAAATGATTTCAAAGTTCTTTGGCATGTTCATTTGTAACAGTATTCTCAACTATTGAGGGAGAGCACTTGTTCTCGTGTTTGTACTTTCTCACTGTGTTTGTGTGTGTAGAAATGTGTAAGTTCTTTTTCTAGAAATACAGGATTAGATCTTTTTACACACCTTACTTTTTAAAATATATATATATACAGGAATCTAAGAAGAGGTTTGATACTGAGGAGGAATTTAAGAAGCGAGCATATCAGTGTGTAGTTCTGCTCCAGGGTAAAAACCCAGATATTACAAAAGCTTGGAAGCTTATCTGTGATGTCTCCCGCCAAGGTGAGTTTCTGGGCTTTGTTCCTTCGTCCAGCAAATACTATGTATATCATTTCCTGGAGTCTTCATTTTGATTTGACTTTGAGTGATATTTTAACCTTCTAAGGACAGGCAAATAGATTTTTTCTTAAATGTATTTCTGAAACAACCAATAAATTTTGAACCTGCCATAAGACAGGCAGGTTCAAATCTTAACTTTCTTAGAAGTCAGCAAAAATTAATTAGAAAATAAAGTGGAAAATAAAAAGAAATCTTATTCACAGTAGCAACAAAACCTATAAAACACTTAGGAATGAATTTATTCAGAAATGTGTAGGACCAAAATGATGAGAAGTGTACAATGAGATGTAATAGAATGTTTGGATAGAGTGCCAGACCCAGTTCCCTAGTTCTCCAAATTTATTTATGATTTTAAGGCGATTTCAAGTTTTCTAACTTGACATAATAGTTTTAAAGATTTCTTTGAAGAGTAAATGGGTAAAGAACAACCAGTAGATCTTTGAAAAAGACGATTAATGATGACTGGCTTGCAGCACTAGGTAATAAAATGTTTTATAATTACAGTAAGTAATACTGTGTCATTGATGTATTGCTACATAGACAGGTAAGTGGTTTAAATCAGGAAAAACCAGAAGAAAATTCAGTAAATATTGATCACTAGATAGGAAGAGCTTTTTTTTCTTCTCATTTACATTTTTTAAGAATTAATTTTTTTAAAAGTTATACAAGAAGGACATGTTCCTTATATAAAAAAGTAAATGTTGGGAGGCCGAGGCGGGTGGATCACCTGAGATCAGGAGTTCGAGACCAGCCTGGCCAACATGGTGAAACCCCATCTCTACTAAAAGTGGAAAAATTAGCCGGGCGTGGTGGCACACGCCTGTAGTCCCAGCTACTTGGGAGGCTGAGGCAGGAGAATCGCTTGAACCCGGGAGGCGGAGGTTGCAGTGAGCTGAGATCACGCCACTGTACTCCAGCCTGGCTGACAGAGCGAGACTCCATCTCAAAAAATAATAATAAAAAGAAAGTAAACGTAGACAGGAGAAAAATAAAATTATCTATAGTCCCACCCATTGTTAATATTTTGATGTGTACCTTACCATTTTCTTTCCCTTTTTCAAAATGACAGCATGTATATAATGTTCTATATCATACATTTTTTATGTAATTAATTTCCTTTTAATATTTGTATTAATAAATTTATTTCAATGTAAGATGCATGTTTCCTGTTTTTAAAAAATTCTTATGCATTTTATTTGGTGGCATTTTATTTTCTTCCCTAGAGTTAAATAAAATCTATGATGCATTGGACGTCTCTTTAATAGAGAGAGGGGAATCCTTCTATCAAGATAGGATGAATGATATTGTAAAGGAATTTGAAGATAGAGGTAGGCACTCTTCTTTTAACTTTTTATTATGGAAATTTTCAAACATAGGCAAAAGTGGATAGAATTTATAGTAATGCCAGCTTCATGTACTCATCATCCAATTTCAACAGTTATGGGTACTGACCAACCTTATTGTATCTATACCTTCTTACACTGCTTCCCTCATATAATTCCATCTATAATGACTTTGGTATATGTCTCTGAAAGAACAGGACCTTCTTTCTGCCCTAAAACCGCAATATCATTATAATAACAAATATATATATATATATATATATATTTTTTTTTTTTAAAACAATCTTGCTATGTTGCCTAGGCTGGTGTGGAACTCCTGGCCTCAAGTGATCCTCCCACCTCGGCCTCCCAGAGTGCTGGGATTATAGACATGAACTACCATACCCAGCCAATAATAATTTCTTAATACCATTAAATAGAGTTCAAATTTCCCAAGTTGATTCATGAATTTTTTTTTTTTTTTTTTTTGGAAACAGAGTCTTACTCTGTCGCCTAGGCTGGAGTGCAGTGGCGTGATCTCGGCTGACTGCAACCTCCGCCTCCTGGGTTCAAGCAGTTCTCCTGCCTCAGCCTCCTACGTAGCAGGAATTACACACATGCACCACCACACCCAGCTAATTTTTGTATTTTTAATGGAGACAGGGTTCCACCGTGTTGGCTGGGCTGGTCTTGAACTCCTGACCTCAAGTGATCCACCCACCTCAGCCTCCCAAAGTGTTGGATTCATGATTTTTTTTAACAGTTTTTTCAAAGTATGCATATAACATTTGTTTGATATGTATCTTAAGTTCTATAAATCTGAGGTTTCTCCCTCTTTTTAAATTTCTTTTATTGTTGAAGAAACTGGGCTATTTGTCCTAAATAATTTCCCATATGGAACTATTTAGCATAATTCCTTGTCTGTGTTTCTCTAAAGAGGCTTCATTAGATTCTGATTTATGTTTTATTCCTTTTTTTGTTGTTTTCTTTTAGTTGCAAGAATGCAGGCAATGAGGCAGTGTCTGGTTGTCTCTGTTTTTGTCATATTAAGATTGATTAGTAAATTCAAGTATCGTCAGCTGGATCTGTCCATAAATTTCCCCATCAGACTTTTCCCTATTGGCTTTATCAGCTATTTATGACCATGACTTTGATCCACCACTTCATTGGAGGTTGGAAAATGGTAGTGTTCTGTCATTCTTTCTCCATTTGTTACTTGGGATTCTCTTATGCTGAACTTTGTTACTAATTATTTTGGTTATCCTCAGGTACAATTCATATAAAACAGGTAGGGTAGTAGAAGTGCTTGATTTTTTTATCAATTGCAGAATAATAGGTTTGTTCCTTAGCATCTCAAAGTGAGTTGTTTGATTTTGATATTATTGTGGTGGGCTTTTAATGTGTTTTATATTTTTCAGTCAGTTGTCTTTATAATTTTTGTAGTGCTCAAATTGTTCCATTTTGGCTAAGTAACTTCATATTTTTTGTTGTGGTTTTGTTTTTTTCAACCCCTTTGGTAGTTAGTTAATTGCTTTCTGGTATACAATATTCCAGGCCCATTTTGTACATTTCCTGCCTCAGACCTGAAATCAACCATATCTCTATGGAAGCCTGTTTCCTTGAATGGGAGTAGTATTTTAATCACAGTCTAGGGCCTAGGGACCATACTTTTTAAGATGATAAAATTTTGGCTGGGTGCAGTGGCTCATGCTTGTAATCACAGCACTTGGAGAGGCTGAGGCAGGAGGACCACTTGAGGCCAGGAGTTTGAGGTCAGTCTGCGCAACATAGCAGGACCCTTTCTCTGCCAAAAAATTAACAAAATTAACAAAAGAAGTAGTTGGGCATGGTGATGCATGCCTGTAGTTCTAGCTATGCTTGAGCCCAGGCATTTGAGGTTACAGTGAGCTATGCTCACACCACTGCACTACAGCCTGGGAAACAGAATGAGGCCCTGTCTCTGAAAAAAAAAAAAAAAAGAATAACGAGAGAGAGAGAGAGGTCGAGCATGGCAGCTCGTGACAGTAATCTCAGCACTTTGGGAGGCTGAGGTGGGAGGATCACTTGAGTCCAGGAGTTTGAGGCCAGCCTGGGCAACAATGTGTGAGACCCTGTCTCTACAAATTAAAAAATTAGCCAGGCGTGGCTGGGCGTGGTGGCTCACACCTGTAATCCTAGCACTTTGGGAGGCCAAGGTGAGCGAATCACGAGGACAGGAGATCGAGACCATCCTGACCAACATGGTGAAACCCCGTGTCTACTAAAATACAAAAAATTAGCTGGTGTGGTGGCACACACCTGTAGTCCCAGCTACTCGGGAGGCTGAGGCAGAGGAGTCGCTTGAACCCGGGAGGTGGAGATTGCAGTGAGCCGAGATCATGCCACTGCACTCCAGCCTGGCGACAAAGCAAGATTCTGTCTCAAAAAAAAAAAAAGAAAAAAAAATGCCAGGCCCGGTGGCTCAGGCTTGTAATCCCAGCACTTTGGGAGGCCGAGGCAGGCGGATCACGAGGTCATGAGTTGAGACCATCCTGGCTAACACGGTGAAACCCCGTCTCTACTAAAAATACAAAAAATTAGCTGGGCGTGTTGGCAGGTGCCTGTATTCCCAGCTACTCGGGAGGCTGAGGCAGGAGAATGGCGTGAACCCGGGAGGCAGAGCTTGCAGTGAGCCGAGATCGCACCACTGCACTCCAGCCTGGATGACAGAGCGAGACTCCGTCTCAAAAAAAAAAAAATTAGCCAGGCGTGATCGTGCATGCCTGTGGTGACAGCTTCACGAGAGGCTGAGGCAGGAGGATTGCTTGAGCCCAGGAGGTCTAAGCCACAGTGAACATGTTCACACCACTGCATGACAGAGAAAGACCTGGATGACAGAGCAAGACCCTGTCTGAAAAAAATAAATAAATGCAATTTTTTAAATGTTTATTTTATGAGAAAATAGGCACAGAGAAGTTAGTATCTTCCCAGGGTCACATAGCTAATAAGCGATACGTCTGAGATTCAAACCTAGCCAGTCTGGCTTCAAAGCTTATGTTTTTAACTGCTTATTTTATACTGCCTTTACATTACCAAGCCTCAATTTTCTAAACTGTAAGAAAGCATAGAGTTATTTACTGCATAGGGTTATTTTGAAGGTTAAATTTAAGGACTTAGCATAGTACTTGGCACATAGTAGCACTCTTAATAGCTGCTACTGTTATCATGTTCTTCCTGTACCTTCTTGCATCCAAGAATTCTGTCTTTTTTATCATGAGTGTATGAACATGGATTTAATTTTTCTTCCTACTTCTCATTCCAAATGCCAAATCCTGCCCTGTTTGTTTCCGGGACCTTGAAACAGTGTCAACTACTTTTCAGCACGCTGTTAGAGATCACTATAAGAATTGCAGCTTTCTCCAAGAGGAAGGTTATGGCTCCAGCTTGAAAGCAAAGCAGATTTTCATGTTCTGGTCCTACCGAGCTGATGGGTTCCAACTAAAGAGTTTGGGAGGCCAGGCATGGTGGCTCACACCTGTAATCCCAGTACTTGGGGAGGCCCAGACAGGAGAATCACTTGAGCCCAGGAGTTTGAGACCGGCCTGGGCAACGTAGCAAGACTGTGTATCAAAAAAGAAAAAAAAAAAAAAAAAAAAAGCAGTTGGGAACCAAGTTTAGTGTTTAAGTGTGGAAAACTGCCAGAACATCTGACCTGTGCTCTGATAGCACCCTGAGTATCCAGGCAACCTTGATGGTTAACATTTTCCAAGGTTTCTAATAGATCATGGTGAGGAAAAAATTATGTGCTTTCTTTAGCTCTCTAATAAATATATTTCAAAATATTCTTAGAATAACTAAATATTTACATAGTAGAATGAGTAAGCATTCATTTTCCTTCAGGGTTCTTTTAACTTTATTAATGAAGTGTTTTTTACCCCCTAGGATTTGTGCAGGTGGATGATGGCAGAAAGATTGTATTTGTCCCAGGGTGTTCCATACCATTAACCATAGTAAAATCAGATGGAGGTTATACCTATGATACATCTGACCTGGCTGCTATTAAACAAAGACTATTTGAGGAAAAAGCAGATATGATTATCTATGTTGTGGACAATGGACAAGTGAGTTTGTAAATTTGTATGTGTTTTACATTGACTGATTAGAGGTAAGACAGTATGGTGAGGTTGGTGACATCTGACACTGGATGACTGTAAATTTTCCCCAAAGACTAAGATTCAGGACATCAGTATAGCATAGAAGAAAGAAGAGGGTTTGGACCCAGCCAAACTGGACACTTCCTAGTTTTCCAGCTTGCCTCCACAAACTGGAACCTCTGAACTTCAGCAATTGTTCCTATCAGTAGGGTTATTGTGAGACCTAAAATGTAATTGAAGTTTTTGCATGTGACCCTGCCCTTAATTCAGTTGCTTTAAAAACGTTTGAACATAGTAGAAAATGTAACAGTGTTGCTCTTAGTGTTTCTCATATATAGGGAATAAAAGAAGAGGTTTTATAATAGCACTTGTCTCACAAGATTTATGAGCGATTTGAATTTTACAGATCTATTCCTAAGCAAAAGAGCCTTAAGTCTTTTTTTTTTTCTTTAAAGAAGACTAGCAAGTAACTTTCCGTTTCTGTTGTAGTCTGTGCACTTCCAGACAATATTTGCTGCTGCTCAAATGATTGGTTGGTATGACCCTAAAGTAACTCGAGTCTTCCATGCTGGATTTGGTGTGGTGCTAGGGGAAGACAAGTAAGTCTGGAAAATCTGAAGATGGTAATGATATACTTGATCCCAAGAGGCTACTTTTCATTTGATACCATATTAGAATTAAGAAAGTCCACAGTTTCCTTTAGTCCACATAAGCTATAATGGTGTAAACCCAGCTGAGTGATTTTGTATCTATATCATCACTGCCAGGGAATGTAGCCTTTTAGGTAGATAGTATGTACAAAGTTTAGTGAAAACCAGACTGTAGACCTAATAGATTATATATAAGGGGTTTCCTCTCCCACAAATCTAAATTATAAAATCTATTACAGTACCTGCTCAGATTTCAGACACTATTCAACAATATAGCTTATGCATTTGATAAATGTTTTTGTTTTTTCCTTCAAAGTTGAACATAGGCAAAAGGTATAAGTTATTGAGATTCCAATTAAGTTTTAAGATTCACTGGTTTTGTTATGTTCTCTCCAAAAATATTGTTTATTGAGAACTATGTATTTTAATATTCATACTTTCAGCTTTTCTATTTTCTAATTTTTTTATATTCTCAATATTTATAAAATAAAAAGGTAAATACAACCGTGTTTCCATACAGTATTCCTCAATTCAAAGGCACAGCATTTTTCATGTTGTAACCTCCTGTATTCACTGGTGTCTTAGGATCACTTACCAAAAATCTGTGGCATCTTAGATTTGGTAACAAAGCCTAAATATTTCCATCCTACAAACGTGGTCATGCTTCTAAAAAACCACATGAAGTAGCTCAAGATGTTTGGCCAGCCAATGCGCAGAAGCCCTAATTGAACATGTAAAAGGCAGATGAGATGTGTTAAGGTATTATCTTAGATACAGATTATGTGGAGCTCAAAGACCTTGTTGGGAACAACATTTTCTAATTGCGTTTCTTCTCCGTGGATCTGCGCTTTTTTGAAATCAAAAGACACTAGGGGCTAGGCAAAGTGGCTCTCACGCCTGTAATTCCAGCACTTTAGGAAGCCAATGCTGGAGGATTGTGTGAGCCTAGGAGTTTAAGACCAAACTGGGCAACATGGTGAAACCCCATATCTGCCAAAAAAAAAAAAAAAAACTTAGCCAGGCATAGTGGCATGCACCTGTAATCCCAGCTAAGGATTACTTGAGCATCGACGTGGAAGTTACAGTGAGGCGAGATCATATCACTGGGCTCCAGCCTGGGTGACAGAGTGAGACTGTGTCTCAAAAACAAAAAGAATAACTAAGAAGACACTAAGTCCTTATTATAGTGTTTATGGACATAAAGTTTTTTAAAACAAACCAGTAAGTTGATCATTACTTAATAGTATCTTAGTTTCTTAACGGTTGGTTTTTTGGACATTTAGATGATATTCTGACACTTGCTTAAAATTACTAGTGCTCCTATTATGGCATTTAATTCACTTGTCATATAATGGCTAAAGGATTCTTGATAATTTTTAAAATTTTTCTGCACTCAGCAGCATGTAGTTATAGTATCCTATCCCACCCGCCTTTTTTTTTTTTATTTTTTAAATTTTGGGCCAGGCACAGTGTCTCACACCTGTAATCCCAGCACTTTGGGAGGCCGAGGCAGGTGGATCACGAGGTGAGGATTTGAGACCAGCCTGGCCAACATGGTGAAACCCCGTCTCTACTAAAAGTACAAAAATTAGTTGGGCGTGGTGGTGGGCGCCTGTAGTCCCAGTTACTCGGGAGGCTGAGGCAGGAGAATGGTGTAAACCCGGGAGGCGGAGCTTGCAGTGAGCTGAGATTGTGCTACTGCACTCCAGCGTGGGCGACAGAGCAAGACTCTGTCTCAAAAAAAAAAAAAAAAAAAAAAAAATTCTCACAGAGGGGGATGGGACTTAAGAAAAAGGTTTGTTTTCTTTAATGCTCACAGATTCTATTTTTAAATGACATTTTCTGTTTTAATTTTTTGAATGATAATTTTTTTTTAATTTCATCATCTTCCTGCTATTCCTTGTACATCTGTTTATTGAGGATGTGCTGTGCATGGTGTTGGTTGGATGCTCCACAATGTGTATATGCAGGTACACGGAACATGAGCTCCTCTCTGAAAGAGGCTATCATCTAGAGCAGAGCAGTTTCCTGTGGAGCTTGTGAAAATACACATGCAAGCCCCACTGTGGGAGTTACTGACTTATTAGGTCTAAAGGGGGTATTAGGCATCTGTTTTTTTTTTAAAGCTCTCGGTATTCAGATACGCATCCCTCATTGTAGAGCCACTAGTCAGAATAGACCAACACAAAAACAAAAATTCATGGCAGGCGCAGGTAGGGAGTAACTGAAAGGAACAGTAATTGCAAAGTAGATTAAGGAAGGTTTCCTTTAGCATTTTGACTGGTCTTCATGATGAGTTTCATTTTATCAGAGATTTGAAAGTTGAACACTTAAGAAGAAGTGTATGGGCTAAAGAAAGCTATGGAAATATATAATGTATTTGTGGGATAATAAAGGAGTTTTAATTCTGTATAAGCAGAATTTTACAGGGCAAGTAGATTCTTGCTTGGGCAAGCTCTGGAAATAAAACTTTAACAGAAAGTAGCACATTCATTTTGGTACTCTTTGTGTTAGAAAAGCATGCTTCATTGTTATATTTGAGGGATTTTTTAAACACCCCCCCCCCCCCACCAAAAAAAGGAAAATGATATTATATCCTTGGTGTTATGTAAACTTTTTTGTTTAATACATAAAATTCAGTTTTCTCAAAATGCTTTTTAACAGCGACTGCCCAGGGCAATGCTTATTAGTGCTTTTGCCATATCCGTAGTGATTCTGATTGCAGTAGATCTGAACGGGGCCCTAGCATCCTGAGGTTTTTTTCTCTTTTTTCTTTCTTTCTTTTTTTTTTTTTTAAAGGAACTGGCCCAGGTGCAGTGTCTCCAGCCTGTAATTCCAACACTTTGGGAGGCTGAGGTGGGAGGATCACTTGAGACCAGGAGTTTGATAGGAGCCTGGGCAACATAGTGAGAGACACCATCTCTATAAAAATTAAAAAATTAACCAGGTATGGTGGCTCGCACCTATAGAATTAGCTACTTGGGAGGGTAAGGTAGAAGTATTACTTAAGCCCAGGAGTTCAAGGTTACAGTGAGCTGTGGTCATACTACTTCACTCCAGCCTGGGTGACAGAGCAAGACCCTGTCTCTAAAAATAAATAAATGAGTGAATGAAGCAAGCAAGCAACTGGCTGCTCAAGCATCTTTCTTAAACCTTGCCAGGCGATTCTGGTATGAATCAAGGCTTGGTTACCACTGAACAAGAGGAATTAGTATACAGAGAAATTCAAGTGAGATTTTGTCAAAGAATTTACTGACTTTCTCAACAATTCTAGAAACATATATTTTGATTAGTAATTTTTCTAAAAAGGTGAAACATCTAAGCCAAACTTAGTATTCCAAGAAAGCAAACAAATTAACAAATATCTTCTTTCTCTGTTAGGAAACTTATTAAAGGTAAATATGTAGAGAGTGCTTTTGAGGGCTAGAGCATAGGATGCTTTGAGTTGAGGGCTAGAGATGAAAGACACTTGAAAGCACAGTGTTTCATGTAGTACTCTCCTTGCTTGATGACTGGCATAAGGCATTGTTACCATTGGCATCAACCCTCTCTTAATAGTTCTCAGGGGCAATATGTACCTTAGAGATTTAAAACATATGTTGCAGTTTTGTGGTCAGGTCTCTCAAACCTTCATTTTCAAAGATTTCTAAGTTGAAAAGTCTGTTTCAAAATCTGATTGGGGGTTTTACATTTTTTAGGAAAAAGTTTAAAACACGTTCGGGTGAAACAGTGCGCCTCATGGATCTTCTGGGAGAAGGACTAAAACGATCCATGGACAAGTTGAAGGAAAAAGAAAGAGACAAGGTAATTCAAAGCCTTATAGGCATAATGTGTATCAAGCATTGTGATTTTTCATTTTTGTTTTTATTGAGAGAACTGAGGAGAAGTGTGAGGAGTCAGTCCCACCTAGGACAAGGCTTATATTGCTCTGACTTTATTGCACAGTAAGTTTATTTTGTGAATTGCTGAGCATTTATTTAGAAAATATAGTTCTTGGCAATTAAAAAAGACCTTGGCTTTTTCCTCCTTTGTTAATGTAGCTTAGTATCCGTGCTGCTTAACAGCAGTTCCCAAAGATGGGAGAATATTGCAGACTGAAGGGGTTTGATTCGTCAGCTCACATCAGAGTCTACATGTGCCATGCTCCTTCTTGGGAGCATTTGTAGAGTGGTCATAGCAGTCAGTTCTTGCCACCCAAGGCCATTGATGAACCTTCAGAGCAGGCAACATGATGGCCTTTCATGGCACCCTTAGAAAAGACTATGGTTCAGTTTGTGTGGAATTTGGAGGAATTGAAAAGTCAACAAGAAAAATTTTTTTTTTTTTTTTTTAAGTTTAGAGCAGTAGAGGAGAGGTCATGCATACCTGAGACTGGGTAATTTATAAAAGAGGTTTAATTGGCTCATGGTTCTTCTGGCTGTAGGAGCATGGCACCAACATCAGTTGGCTTCTGGGAAGGCCTCAGGGAACTTTTATTCATGGGGGAAGATGAAGGGGGAGCAGGCACTTCACATGGCTAAAGCAGGAGCAAGAGAGAGAGAGTAGGGGGAGAAGGTGCCACACTCTTAAATGACCAGATCTCACAACAACTCACTATCACCAAGACAGCACCAAGCCATAAGGAATCTGCCCCCATGATCCAGCTGAATCACTGGTCTAGGCACATCTGGCACAGTCAGATGAAAAGTGGTAAGTTCAGTCATCTAGCTGTTTGTTAGTCTGCCTGATGACAAAAATTGCTTTAACTCTTTTTAACCACTCCAGCTAGTAATTTTTTAAGTTACTTTTAATTGTGCATAGTAAAATGCACAGCCTAATGAATTTTTACATATATATGCCTTAGAACACCAATCAAGATATATTTCCATCACCCCAGAGATTTTCCTATCACCATAAATCACTTTTGCTTATTCTGGCATTTCAAATAAATGAAATCACATAGTATGTGCCCTTTTCCATGTGCATCAGTAGTTCATATGTTTTTGGTTTTGTTTTGTTTTTGAGACAGAGTCTCACTCTGTCGCTCAGGCTGGAGTGCAGTGGCAAGATCATGGCTCACCGCATCTCGACCTCCTGGGCTCAAGTGATCATTCTACCTCAGCCTCCCGGGTAGCTGGGACTATAGGCACCCACTGCCATACCTGGCTAATTATTGTATTTTTTGTAGAGATGGAGTTTTGCCATGTTGGAACTCCTGGGCTCAAGCGATCCACTCACCTTGCCGTCCCAAAGTGCTAGGATTACAGGCATAAGCCACCACACCCAGCTGTAGTTCATTTGTTTTTATTGCTGCATGATATTCTGATATATGAAGGTGCCACATTTTGTTTATCCATTCTCCTATTGATGGACATTAGGATTATTTCCAGTTGTTGGCTGTTCTGAATACAAAGCTATTTTGAACATTGTTGTTCAAGCCCTTTTAGAGGTACATGTGCTTTTTCTTTCGGATATATATCTAGGAATGGCATTGCTGGGTTGTAGGGCTGACTTACGCTTAACTTTATTAAAAATTGCCAAGGAGAAAGTGGTGACCGTTGTATACTCCCACTACTAACATATGAGAGTTTCATTGCACCATATGTTTACCCACATTGGTGTATTAGTCAGGGTTCTCTAGAGGGACAGAACTAATAGGATAGATACATATAAAGGGATGTTTATTAAGTATTAACTTACACGATAACAAGGTCCCACAATAGGCTGTCTGCAAGCTGAAGAGCAAGGAGAGCCAGTCTGAGTCCCAAAACTGAAGAACTTGGAGTCAGATATTCGAGGGCAGGAAGCATCCAGCACGGGAGAAAGATGTAGGCCGAGAAGCTAGGCCAGTCTCTTCTCTTCACGTTTTTCTCCCTGCTTTATATTCACTGGCAGCTGATTAGATGCTGCCCACCCAATTAAGGGTGGGTCTGCCTTTCCCAGACAACTGACTGAAATGTTAATCTCCTTTGGCAACACTCTCACAGACACACCCAGGATCAATACTTCGTATCCTTCAGTCCAGTCAAGTTGACATACTAACCTTGACAATTGGTTTAGTCAGTGTTTTTTATTTTAGCTTTTCTGGTGAGTGCATAGTGACTTATTGTGGTTAAAATTTTCATTCCTCTGATGAATAATGATATTGATGATATTGACTACCTTTATTTTTCTTTCTTTTCTTTCTTTCCTTTTTTTTTTTGAGACAGAGTCTCGCTCTGTTGCCCAGGCTGGAGTGCAGTGGCACGATCTCGGCTCACTGCAAGCTCCGCCTCCCATGTTCACGCCATTCTCCTGCCTCAGCCTCCTGAGTAGCTGGGACTACAGGCACCCACCATCACGCCCTGCTAATTTTTTGTATTTTTTTTTTTTTTTTTTAGTAGAGACGGGATTTCACCATGTTAGCCAGGATGGTCTCAATCTCGTGACCTCGTGATCTGCCCTGCCACCGTGCCCGGCCTCTTTCTTTCTTTCTTAAGACAGAATCTCACTCTGTCACCCAGGCTGGAGTACAGTGGCACAATCTTGGCTCACTGCAACCTCCGTCTCCCGGGTTCAAGCAGTTCTCCTGCCTCAGCCTCCCGAGTAGCTGGGACTACAGGCACATGCCAACACACCAAGCTAATTTTTGTATTGTTTTTAGAGATGAGGTTTCACCATGTTGGCCAGGCGGGTCTCAAATCCCTGGACTCAGCAATCTGCCTGCCTCAGGCTCTCAAAGTGCTGGGATTACAGGCATGAGCCACTGTGCCTGGCCTGACTGCCTTTTCTTAGGCTTATTGGTCATCTAGATAATCTTCTCTTGTGAAGAGTCTGTTAACTCTTTTGCCCATTTATCATTATTATTATTATTATTTTGCATTAGACAATCAGTACTTACATTTATCTATATATTTTCGCCCTTTCCTGCAGTTTTTTGATTCCACCTGGGATTATTTTTCCACAATCTGAAGGTCTTTATTTTTTTAGCACAGGTCTGCTGGGGTGACAGATTCTTTCAGAATTTTTGTTTGTCCAAAAATGTCTTTGTTATGCCTTCAGTTTTGCACAATGTTTTTATTGGGTATAGAATTCTAGTTTGGCAGCTGTTTTCTTTCAGCATTTTTAGAGATGACATTCCACAGAACTGGAGAGGACCAGTGGGGCTGAGGGAGGAAATAAATAAAAATTATACTCCATTGTCTTCCAGCTACCATAGTTTCCTTTGAAAATCAGTTGTAAGTTTCATTGTTTCTCCTTTGAAAGTATGTATCTTTTTCTCAGACTTTTTTTAGTATTTTTCTTAGGCTTTATTTTTAGTACTTTGACTAAGAAATGCCTAAGTGTGGTTTGGGGAGTCATTTTTGTTTTTACCCTTTGGGGGCTGCCAAACTTCCTAAATCTGTGGGTTGAGTTCTTTCATCAGGTTAGGAGAATTCTTGGCCCTATCTCTTCAAATGCTACTACTTTTCCGCATTCTGTTATTTTTGGTACTCCAAGTACATATGTTAGAACTTTGTATCTCACGTGTTTCTTATGCTCTAATTCATTTTTTTCTTTTTGCTTTATTTTGAATATTTTCTACTTCAGAGAATATTTTGGTATTCTGTGTTTAAGGTATTTCTTGAAATTTTTCATCTTTTCTTCCAGTTTTCTTACTGTTTTCCTTTTAATTTTTTGAACATGTTAATCATAGTTTTCTTTAAACATTTTAAAACGGTTTTAGACATAAAAAAGTTGCAAGATAGTACAAAGAATTTTGTATCTTTCATTTAGTATCCCCAGATACTAATATCTTTCATAGCTATATAGTATGATTATCAAAATCAGGAAATTAACATTGATACAATACCATTAACTAATCTGCAGTCCTTATTCTGGTTGTACAGTTGGTCTCACTAATGACCTTTTTCTAGTCTAAGATCCAGTCCAGGATAACATGTTACATTTAGTTATCATGTCTCCTTCTCTTTAATCTGGGCAGTTAGTTCCTTGGTCTGTCTTTGACTTTCATGACCTCAACACTTCTGAAGTCTGCTGGTCAGTTAGTTTTTTTGGAATATCACTTAGTTGGATTTGTCTGATATTGGCTCCTGTTCTGTTAATTCTGTTTCCAGGTTATACAGTCTTATAAGTCTTATAAGCTGTACTCTGTTTCCAGGTTATACAGTCTTACAAGAATAGATGTAGAGTTCTTATCAGTTCATATCAGGAGGCACATGATATTGATAAGCTTCATAATTAATAATAATAATTTTGATCTCTTTGGTAAGGTGATAGTATCAGTTTTCTCCCCTGTAAAGTTAGTATTTTCCCCCTTTGTCATTAATAAGTATTTTTTAAGTAGCTTCATCTTAAACAATTTCAGATTTTAAAGTTGCTATTATCTTTTTTCTTTTGTTTCTGTTGTCTTGATTCTCTCCTAGCCCTTTCTTTGTAGTCCCCCTCCTTAGTATTTAGTTATTTCATCTTGCTCTTTTATCTTTTTCCCCCCACAAGAGATAGGGGTCTATGTTGTCCAGGCTGGTTTGAAACTCCTGGCCTCAAGTGATCCTTCCACCTCAGACTCCCAAGTAGCTGCGTTACAGGCATGAGCCAATTACAGGCATGAGCATTACAGGCATGGCTCATCTTGCTTTTTTAGAAAGATTTATTTGTTGTTGGGTGCTCGGCATTATGAAGAGAAAATTATAAAGATTATGGCTGAGGTTATTTCCCTCCAGAGACCGTTATGTTTTCTTCTAGCCCACAGGTAGCATACCAGCTGATTATCTTGACCCTGTTTGTATTGGCCTTATGCTTCTTTAGGGCTGAACTATTTAAATTTTACCTGTATGACTAGGGTGAGGTCCTTACTCCTGAAATATGGCCCTCTGGCCATACTTCAATGGCGTGTGTGCTAATGCCCTTCCATTTTGCCGCTGCAGAACTGCCTTGTGTCACACAGCTGCTGAAATCACTGCTCAGCTCTTTAATTACCATTTGCTCTTTCCTGATAGATTTTTTGGAGTCTTGCCTTGTGCATGCCAGCCATATGACATTTGAAAGAAATGTGTTCACAGAGTCTTTGACTCCTCTGTGGCTCCTTCTTTTTGGGGATTGTGTCCTTGCTTCTTTGGCAGCCCCGTACTCTAAACTCTTGTCTTCTCACCTCAGCAAGACCACTTCTTTCTGCTTGGGTTCTGTCCCCTTTGTCCACTATGTAGTGATTTGAAAAATGCCCTTGGGGAAAAAGCCAAGTGATGATGGACTCCTTCCCAATGTTTTCATTCTTCTAAGAACTATAGTCCCTTCAACTTTGCTTGTGTTGATGCTCTCTAGTGACTTCAACCAGTTGTTTCATATGTTTAACCCAGCTTTTAAATAGTTGCTTTTGGTAGAATGGTTAGTCTGCTGCAAGGTATTCTGTCATGGCCAGAAGCAAAAATCCTTAATTACTTACTTGTGGCCTAATAATGCTTTAGAATACTTGAGCAAATATTAGCAAAACAGTGAATGGGTTCTTTTATCTACTCTTAATACACCCTTGATTTCAATTAATTATTTAACGCTAACTTTTTGTTTGTATTTTTTGGTGTTACTCTGTTTCCTATAACCTCACAATGTTCATAGTATGAAGTGGATATAAACTAATAATTGATGCTTCTGGTTTCATATCTACTGAATACACTGGAAAAAGGTATTCATGCTGACATTTTACATTTTACAAATTCAGTTTCTCATAGACACATTCTTCATTGTGCATAACGCATTTTATATTTTCATTATTTTGTTTGTACATTGGCCCATGTCCTTCTGCCTCAGTGTCAGTGTTTATTAAAGTTTATTGGTAAAAGAATACCATTAGATGTTCCCTACCCCAGTCTTATGCCTATGAGACACCAGGGCAGAAGCAGCAGTCAGTAAGCTATGAAATACTGTTTTGTTTTTCCCAAAGGTCTTAACTGCAGAGGAATTGAATGCTGCTCAGACATCCGTTGCGTATGGCTGCATCAAATATGCTGACCTTTCCCATAACCGGTTGAATGACTACATCTTCTCCTTTGACAAAATGCTAGATGACAGAGGAAATACAGCTGCTTACTTGTTGTATGCCTTCACTAGAATCAGGTAATTGTGGGTAGGCATTGTTTTATTGTGAATCAAATGAAAGCATATTTAGTTACTCAAAAATATTTTCTTTTTTTTTTTTTGAAATGAGACGGGGTCTTGGGCTCAAATGATCCTCCCACCTCAGCCTCCTGAGTAGCTGGGATTACTGACATACCACCATTACACCTGACTTCTAAAGTGTTTTTTTTTGTTTGTTTGTTTATTTTTGAGACGGAGTCTCACTCTGTTGCCCACGCTGGAGTGCAGTGGCGCGATCTCGGCTCACTGCAACCTCCACCTCCCGGGTTCAGGTGATTCTCCTGCCTCAGCCTCCCCAGTAGGAGGGATTACAGGCACTCACCACCATGCCCAGCTAAATTTTGTATTTTTAGTGGAGACGGGGTTTCACCATGTTGGCCAGGCAGGTCTGGAACTCTGGACCTCAAGTGATTCACCCGCCTCGGCCTCCCAAAGTGCTCGGATTACAGGCATGAGCCATCACGCTCAGCCTAAAGTGTTCTTTTCAGACTTATTTTTCTGCCTACAAGCATCTTTGGAAATACGTCCTCTTTTAGTATTGCAAGTTATCCCAGAATCCCTAAACCTGGCCTTAACTGCACTTGCCGATACTCTTCTAGATGCTCTATGTTTAAATACCTAGAAAGTGTCACCTGATCCCCTAAAAGAATTATATTTCCATTTTTAGTATTATGAAATGCTTTAGATCTGGCTATTAGTTTTGCCTAATAGTATATCGTATAATAAAATACTTCATTTTATAGGAACTTCTTTTTAATCGGTGATAATTTCGAGTGGAGAATGAGTGTGCCTAAAAAAAGGGAACAGTGGTGATTGCCTGATGATTTTTTTGTTTTTTTTAAGGTCTATTGCACGTCTGGCCAATATTGATGAAGAAATGCTCCAAAAAGCTGCTCGAGAAACCAAGATTCTTTTGGATCATGAGAAGGAATGGAAACTAGGCCGGTGCATTTTACGGTTCCCTGAGATTCTGCAAAAGATTTTAGATGACTTATTTCTCCACACTCTCTGTGATTATATATATGAGCTGGCAACTGCTTTCACAGAGTTCTATGATAGCTGCTACTGTGTGGAGAAAGATAGACAGACTGGTGAGTGTCTTTTTTTTTTTTTTTTTTTTTTTTAGTGAGAGACACGGATCTTGCTCTGTCCCTTGGGCTGGAGTACGGTGGTGAAATCATAGGTCACTGAAGCCTCAAACTTCTGGCCTCAAGTGATTCTCCCACTTGAGCCTCCCGAATGGCTGGACTTACACACGTGTGAGCCACTGCACCCAGCTCCAAGTGTCTCATTTAGTAGCCATATTAGGGATGGGGTGCCATTAAAGCATTTGAATTGTGTGGGAGTGGTTTTCAGATTTATTTTATTCATGGAAACTTCCACTTTTTCCCTAACAGTTGCACAGTGAACCATATCATATATAAAAGACAAAATGTGAAGTAGCACTTTAAACCAGAAATGGAACTCTGCCCAATCAGTCTACTTTTCTACAATTAGGCACATGAGATGGAACCTTAGGACTCCAAAGAAAACAATTGGAAGATGACTGAGAGTAGGATTTTTCCAACAAACACAATGTGTTTGTGGGTCCCAGGAGGAATCTTTGGGTGTTTTTGATAATGGAAACTTCTTGGAAAACACTTGTTATCTTTTCTTACCTTAGGCTGTCTTCCCTCTGTCATATTACATAGTTAATGAAGTAGCCAGAATTAATGTATTATAAGGCAAGTAGGCATTTGTTAAAGTCATGCCTGAGGACTGAAACTTTATTAGGGAAAAAAATCACCACTGTGATAATGAGGTTTATAGTTATTTCAGACCGTGAGGACTAGGAAAATTTTTTAAAAGAAAGGTAAAATTTACTGTTCTCATCATTGCAGACCTTATATCTCTTAATAGTTAAAAACACATTTCTTAACAGAAATGCCTTTATTTTTTAAATTGTTTGTCTTCATAGTTTAAGGTAAAGAAGATTCTAGTTAAAACCCAAAAACATCTGTGGGTTGGACTATGCACTTCTAACTAAAATTTGCAAGTAACATAGATTCTTTAATAATGATTTTCAAAAAGGAAAACAAGTTAATTAACAACTTTTTTCTATCTTTTCAGGAAAAATATTGAAGGTGAACATGTGGCGTATGCTGCTATGTGAAGCAGTAGCTGCTGTCATGGCCAAGGGGTTTGATATCCTGGGAATAAAACCTGTCCAAAGGATGTAATCCTTCATAGGTTTGAACACTGTGTGTTTTTACCAAAGTGGCCATTGGCACTGTTTGCTTTTTTACAATCATGTGGACACAAGCATAAGTAAAGAAAATTTGTCAACCAGGCAAAATGTGGTTCTTTAACAGCTAGAATTCTAAAAAGAAAAAAATCACTTCCACAAATATGCTTATATCTTGCTGAGCATTAAACCAAAATGACTTAGTGGAGGCCATGAAATAACAGGATTTATGCACCACAGTGAGAGTGTATTGACTTTGCAGGAATGTGGTTTATTAATTTTAATTAGATAAGGAATCCCATTTGTTGACCCTGAAAGGGCCCCAAGAATTTACGCCTCTTCATTGTCCCATTCATGTCTCATTTCATTGTTCTGTGAGAGATACTTAGCCTGTTTTACAAGTAACAAAACTTGAGACTGCACAGAGATAAGTAATTTGCCCTGGAATCCTCAGGAACAAAATTAAGATTCACACCCGTGCATGTTTAAAATCCCAAATTCAGGCTATTTCCATTTTAAGAGAAGGTGACATTGGCAATATAACAGACTTGGGTTCGGGGGAAGGGGGCAAGGAAATGTAGACTGGCAATTTTCCTGAAGCTCAAGATTAACTCTTAACATCTCATTGGCCAGATGCCAATCCCAGTTGCAAAGGAAGGTAGAAACCTAGAGTGAATGTCCAAGCTAAGAAGAGGATTGCTGTGATTTCCCTAGACCAGTCACAATTCATCCCCTGGGCAGGGCATATTGTCTCATTTCATGAAATTGGAATCTTTGTAGCAGCACAGAATATGGAGATTGGCAGTGGCAGCGAGAGGTTTTGGGGTACAGCTCCGCACACTGATTATTGAGTCAGCAGTTAATGGAATCTGCCAACACAAAACTGAAATGAGATTCCATGTAAAGCCAACACAATAGAAAAATGAATGTTTAATGAGCATGAATTGTATCATACCATGCTGTTTCTAAAAGTCTCCAAGCTTAGAGGAACCTTAGAGAGGATCTTAATGAGCTATAATAATAGCTTCCATTCACAAACTGGTATGTATAAGTCTAACATGTCCACATTAGATCGCTGCTCCCTCCAACAAACATGGGGAGGCTAAGCAGTTTCCTCTCACTCTACTAACTGCAAAGACAGTTCACCTAGACTACTGAGCCCTTGGGTCCGAAGACTCAGGAGACTTTAGGAATTAAAAACAAGATTCAGCCGGGCATGGTGGCTCACGCCTGTAATGCCAGCACTTTGGGAGGCCGGGGTGGGCAGATCACCTGAGGTTGGGAGTTCGAGACCAGCCTGACCAACATGGGGAAACCCTGTCTCTACTAAAAATACAAAAAATAGCCAGACGTAGTGGCGGGCGCCTGTAATCCCAGCCACTGAGGAGACTGAGGCAAGAGAATTGCTTGAACCCAGGAGTCAGAGGTTGCGATGAGCTGAGATCGCACCATTGCACTCCAGCCTGGGAGACAAAGCAAGACTCCGTCTCAAAAAAAAGAAAAAAGAAAAAACAGGATTCAGTGAGGTGGAGGAGAAAATAATGAAAGACTACAGGAGTATGTTAAATTAACCAAAGGTCATGATAAGTTCGTATACTGGAACATCATCTCGGATACCCCAGGCCATAACTATATCTTTAAAACACTGTCTTACCATAGTTTATAGATATATAAATACCATTTAATAATACAGATAATATCAGAAACCTTTCCTTAGGAATAGTATAGTTCTGATTCTCCTGTTTTTGTTTATAGAGACGAGGTCCTCTTCTGTTTTCCAGGCTGGAGTGCAATGGTGCCATTGTAGTTCACTGTGACTTTTTTTTTTTTTTTTTTTTTTTGAGACAGAGTCTCACTCTGTCACCCAGGCTGGAGTGCAGTGGTGCGATCTCGGCTCACTGCAACCTCCATCTCCCGGGTTCAAACAATTCTCATGCCTCAGCCTCTCAGGTAGCTGGGACTGCAGGCATGCACCACCATACCCTGCTAATTTTTTGTATTTGTAGTAGAGACAGGGTTTCACCATTTTGGCCAGGCTGGTCTCGAACTCCTGACCTCCGGGTGATCTGCCTGGCTCAGCCTCCCAAAGTGCTGGGATTACAGGTGTGAGCCACTGTGCCTGGCCATTCACTGTAACCTTGAACTCATGGGCTCAAGTGATCCTCCTGCCTGAGTCTGTAGTAGCTATGACTACGGTTGTGCTGATTAGCCTGTTTTTAATGTGCTAGCCTTTGGAAAAGCAAAGCCAGTTTGACTTCAGATAATCCTTAATCTCATGTAAGTCGGTGGGCCTTTGTGACCCTCAAATTTGCCTTCATTTGACCTCTAAAAAAAGTCAAAATAATTTTTTATTGGTTAATAGACAAAACACAATTTTTGCCAGGCGTGGTGGCTCACGCCTGTAATCCCAGCACTTTGGGAGGCTGAGGCAGGCGGATCACGAGGTCAAAAGATGAAGACCATCCTGGCCAACGTGATGAAACCCCATCTCTACTAAAAATACAAAAATCAGCTGGGCGTGGTGGCACACACCTGTAGTCCCAGCCACTCGGGTGGCTGAGGCAGGAGGATCGCTTGCTTGAACCCAGGAGATGGAGGTTGCAGTGAGCCGAGACAGCACCACTGCACTCCAGCCTGGGAGACAGAGCAAGACTCCATCTCAAAAAAAAAAAAAAAAAAAAAGAAAGAAAAGGAGAAAAACACAATTTTCAGATGTTCACTCATTTATCCTAACAAATGGGATGATCTTTCTGTGACCTCAAGCTTATTTACTGCATTCTAGGAAATTACAATACTATATATCAATAGCTCTAAACACTATAGATTGCAAGATACTATTGTTTTGCACTACTAAAAAATTTTGACAAACTTTTAAACTGATAGAACTTTCGTAAGTTAGAATTTTCATACTGAAAAGAGTCTTTTAGACTTTTGTTTGTGTCATGTATCACTTATGTACAAACTTAGCACAGGAAAATACAACTGAACTAAATTGGTTAAAATACTCCTAAAACTTCAGAGTCCCACTCTTTTGAGACACTTTTTGATGCAGTCATTAACATCTGTCTTTTCTAGACAATATCATCCTCTATGCTACCAAAAACATTGATGATGCAGCGCTTTGATGTTCCACTATAGTTCCCAGGATTATTATCTGAGTCCTGATATTCATGTGAAGGCGGCGATGACTATGTCACAACCGTCATCTGACTAATAATGACTGTGAGATGCATCGCAATTTCAGAAATGTTCAAATGTACATCCCAAAATTGATTAAACACCATAGTGTGAGGAATGAGGAAAATTAAGTTGGTCAGAAAACGTTTGACTTGGTATGGACCAGTGTCTCCACGTAAATATAAATTCTCCTCATTCCATTCTTTAATTTGCAGGGACCTGTTTGCTGAGCTAAGATCCATTACCTAGGTCTCTACTCAGTGCTTTTCCAAACACAGGGCTGCCTGAAGACTTCCGTCATCCAAAGATAATCTGGTTTGCTGGAATTCAGTTACTCTCCCCAATCCCACCCCCCCCACTGAGAATTCTAGTGCCAGTCCTACCTTCCACTGGCACTTCACAGGGCCAGTGGAATGACATTTAAAGTGCCAAAAGGGGGGGAAACTGTCAATCAAGACCTCTATATTCAGCAAAGCTATTCTTCAGAAAGGAAAATGGTATTAAGATGTTTCTCAATAAACAAAAAGTTTGTCACTAGAAGACCATCGTTACAAGAAATGCTAAATGTTGAAATGTAAGGACCCTAGACTAACAAAATCACACAACACCAGTAAAGGTAAGTACATAGTACAAAATATATTTTAAAAGTGTAAAAGATTATAAAATCAAGTATGTAGAAGTATAAAAATCAATAGTAATGCATTTTTTGTTTTTAACTTTTTTCTTAAAAAGCAACTGCGTATTAATAAACTGAAGAGGGAAATAAATACCCCACATGAACATCTCAATAGATCAGAAACAAAGTTGTCCACTCTTGCCACATCTACCTATTCAAGATGCCTTTAGTCCCAGCTACTCTGGAGGCTAAGGTGGGAGGATTGCTTGAGCCTGGGAGGCAGAGGTCACAGTGAGCCGTGATCATGCCGGTGCACCCTAGCCTGGGTGACAAAAGTGAGTATGCCCAACTAATTTTTGTATTGTAGAGACAGGGTTTCACCACGTTGGCCAGGCTGGTCTTGAACTCCTGACCTCAAGTGATCTGCCCACCTCAGCCTCCCAAAGTGCTGAGATTACAGGCGTGAACCACCACACTGCACCCAGCCCACACTTATTCAAATAAATTTTAAAAGCAGATTTAAACTAGGGCATAAATGGTACAGAGAAGTTAATATGCATCTACAATTTTATGCTAATTTTCTCATCATTTTTGACTTTGCTTCTTGGCCAATGTCAGCCCAAAATGGCCAGTATTAACCTTTCTAGAAAATCGGCTAAATAATATTCAGTTGATGGAGGTAATTATCTTAAGTGCAATGAGCCAGGCACAAACAGGCAAATATCACATGTTCTCACTTATATGTGGGAGCTAAAAAACAATTTTTTTTTTGAGACAGGGTCTAGCTCTGTTGCCCAGGCTGGAGTGCAGTGGCATGATCATCACAGCTCACTGCAACCTCCACCTCTCGGGCTCAAGCGATCCTCCCAGCTCAGCCTCCTGAGTAGCTGGGGCTACAGGCATATGCCACCATGCCTGGTTAATTTTTGTATTTTTGGCAGAGATGGGGTTTTGCCATGTTGCCCAGGCTGGTCTTGAACTCCTGGGCTCAAGTGATCACCTGCTTCAGCCTCCCAAACTGCTGAGATTACAGGCGTGAGCCACCGCACCTGGCTGGAAGCTAAAAAATTTGATCACATGGAGGTAGAGAGTGGAAAAACAGATAACAGAGACTGGGAAGGGTGAATGGGGGCAGGAGGGAAGATGAAGAGAAGTGGGTTAAAAGGTACAAACATACAGGCCTGGTGAGGTGGCTCACACCTGTAATCCCAGCACTTTGGGAGGCTGAGATGGGCAAATCACCTGAGGTCAGGAGTTCGAGACCAGCCTGGACAACATGGCAAAACCCCGTCTCTCCTGAACACACACACACACACACACACACACACACACACACACACACACACACACACACACACACACACACACACAGCCAGGCATGGTGGCATGTGCCTTTAATCCCAGCTACTCGTGGAGCCTGAGGCACAAGAATCACTTGAACTTGGGAGGAGGAGGTTGCAGTGAGCTGAAATCACACCACTGCACTCCAGCCTGGGTGACAGAGGGGGACTCCATCTCAAAAAAAAAAGAGAAAGAAAAAGGTACAAACATACAGTAAGATAGGAGGAACAAATTCAATGCTTGATAGCTGAGCAGGGTGATGATACTTAATAAAAATGTACTGTACTCCCATGATGGATACTTTAAATACCGACTTGATCACTGTGCCTTATACATGTCACAAAACTTCTCATGTACCCCATACATTTGTACAAATCAAAAAAATACTTGGTCGCATTATAGAAATTTCACTGGTTAATGAGAGTACATGGGGTCATCTAAAGTAAAACAATTTTTTGCTTTGTTTTGTTGCTTGGTTTGCTTTGCATTTTCATACCAGTTTAATTACATAAATATACATGGTGCTTATAAAATGTAATGGATTGAAGGGGAGCACAGTTAAACTCACTGTAATTTTTGTGGGGATTTTAGATTGTAGGAGTTTGATAGCTTGTATATATATATATATATATATATATATATATATATTTTTTTTTTTTTTTTTTTTTTTTTTTTTTTTTTTTTTGAGATGGAGTCTCACTCTGTCACCCAGGCTGGAGTGCAGTGGCACGATCTTGGCTCACTGCAAGCTCCACCTCCCAGGTTCACACCATTCTCCTGCCTCACCCTCCCCAGCAGCTGGGACTACAGCTGCACGCCGCCACGCCCAGCTAATTTTTTGGTATTTTTAGTAGAGACGGGGTTTCACCGTGTTAGCCAGGATGGTCTCGATCTCCTGACCTTGTGATCCGCCCGCCTCGGCTTCCCAAAGTGCTGGGATTACAGGTGTGAGCCACCACGCCCGGCCAGAATTTTTTTTTTATGTATTGAGATGGGGTCTCACTATGTTTTCCAGGTTGGTCTCGAACTCCTGAGCTCAAGTGATCCACCCACCTCAGCCTCCCAAAGTGCTAGGATTACAGGCATGAGCCACTACGCCCAGCCCAAATTTCAGATTCTTATTCTATAAAATGAAGAATTACAGAGAATTTCTAAGGTGTCTTGTGGAAAGAAGACCTTTGCAAAAGTAGGCCAGCTAAGCTTTTTGAGCATTTCCTGAATGGCAGCCACTAATTCTACAGTGGGGAATGGAGTAAGAGTCTGAGCCACCAAGAGACGAAGTGTCCCCCAGCAGAAGTAATGGCCAAACAATAATGACATCCCAAATAAGGGATTTTAGCTACTTTCCAAGTCCCAGAGGCTACAAAAAGGGAGAAGATTCTCTTTTTCTAATTAATTAACCAGCTATATTAGATATATTATTGGGAGTTGACTAAGATTGTGAGTTTTAGTCGTGTTAGGAAGGAGGTATTATATTTTGTCTTGACGAGTAAATTTAAATATATGCACGCCAAACAGTAAATTTCACCTGAGGTGTTTGTGTTTGGTGCACTGATCCAGGTGTGCCAGCTGGCATTATGCAGTAGACACCTAGGTAAAAACATTTACTGTTCCCCAGTTATGGCACCCACATATCTCAGCTGCCTTTCAGCTAGGCAGGGCATGTGACTGGCTTTGGCCAGTCATCAGCCAGGAGGCTGAAGTGGGAGAATTGCTTGAGCCTGGGAGATCAAGGCTGCAATCCGTGGTGAGTAGAAATGATTGTGTCAAAGTCCAGACTAAACATACAAAAAGGTTGTGAGTTCTCTGCACTCTATTCTTCAGCAGTACAGTGGAGGCCCTCTTTTTTCTCATGTTGCAGCCACAAGATGTTGGGGCCTGAGTTCTTCAGTGGCTGTGTGGTGCAAACCTCCCGCTGACTCTCAGTGGACATAAAACATAAGAAATCTAAACATAGCTGTATTAATACATTGAGATTTTGGAGTTCTATGTTACTGCATCATAGCCCAACTCCTCTTGAGCAAATATAGCTGCACCTGTCACTGGGGTGGAGATCAGATCCCTACAGTCAGTCACCTTTGGAGGTGGACCATGGCTTAGAGAAAACAAGTTTCTTCATGCATGGATGCTTAAAGTATAATGAGAATGGAGATGGGGTTATAGAGTATTACCTCTGGTTTCATGTCAATCATGGCTAGTTACTCCTTGGGCAATTTGTTGGAATGGTTCTGTGAGAAAATAAGCAAAATTCCTCATGCATTTTTTAAGTCTATGGGAATGATTGATGTGCACTATGTCTACTACTGAGGCCTAGTCACAGATGTAATTATGATCATTACTTTAGGGCACATCTTCTGGAATAACAAGTCAATTGTAAACAAAAGTATACATGGTGCCAAGTGTGGAGGCTTGTGCCTAGAATTCCAGCAACTCAGGAGGCTGAGGCAGGAGGATGGCTTGAGGCCAGGAGTTGGAGACCAGCTTGGGCAACATAATGAGGTCTCATCTCTACAAAAAGTAAAAAAAAAAAAAAAAAAAATTGCCAGGCATGATGGTTTATACCTATATAGAAAGAAACCTGGCTGGCCACTGTGGCTCACACCTGTAATCCCAGCACTTTAGGAGACTGAAACAGGAGAACTGCTTGAGTCCAGGAGTTTGAGACAAGCCTGGGCAACATAGTGAGGCTCCATCTCTATAAAGAATAAAATTTTAGCCTGGTGTGGTGGCACACACCTGTAGTCCCAACTACTCAGGAGGCTGAGGTGGGAGGATTGCTTGAGCCTGGGAGATCAAGGCTGCAATAGCCATGATTGTGCCACTGCACTCAGCTTGGGTGACAGAGTGATACCCTATCTTAGAATAAAAAAAGAAAAAATAAAGCCCTTTTCTTTATAAATTACCCAGTCTCAGGTATAGAAACAAATTAAGACAGTGGATTAATGCCCCAGCCTCCAACCTGCAGTAGAACAATTCTGAGATGCCTTCCACACAGTTTCTCAGAATACTCACAGCAATTGAGCTCCCATTGTCCACTGTGGTCATCTACTCATTAATCTACCCTCTTTTTTTTTTTTTTTTTTTTTTTGAGACAGGGTCTCCCTCTGTCACCTAAGCTGGAGTGTAGTGGTGTGAGTTCAGCTCACTGCAGCCTTGATCTCCCAGGCTCAAGCGACCCCTCCAGCTCAGCCTCCTCAGTAGCTGAGGTACTACAGGTACTACAGTGACTACAGGTACTACAGTGACTACAGGTACACACCATGACACCTGGCTAAGTCTTGTTTATTTTTGTAGAGACAGGGTCTTGCTATCATGCTAGGACTGGTCTTGAACTCGTGGGCTCAATCAATCCTCCCACCTTGGCCTCCCAAAGTGCTGGGATTACAGGTGTGAGGCACTGTGCCCAGTTCTTTCTTAACCTTTCTATCTTCTCTATCTCATTTTTGCCTCCCCAACATGTGCTTCCTGGGATCACCTCACAAACCAATTGGACTCAAGGCTTTGTCTCAGGATCTCTATTATTCAAGGTTCTCCAAAGACACAGGCCTGTAGGATATATATATGTGTGTATATATAGGATATATATTGGCTCATGTGATTGTGGAGACCAGCAGGTCCAAAATCCGCAGGGCCAATGTCCCAGTCCAAAGGTTGTCAGGCAGAAAGAGCTGATGTGCCAGTTGAAAGGCCCTTGGGCAGGAGAATTCTCTCTTCCGTGGGGAAGGTCAGCATTTTGCTTTATTTCTGCCTTCAACTGATTAGATGAGGCCCAGCCACATCGTAGACGGCAATCAGCTTTACTCAATATACCAATTTAAATGTTAATCTCATCAAAAAACACCCTCACAGAAACACTCAGAATACTATTTGACCAAATATCTGGGCATCCCATGGCCCAGTAAAGTTGACACATAAAATTAACCCTCACAGACACCAAGTGTAGTTCATCATTTTGGAAAATATTCACCTTATAGCAAGAATGGAAACCTCTAAGTAGAGTATTTTATGTGAACCATTCAACCTCAGGAATCATACATTTCACTCACTGATCCCTTGTTCACATTCCAGTGTATAAAACTCTGGTCCCCATTAAGGAGACACTCCAGTCCTCAGGGAAAATCAGACCTGGCACTGTCGTCCATGAGTATGAGACGGGAAGAGCTGTGGTCCAGGATGGAACGGAAGTCATACTGCACATACCAGGTGTTCAGTAAATGCTCCGATCTTCAGGTGCGCGTTGTCTCTCTCTCTCTCTCTCTCGAGTAGACACTTAATTCAACTAACGGGAGGCTGGCCAGTTGTTTCACCACCTATCCTACTTTCCCCAGCTCTTGTGTGGTTCCCAAAGCCCCTAGCAGTAGCCAAAACGGGGGCCCCAACTGCTGTCGCTGTCCCTGGTGCTGACTAAACCCTAAAGCCTCTGCGTTGCGGCCTTGGGGCCATTGGTGGTGCCGAGTTATTCTTTTATTTTCTTTCTGTTCTTTTCTTTTTTTCTTTTCTTCTCGTTGCTGCCCTTGGTGCTGCCCAATTATTCTTTTCTTTTCTTCTCCTCTCCCTCTCTCTCTTTTCTTTCTCTCTCTTTCTTTCTTTTTCTCTTTTTCTTTCTTTCCTCAAGAAAATGCTGCAGATTTAGAGAGTGACTTTGAAGCATAGACTAGACTTCGAGGATGAACATGACATTTTGGCTCTCTGTGTATCCCCATTCACACTGAAGAATCAACAACACTTCCTTGCTGATCAATAGTCCCAGAACTGGTGGCACAGCCAGGACCGACGCTGATGCTTACCTCCCCCTCTCCTGCAGCAGAGACGCCCCCGTCCCTGTGGCCCAGGGAAGTGCCAGGGATCCCTGGGAAGGCGGGAGATGGGGAAGGGGCAGGGTGAGCGAAGAGGAGCAGGCTGCGTCTGCACGCGGGCTGGGAAGCGGGGCTTCCGGGCCGCAGGGTCGCGGGGACGGGTGTGATGCAATCGCGCCACAGCCGCTGCGTCAAGGGGCGGCTCCGGGATGCGGGCACTGCGGTAGAGCCCGTCCTGCCCCCGCCGCCCGCCGCCCGCCGCCCGCCTCCGCTGCTAAACCCGCGGACAACCGCCGGGACGACCACCCAGAGCCACCAGAGCCCCCTGACACCCGCCCCGAGGCACCGGTAACCCACGGCACCCGCCCCGGTGCGTGCCATGAAGTCGGCCGCGAGCTCGCGCGGGGGCGGTGGGGGCGGCCGCGGGGGCGGCGGCTGGGGCAGCTGGGGCGGGGGCCGAGGCGGCGGCGGCGGCGCGGGCAAGGGCGGCGGGGGCGACGGCGGCGGCCAGGGGGGCAAGGGCGGCTTCGGGGCGCGGGCGCGCGGCTTCGGCGGGGGCGGCCGGGGCCGGGGGCGCGGCGGCGGCGACGGCAAGGATCGCGGCGGCGGTGGACAGCGGCGGGGCGGCGTGGCCAAGAGCAAGAGCCGCCGCAGGAAGGGCGCCATGGTGGTGTCGGTGGAGCCGCACCGGCACGAGGGCGTCTTCATCTACCGCGGGGCGGAGGACGCGCTGGTCACGCTGAACATGGTGCCGGGCCAGTCTGTGTACGGCGAGAGGCGCGTCACGGTGACCGAGGGCGGCGTGAAGCAGGAGTACCGCACGTGGAACCCGTTCCGCTCTAAGCTGGCCGCGGCCATCCTGGGCGGGGTGGACCAGATCCACATCAAGCCCAAGTCCAAGGTGCTGTACCTGGGCGCCGCGTCGGGCACCACCGTCTCCCATGTCTCCGACATCATTGGCCCAGACGGCCTGGTCTACGCCGTCGAGTTCTCCCACCGCGCCGGCCGCGATCTGGTCAACGTGGCCAAGAAGCGCACCAACATCATTCCGGTCCTGGAGGACGCGCGGCACCCGCTCAAGTACCGCATGCTCATCGGGATGGTGGACGTGATCTTCGCCGACGTGGCCCAGCCGGACCAGTCCCGCATCGTGGCCCTGAACGCCCACACCTTCCTGCGCAATGGGGGCCACTTTCTCATCTCCATCAAGGCCAACTGCATCGACTCCACCGCATCCGCCGAGGCTGTGTTTGCTTCTGAGGTGAGGAAGTTGCAGCAGGAGAACTTGAAGCCTCAAGAGCAGCTGACCCTGGAGCCCTATGAGCGGGACCACGCTGTGGTGGTCGGGGTCTACCGACCTCTTCCCAAGAGCAGCAGCAAATAGCACCCAGCTCAGGCTCGCCTGCCATCTCCCCAAGGCTGCGTTGTGTTTGCTATTATTTTCTGTGTGTTTTCTTTGTGAGTGTTTTGTTTTGTTGTTTTTCTATTAAACTGCATAAAGAAACGGCACCTATCTGTATGGTGATGCCAGGCTAGGTTTTGCTGCAGTAACAATCAACCCCCAAATCCCAGTGGCCTAAACCGGCTGGTATAAGGGGCCCATCCAGCAGTAGCCTGGGAGCTGTGCTCATTCTAATCACTCAGGTCTCCAACTCCCCAGGGCCCCATTTTCACACATGCTCCCCCCATCCCTAGGGCAGAGGAAAGAGAGCTGCGGAATTGCTAATAAAAGCTTTTAAATGTCCCCTTGGAACTGATGGGGCACTTCTGCTCACATTTGGCCAAGTCACATGACCCAGCCTGACTCGGGAAAAACACTGAATGTTGGTGGACAATAATATAGTCAAACACACCAATCATCTGACTCACAGCCAAAGTCTTAACCACAATAGGTTTTTAGTATTTTACTCTTCAACTAAGCCCTTTTGCATTCACTGTTAAAGTGAATAATAAATAAATGTTAAATTTATTCCTCACACCAGCCCTGAGATGGCTTTGTTAGCACTTGCATATTACATGTGAAGCAACAGGGCTTCTGAAGGTAAACTATTTTGCCCAAACGTACATAGCCAGTAAGGAGGTAGAACTTAAATGCCAGTCTTCGGGGCTCTAAATCCATTGCTGTTTCCTCAGCACCAGGGGGATCTTGTCTCTGGTCCCCAACCCCTATGGCATGTGCACAGGGACACACTTAGAGCAGGGCCCTGTGACCTTATTGTGTTCTTTCGCCCTCCCCTGTCCCCCCCGGGCTACCCCTTTGTTTGGTTTCACAATAGCAAAACAAGATGCGGGGCAGATGTGGGTCTAGCTAGCAGACTGTCTCTACTACAGGGCATAACATACCCAAAGTGGTATCACCAAGTGTCTGCAGAACAGGCAGACAAATTACTCCCAGAAAGTATCTGTCTTTGCAAGGCATGTCCTGCACTTCCCAAGTTGCTGGTCTCAGTACCTCGCAGTCTCTCTCCAAAGCAGCCCAAAGGGAAGGGAGAGTGGGTAATCCGAGGAAAGCTGAGAATGCCCCAAAGGCCCAGTAAATCCCTCCAAGCCAGACTTTTCATTCATTCATGCATGCATGCATACACACTCCCAACTGCCAAAAAGACCCACATCAACATTTAGTCTTTGAATGATTGCTCACTAATGTATCATTTGGAGGGTGGATTTGCCTTTCTAAAGATGTGCTTGGGCAGCAATTGTGGTTAGTCTGCTTTTTCTGAGGGCATACTTCTTGAACAACAACAAAGGATAAATCAGACTTTTTATTTTTGTTTTATTTTATTTATTTTATTTGAGACAGGTCTTGCTCTGTCGCCAAGGCTGGAATGCAGTGGCGCAATCATGGCTCACTGCAGCCTTGAACTCCTAGGCTTAAGTGATCTTCCTGCCTCAGCCTACCACACCTGGCTAATTTAAAAAAAAAATGTTTGTGGAGAAACAGTGTCTCGCTTTGTTGCCGAGGCTGGTCTTGAACTCCTTGCTTCAAGAAATCCTCCTGCCTCAGACTCCCACACTGGGATTAGAGGCGTGAGCTATGGCACCTGGTCCAAATCAGACTTTTGAAAAGGCTGCCACTCTTTCACCACTCCCCCATCCTACGCCACCCCAAAATTCAGAAAGGGAATTACAGTTCAGATGTATCAGCAAGACTGACTCAGGAAGAAGAGAGTGAATGCCGTACATGTCTATTTCCATAAACAATGGAAATCTTCATTACAACCCTGCAAAGCCAGGATCACTTTTCCTATTTAGCATATAAGAACACTGCAGTTCAGAGATGAAAGTGCCTGGTTTAAGATCCCCCAGAAAGGCTCACAGCCAGAAATCACAGCTTTGTTAGTCTGACTCCAAAACCTATGTCATTTTCACTGAAGTCTGTGCTGGTTCTGTTGCCTTGAAAAGCCCTCTCTCCAATCCTAGGCTAATTTATTAGTTGCTGTGATGAAGCCCTGAGGCTGGGGTGGACTCCCTGGGAACAGGAACTGTTTCCTCACTAGGGGAAGACAGAAGCAGCTGGGTACTCAGGAGGGAGGGGCTCTGCAGCAGCTGAGGCCCATGACCCAGCCCCTCCTCAGAGCCAGATGGGCTCCATAAAGGAGCTCTTGATTGCTCCTTAAAGGTTTTTCCCCCCAGCATGGGGGATGAAGCAGGGGAAACTCTACCTCCTTCCTTGGCATGGGAACTCCCATTCCCTGCCCCTCCTGCCGCAAGTGAAATTTAAAGTCATGTCTGAAGCTTCTCAAAGAGGGAACCATTCATGAGGAAATGGCAACAAAACAATCTCCTGAAGAATTTCCCTGCATTGCAGATGAGTTCCTGAGCCAATGGAATGACATGGTGAGTACCAGGAAAAATATAGGAATAAGGGCCAAGGGAATACAGGAAGGGAGCTGGAACCTGGTTTTAGAGGATGATGGCAGGGAAAAGAATGGGACTATAGTCTGGGCACAGTGGCTCATGCCTGTGATCCCAGCACTTTGGGAGGCCAAGGCACATGGATAACTTGAGTCCTTGAGTCGAGACTAGCCTGGTCAACATATGAAACCCCATCTCTACTAAAAATACAAAAAATAGCTGGTGGCGGGCAACTGTAATCCTAACTTCTTGGGAGGCCGAGGCAGAAGAATCGTTTGAACCTGGGAGGTGGAGGTTCCAGTGAGCTGAGATCATGTCACTGCGAGACTCTGTCTAAAAAAAAAAAAAAAAATTATCGGACTGTAACTCCAGTGGGCCTTGGGTCCCAAGAAACCTAGAAGTAGCAGTGACCCTGGTTAACAGACCTGCTCAGAGCCAGGAATGCTTCAGTGACTATCAGCTTGGGTTCCAAGAAGCCTTTACATTTGGGTCTCTAGGTATATTAGTCTTCTCAGGCTGTTGTAACAAAATACTACATGCTAGGTGGCTTAAACAACAGATACTCATTTTCTCACTATTCTGGATGGAGGCTAGAAGTCCAATATCAAGGTGCTGGAATTCAGTTTCTGGTGAGGACTCTCTTCCTGGCTTGTAATCGGCCACCTTCTTGCTGTGTCATATATGTGGCCTTTCCTCTGTTCACACACAGTGAGAAAGAGAGAGCTCTTTGGTGTTTCTTCCCCTGTTTAGAAGGATACCAATCCTGCTGGATTAGGATCCTACTCTTAGGACCTCTTTTAACCTTAATTACCTCCTTAGGGCCCTATCCCCAAATATAGTAACACTGGGGATTGGGGCTTCAATTTGTGAATTTTCTGGGACACAATTCGGTGCATAACCCTAGGGTTAGATGAGAATGTTCAGCTAAAATGACTGTCTTACTGGATTGTGAGCTTTGGCTGAGGAGACCAGTGTTTAATGTGAAAATACCTGCCAACAGCCTGGCACTAAGTGCTCTGCCTGTTTTTTTCCCCCCACCTCTTACTGTCAATAGAGAATAATAAGGTGGCTGAGAATTAAGTTTAAGACCGGGCGTGGTGGCTCACCCCTGTAATCCTACAACTTTGGGAGGCTGAAACGGGCAGATTGTCTGCGCTCAGGAGTTCAAGACCAGCCTGGGCAACACAATAAAACCCCATCTCTACTAAAATAGAAAAGAAATTAGCTGGGCATGGCGGCGTGCACCTGTAGTCCCAGCTACTTGGGAGGCTGAGGCAGGAGAATTGCTTGAACCTAGGAGGCAGAGGTTGCAATGAGCCGAGAATGCACCACTGCACTCCAGCCTGGGTGACAGAGTGAGACTCCGTCTCTTAAAAAAAAAAAAAAAAAAAAGTTTAAAACGGGCCCAGCACAGTGTTCAGGCCTGTAATCCCAGCACTTAGGGAGGCTGAGGCAGGAGAATCGCTGGAACCCAGGAAAGTGGAGGTTGCAGTGAGCTGTGATCACACCACTACACTCCAGCCTGGGCAACAGAGCAAGACACAGTCGAGGTTGCAGTGAGCTGTGATCACACCACTGCACTCCAGCCTGGGCAACAGAGCGAGACACTGTCGAGGTTGCAGTGAGCTGTGATCACACCACTGCACTCCAGCCTGGGCAACAGAGCGAGACACTGTCTCAGAATAAATAAGTAAATAAATAAAAGTTTACATAAATGCCAGGGGTTGCCTTGGAGTCGAGGGGGTGGGGAACACACTTAGCAAGTCTTCTGAGGGGACTGCCCTGTGCTGGGAGCTGGGGGGAGCTTGCCACTGAGTTTCAGAGTCAGCGGCTCCATCCTGGGCCACGGGAGAGGACTCAACCCAAGCATCAGTGAGTGCCTGGCTGCAGTCACCTCTGCAGCAGAGGCAGCGAGGGTGGAGGCTGGTGCTCAAAGGCCAGGCAAGAGGGGCCATGTGTCCACAGCGTCAGCAGAAGCCTCAGAGAACAGGCGGAATAGAACTCCCATCCACCAGCACCATGATGTCTGCCAGCTTCTCCCTCGCTCAGATGCCTCCTGAGGTGAAGGGAAAAAGAATGGGGCAGGAGAAGATCCGAGGGAATGAAGCTTTATCCAAAAGAGGCTGTTTTAAATGGGAAGAAGAAACCATGTTCCATTAATTAGCACTTTCCCCTGCCAACCCTGCATTAAGCAAGATGTTCTGGCTCATCTGAGCTATGGTGAGCACTACATTGGATACTGCTACTCTAATATTTATCAAGCACTTATCATGTCCCAGGCAGAAAACTCAGTATTTCTTTGATCTTTAGAAGTACGACTTTTTTTTTTTTTTTTTTGCGACAGGGGTTTCGCTCTGTCACCCAGGCTGGAGTGCAGTAGCACAATCTCAGTTCACTGCAACCTCCTCCTCCCAGGTTCAAGTGATTCTCCTGCCTCAGCCTCCCAAGTAGCTGGGACTACAGGCACCCACCACCATCCCCAACCTAATTTTTGTATTTTTTTAGTAGAGACAGGGTTTCACCATGTTGGCCAGGCTGGTCTCGAACTCCTGACCTAAAGAGATCCACCCACCTCAGCCTTCCAAACTGCTGGGATTACAGACATGAGCCACCGTGCCCGGCCTCATGATTTTTAAATTAATAACAAAAACAAACATTCCAGAAAGTGCCGACACTAACATTCCACTTGATGAATTGCTGCAAAATGAACACTGGTGTCAGAGCTGCCCCTAGCATTTGTGTGGCAGGGAGCAAGAGCATTTGTAAGGACCCTGGCCCATGGCTTCCCCTTTCTCTTCCCACTCCTGGTTCCCACCCCTGGAGGGGCCTCATGCACACTGCTGTAGATACTCAGCCCTCCAGTCCAGGATCCGTACCCAGGCCCTTCAAACAGCCTCCTTGAAGCCACTCCTTGGGACTAGAGTTGCAAGCTGGGAGCAGGGTCTCTCTGGGGGACCAGCCTGGGGAGGAGGACTGGAATAGGGCTTGCATTGTTCAGGCAGAGTTCTGAGTGCCTGATGCATAATCCAGAAGGTGAGAGATGTGGCTTCTGGGGGGCATGGCACTTGGTCCCTATGGACTCCTTGCCTCACAGGACAAGGAACAGACAGAGGAAGGCCAGAGTGCAGTCTTTCTTTCTTTCTTTCTTTTTTTTTTTTTTTTTTGAGACGGAGTTTCGCTCTTGTTGCCCAGGCTGGAGTGCAATGGCATGATCTCGGCTCACCGCAACCTTCACCTCCCAGGTTCAAGAGATTCTCCTGCCTCAGCCTCCCTAGTAGCTGGGATTACAGGCATGTGCCACCACACCTGGCTAATTTTGTATTTTTAGCGGAGATGGGGTTTCTCCATGTTGGTCAGGCTGGTCTCAAACTCCTGACCTCAGGTGATCCACCCGCCTCGGCCTCCCAAAGTGCTGGAATTACAGGCATGACCCACCGTGCCTGGCCAGAGTGCAGTCTTTTAAAGTGCAGGAGGCCAGGTACGGTGGCTCATGCCTGTAATCCCAGCACTTTGGGAGACAGAGGTGGGCAGATCGCCTGAGCTCAGGAGTTCATGACCACTCTGGGCAACATGGCAAAACCCCGTCTCTACTAAAATACAAAAAATTAGCTGGGCATGGTGGTGCGTGCCTGTAGTCCCAGCTACTCGGGAGGCTGAGGCATGAGAATCCCTTGAGCCTGGGAGGTGGAGGTTGCAGTGAGCCGAGATTGTGCCACTGCACTCCAGCTTGGGCTACAGAGTGAGACTCTGTCTCAAAAGAAAAAAAAAAAAGTGCTGGGCCCAGAACAGGGGCCCAGCACAGGGGCCCAGTTGCCAATGACTAAGAGTGTCCCCTTTGCCTGTCCACCCATCCAGTCTCAGCATTCCTCTATGAAGATGCAAAGTCTACCCCTTCCCAGGAGTCCTTCCAGGCCCATCGACTCACAGGAAGCTCCTTCTGACATTACAGCTCTTGGTTAGTATTCTTGATGAAGACACTGCATGCGGGGTGCTTCCATGCACCTTCTTTCACTGAATCCGCACGCACAGCACCCCCAGGAGGCAAGTGTTATCATCCCTGTATCACTGATGAGGAAACTGAGGCTCAGAATTCTAGGTGATGTCAGTCAGTCAAGGTAGTGTAGCTGGAGGGCGGGAGAGCTGAGATTTCTGGAGCAGAATTGCATCTCTGGTCTAAGTCAGTGAAATTACAATCAGATGCTCTAGGGAAAGGCCTGGCATTGGTATTTTTATAAGCTCCCCACGTGATTCTAAGGTACAGCCAGGACTGAGGCCCACTATTGAAAATGCTGTATCATTTTTGTCATCAGCTGGGAAAGGCAGATTTAGGATGGTATTTTGAATAACTGGAAGACAACAGCTGAGCATTTCTGCGGTGCCTGCTGGTACTTGGGGCCTCTTTGACAACAGAGGATGCTCCCAGAGATTCCACCAAGGCCAATGATTGAAGTCAGGGCCTAAAAACAAAGTTCTTGCTACTCCTGTTCTTTGGTCACCTGACTGCACACTGCATGCTGAGGATGTTTGTTAGAGAGAGAGCTGAGCTGACAGGCAACAGAGGCACCAGTGAAGCCAGGAGCTCAAAATGCAAGTATTAAGTCTGCAGTCACTGTGATAGTATAAGCAAGAGACTGAAATAGAGAAAGCACTGATTGCCCGTTCCATTTTCCCCCGTGGAATGGCGCACCCGGCAAGGGCCAAGTCGATCAGCCCAGTCAGGGTTGTCTCAGTATTGAAGGAGCCCCCAACGAAAGACTGGCAGTTTCTTGGGCCCTGAGGTGAGGAGGGTGAGGAGGAAGGGGTAGGAGCAGAGAAGTACTGAGTTAGTGGGGAACAGCATCTTCAGGCTTTTGCCCTCTTGATGGCCTATGCCCAAGGCCTCGGATAGTGGGACCCAGAAACGAAGATGCAGAGCATGAGCAGGGGAGGGGACTGAGTCCTTGACTGCAACTCCCTTCAGAGACTGCAGTGCACCAGGGTCCTCCTGAGGACTGCCAGGGAAAGCCTTTGGTCCGGCCTAAAAACATCACACATAGGTGCTGGCCAGGAGCCGGAGCCCTTGGGGTTTACCTTCTACAGACTGTAAGTACAGGCTCCCAGTACTTCAGTTGGTTTTTTGGTCTCTTGAGCAAAAGCATTTTATGAACTTCTCTCTAAATCTTGCCTTCGCACTTTTCACTTATTTCTCATGTTTGCCTCTTCCATCCCCTGGTGACCACCAAGCCGCATGTCTACTGCTCAGGACACACCTATCATCCTTCCCATCCCACTGCCTCCAGCCGAGCCTCTGCTTCCTGCCTGGAGGACTCAGGTGCCTGAAAACACAATGCAAGAATTCTAGCTGCTTGTAATAGCCATTGTGTTTGGCAGTTTTTGTTGTTGTTTTTTTTAATCTGGGCCACACAGGAAGGCTTCCAGAAACATTGGACAAGAGCTGAGGAAGAACCTGAAGTAGTTTTGATGGAAAACACTGTCTTTCTTACCTCTTCATGTGATTTTAGTCTTCTCCCACCCAAAAGTCCTTCCTTCCCACTCATCTTTCCATCTCACTGCCTCTGGGAACCCCAAATCCAACAGTTACTTAACCCATGAGGACTTCGATCCACCAATCCACCATCTTTTCACCATCCCTTCAATAAATTCCCATTGTCCTCATTTCCCTCCTCGCCTGGCTGAGATTTCATGGTCCATCATTATAATCACTTCCTTACATTACACTTATCCCTCTTTCCCTTCATTTTTGCTTGCAAACTGGCCAGTCCTTTCCCGAACCTACCTCTTTCTTGGAGAAAATCATCAAATGGAAACAAAGCTGCCAATACCAGCTACTAACAATGTTTGCCAGCTTCTCTTAATGCCACAGGTTCATTGGTTCATGACCTACCTTCCAAGGTATCATGTCATCAGGTTCACCTCTTCCTAAATGAACAGCATCCTTCTAGCCTCTGAAAACACCTTCTTTGCCACCTGCTGCCAGCCTCTAATCCAATGCCACATAGTTTAGGTTTTTGTTCTTCAGTGGCATTCCATCTCTGGTATCAACTTCTGTATCAGTTGGGATAGGCCAGGTTATGCTGGGGTAACAAACCCCTAAATCTGTGGTGTAAAAAAACAGTTTGTTTTCTTCCTTATACTCCACCTTCATTAATGTGGTGAGGGAGTGAGGAGAAAGGAGCTTTGCTAATTTTTGTCACTTAGGGATCCAGGCTGACAGAGCAGCCACTATCTCAAAGGCTGCTGGCTTCTATTAGCAGGAAAAGAGGGCTCTGGAGGGTATCAAATAGGTGACTAAGTGCTCCAGCCAAAAAGTAGCATGCACCACTTCCAAACACAACTCTCACTCACTAGTTGGCCAGAGCTAATCCTATGAACCCACCCTCTCAACTGCAAGGGAGCCAGCAAGCACAATCCTACCATGTAGCTAAAAAGCGGTTTATTGAAATCCGTGCTGAACATGAATGACCACCATCAGAAGATACTATTATTAGCCTCATTTTGCATGTGGTAAGGCACAGGTTAAGAATTTGTCTGAGACTTTATGCCTAGTAATTATGTCAGAGTAGGATTTGAACTCATGCTCCAGAATATTTTTGTTTTGTTTTGTTTTTTTGAGACAGGGTCTTGTTCTGTCACCCAGGCTGGAGTGCAGTGGTGTGATCTCGGCTCAGTGCATCCTCCACCCTGGATCAAGTGGTTCTCGTGCCTAAGCCTCCTGAGTAGCTGGGATTACAGACATGCACCACCATGCCCAGCTGATTTTTGTATTTTTAGTAGACATGGGGTTTTGCCATGTTGGCCAGGCTGGTCTCAAACTCCTGACCTCAAGTGATCTGCCTGGCTTGGCCTCCCAAAGTGCTGGGGACTACAGGTATGTGCCACCACACCCAGCTAATTTTTTTTTTTTTTTTTGAGACAAGGTCTTGCTATGTTGCCTGTGTAGCTCTTGAATTCCCAGCCTCAAGTGGTCCTCCTGCTTTGACCTCCCAAAGCACTGGGATTATAGGCATGAACCACTGTGCCTGGCCTAGAAGTTGTTTTCCTTTTAAACTCAAATCTCACACTCCTCTAACTGGCAAGTTTGGCCCATTAATATTTTCATCTTTCTGGTTTTTTCCACATTTAAATTGTCCTGCTTTTTCTGTATTGATTGCTCTTTCTTGTTATAACAAAATTTATTATTATTATTATTTCTGAGACAGGGTCTTGTTCTGCTGCCCAGGCTGAAGTACAGTGGTGCAATCTGGGCTCACTGCAACCTATGCCTCCTGGGTTCAAATGATCCTCCCACCTCAGCCTCCCTAGTAGCTGGGACCACAGGCAGGCATCACCAGCTAATTTTTAAATTTTTTGTAGACAAGGTCTCACTATATTGCCCTGGGTGGTCTTGAAATCCTGGGCTCAAGCAATCCTCCTGCCTTGGTCTCCCAAAAAGCTGGAATTACAAGTGTAAGCCACTGCGCCCAGTTCCAAATTATTTATTTGGATAACATTCTGGTGCCATATGCCATTTGTCCAATACAAAGAGGGTATTAAAAAAAAGCACTGGGATGGAGGTGAGGACACCTAGGGTTGAGTTTTGGTTCTCTTAATAACTTGCTGTGTGATCTAGGACAATCTAGTTGACTTCTCTGGACTTTTTGTCCTCCCTATAAACAAATCTTGAGTTTGATTCAGCAGTCTGTGAGATTCCTGCTAACTCTTGGATTCTCTGTTCCCAAGTTTGGCTGGTCACTGGCTCTTGATATGTGAAAAATCCTAGGGCACCTCTAATTTGAAGTTTGCTCTTAGACGATAAGAGTCTTTTTAAGATTCAGGATAGCTGGGTGTGGTGGGGCATGCCTGTAGTCCCAGCTAGTTGGAAGGCTGAGGTGAGAGGATCGCTTGAGCTCAGGAGTTGGGAGGCCAGCCTGGACAATATAGTGAGACTCTGTCTCTTAAAAAAAGATTCAGGGCCGGACGTGGTGGCTCATGCCTGTAATCCCAACACTTTGGGAGGACAAGATGGGCAGATCACTTGAGCCCAGGAGTTTGAGACCAGCCTGAGTCACATAGGGAAACCCTATTTCTGCAAAAAGTAAATTTAAAAAATTAGCTGCATATGGTGGTGCGTAACTATGGTCCCAGATACTCAGGAGGCTGAGGTGGAAGGACAGCTTGAGCCTGGGAGTTTGAGGCTGCAGTGAATCATGATACCGTGCCACTGCAATCTAGCCTGGGTGAAAGAATGAGACCCTGTTTCAAAAAAAAAAAAAAAAAAAGATTCAGGATGGCCATTTTTTCTTCACGACATTGAGAAGAGTTTAGACTAAAGTAGCATTATAGAGCTAGGCACGGTGGCTCACGCCTGTAATCCCAGCACTTTGGGAGGCCAAGGCAGGCAGATCACTTGAGGTCAGGAGTTCGAGACCAGCTTGGCCCACATGGCAAAACCGTGTCTCTATTAAAAATACAAAAATTAGCCAGGCATTTCTAGTTCTAGATCCCTGAGGAATCGCCACACTGACTTCCACAATGGTTGAACTAGTTTACAGTCCCACCAACAGTGTAAAAGTGTTCCTATTTCTCCACATCCTCTCCAGCACCTGTTGTTTCCTGACTTTTTAATGATTGCCATTCTAACTGGTGTGAGATGGTATCTCATTGTGGTTTTGATTTGCATTTCTCTGATGGCCAGTGATGATGAGCATTTTTTCATGTGTCTTTTGGCTGCATAAATGTCTTCTTCTGAGAAGTGTCTGTTCATATCCTTTGCCCACTTTTTGATGGGGTTGTTTGTTTTTTTTCTTGTAAATTTGTTTGAGTTCACTGTAGATTCTGGATATTAGCCCTTTGTCAGATGAGTAGGTTGTGAAAATTTTCTCCCATTTTGTAGGTTGCCTGTTCACTCTGATGGTAGTTTCTTTTGCTGTGCAGAAGCTCTTTAGTTTAATTAGATCCCATTTGTCAATTTTGGCTTTTGTTGCCATTGCTTTTGGTGTTTTAGACATGAAATCCTTGCCCATGCCTATGTCCTGAATGGTAATGCCTAGGTTTTCTTCTAGGGTTTTTATGGTTTTAGGTCTAATGTTTAAGTCTTTAATCCATCTTGAATTAATTTTTGTATAAGGTGTAAGGAAGGGATCCAGTTTCAGCTTTCTACATATGGCTAGCCAGTTTTCCCAGCACCATTTATTAAATAGGGAATCCTTTCCCCATTGCTTGTTTTTCTCAGGTTTGTCAAAGATCAGATAGTTGTAGATATGCGGCATTATTTCTGAGGACTCTGTTCTGTTCCATTGATCTATATCTCTGTTTTGGTACCAGTATCATGCTGTTTTCGTTACTGTAGCCTTGTAGTATAGTTTGAAGTCAGGTAGCGTGATGCCTCCAGCTTTGTTCTTTTGGCTTAGGATTGACTTGGTGATGTGGGCTCTTTTTTGGTTCCACGTGAACTTTAAAGTAGTTTTTTCCAATTCTCTGAAGAAAGTCATTGGTAGCTTGATGGGGATGGCATTGAATCTATAAATTACCTTGGGCAGTATGGCCATCTTCACGATATTGATTCTTCCTACCCATGAGCATGGAATGTTCTTCCATTTGTTTGTATCTTCTTTTATTTCATTGAGCAGTGGTTTGTAGTTCTCCTTGAAGAGGTCCTTCACGTCCCTTGTAAGTTGGATTCCTAGGTATTTTATTGTCTTTGAAGCAATTGTGAATGGGAGTTCACTCATGATTTGGCTCTCTGTTTGTCTTTTATTGGTGTATAAGAATGCTTGTGATTTTTGTGCATTGATTTTGTATCCTGAGACTTTGCTGAAGTTGCTTATCAGCTTAAGGAGATTTTGGGCTGAGATGATGGGGTTTTCTAGATACCATTTGACCCAGCCATCCCATTACTGGGTATATACCCAAAGGACTATAAATCATGCTGCTATAAAGACTCATGCACACGTATGTTTATTGCGGCACTATTCACAATAGCAAAGACTTGGAACCAACCCAAATGTCCAACAGTGATAGACTGGATTAAGAAAATGTGGCAAATATACACCATGGAATACTATGCAGCCATAAAAAATGATGAGTTCATGTCCTTTGTAGGGACATGGATGAAATTGGAAATCATCATTCTCCATAAACTATTGCAAGGACAAAAAAACCAAACACCGCATGTTCTCACTCATAGATGGGAATTGAACAATGAGAACACATGGACACAGGAAGGGGAACATCACACTCTGGGGACTGTTGTGGGGTGGGGGGAGGGGGGAGGGATAGCATTAGGAGATATATCTAATGCTAAATGATGAGTTAATGGGTGCAGCACACCAGCACGGCACACATATACATATGTAACTAACCTGCACATTGTGCACATGTAACTTAAAACTTAAAAAGTATAATAATAATAATTTTAAAAAAAATTAGCCAGGCATGGTGATGCGCATCTGTAATCCCAGCTACTCGGGAGGCTGAGGCAGGAGAATCGCTTGAACCAGGGAGGCGGAGGTAGCAGTGAGCTGAGATCGCACCACAGCACTCCATCCTGGGTGACAGAGAGAGACTTTTGTCTCTAAATAAATAAATAAATAAAATAGCATATTGGAAATGAACCCAAGAAAAAACAGAATGTCAATAATTTAGTTTGACTTGCTTGCCTAGAATGGGTCAAACCATAAATTTCATAATCAGGGTGAGAAGAGAATTGAATTTGTTGACACAAGTATAAATGTTTATTTTGTATCTTTGTAGAAGAGCTTTATTGAGGTATAATCAATGTACAATACACCACACATATTTAAAAGACAATTGGGCTGGGTGCCGTGGCTCATGCCTATAATCCCAACACTTTAGGAGGCTGAGGTGGGCGGATCACCTTAGGTCGGGAGTTCGAGACAGCCTGACTAACATGGTAAAATCCCCTATCTACTAAAAATACAAAAATTAGCCCGTCGTGGTGGCAGGCACCTGTAATCCCAGCTACTTGGGAGGCAGAGGCACAAGAATTGCTTGAACCTGGGAGGCGGAGATTGCAGTGAGCTGAGATAGCGCCACTGCACTCCAGCCTGGACCACAGAGAAAAAGAAAAAAAAGGACAATTTGATGAGTTCTGCTATATATACCCGCCCATATGAAAGTATCACAGTGTAATGAATACATCCACCACACCCACAGGTTTCCTCCCTGTCTTCCTCCAGCTCCTGGACCCACACAACCAAAAAGAAGGGATACTTTCAACAAATGATACTGAAACAACCGTAAATCCACATGCAAAAAAACAAAACAAAACAAAACAAAAACCCTGAACCCTTACCTCATACCATACACAAAGATTGATTGATTATAGGCTGAAAGATAAAAATTAAAACTACAAATTGCCTAGAATAAAACAGGAGAAAATATCCATGATCTTGATTAGGCGAAGATTTCTTAGGACACAAAAAGTGTAAGCATAAGAAGCTGGACTTCAACAAGATGAAGCTCTGTTCCTCAAAATAGTATTAAGAAAATAAACAGATAAGCCATAAATTTGGAGAAACTATTCAAATATATATCCAACAAAGGACTTCTAACTAGAATATATGAAGAACTCTTACAAGTCAGTAACAAGACAACTCAATGAAAAATGGGCAAAAGATTTTGTCTTTATAAAAGAAGATATATATGAAAGGCCAATAAGGATCTGAAAAGATGCTCAATGTCATCAGTAATCAAGGAGACACAAATTAAAAGCACAGACAGACCATATGACACACAGGTAAGAATGGCCACAATTTAAAAGACGGACAATACCAATTGTTGACATGGATTCAGAGCAAGTGGAACTCTCAGACACTGCTGGAGTGAATGTAAAATGGAACCTCTTGGAAACTGTTTTCCATTTTCTTACAGAGTTACCATACAATCCAGCAATTTCACTATTTATCCCAGATAAAAACATAGGTCCACCCAAAGACTTGCATGTAAATGTACAAGCGAATGGATAAACAAATTGTAGTATATTCATCCAATGGACTATTAATGAGCAGTAAAAAGGAATGAAGTACTGATAACAATATAGATTAACCTCAAAACCATTATGCTGAGAGGAAGCAGACCCAAGAGTACACAACACAGCAAATCTATAGGGACAGAAAGTAGACAGTAGCTCTATGAAGTCTAGGGCTGGGAGAGAAAGAGAGATTGGGAATATCTACTGTATTGGTCCATTTACATAAAAACTCTAGAAAAGACAAATTTTATCTAGTCTACATAAGACTTTTTATGTAGTCTACATATCTACATAAAAACTCTAGAAAAGACAAATTTTATCTAGAGCGAATCAGTGGCTGCTTACAGATGGGGATGGGAGGGGACTGACTAAGATGGAGGAAGGGAACTTTTTGGAATGATGCAAATACCTTGGAGTGGTGGTTACATGGGTGTACACATTTATCAAACTTATTTAAATGTACAGTTAGAATATTAATGTATAAGCCATACCTCAATAAAATTGATTATAAATAGGTCCAAACCCAAAACTAAACCAAAATCAGCAAGATTAATTACAAATTCACTGAAATCATTTTTGAAGTAATAAACTTTGCAGGTTTGTCCCGAAAACCTGCAAAGGTGCTTTAGGAAATCTGAAAACACAAGGTGTCAGAATATTTTATTCAAACTGTCAAAATGAGACAACTAAAAAAGCTGCTATATGACGTGCAATTGTCTCTCTATCCATGGAAGATTGGTTCCAGGAACTTCTGCAGATACCAAAATTCATGAATGCTCAAGTCCATTATATAAAGTGCGTAGTATTTGTATATAACCTACACATCCTCCTATATGGTTTTTTTCCCCTTCTGAGTCTGCTTGCTAGGGAACTCCTATATACTTTAAATTATCCTTATTTTTAATACCTAATACATTGCAAATAGCTGTTATACTGTATTTTTTACTTGCATTATTTTTTAAACTTTTATTTTAGGTTCCAGGGTGCATGTGCAGGTTATACAGATTAACTCATGTTACAGGAGTTTATTGTACAGATTATTTCATCACCCAGGTACTAGGCCTAGTACCCAATAGATATTTTTCTGATCCTCTCCCTCCTCCCAGCTTCCACCCTCAAGTAGGCCCCAGTTTCTGTCATTCTCCTTTGTGTCCAGGTGTTCTCATCAAGCTTCCATATATTATTTTTATTGTTGTATTATTTTTTGTTTCAAATGTTTTCAATTCACAGTTGGCTGAATCTGTAGATGTGTAACTCACAGATATGGAGGGCCAAGTTACTTTTTTCAAGTTCAGCTGCTTGAATTCTTTTTTTTTTTTGAGATGGAGTCTCGCTCGGTCACCCAAACTGGAGTGCGGTGGCACAGATCTAGGCTCAGTGCAAGCTCCGCCTCCCGGGTTCATGCCATTCTCCTGCCTCAGCCTCCCAAGTAGCTGGGACTACAGGTGCCCACCACCACGCCTGGCTAATTTTTTTGTATTTTCAGTAGAGACAGGGTTTCACCGTGTTAGCCGGGACGGTCTTGATCTCCCGACTTCGTGATTCACCCGCCTGGGCCTCCCAAAGTGTTGGGATTACAGGAGTCAGCCACTGCGCCTGGCCAGGTGCTTGAATTCTTTTAGTGGTATCATTTAATGTTTTGTGTTTTTTTGTTTTCAAAGAAATCTGGGTTGGCTGGACTCCAAACTCTTGCTAGAAGAAAATGAGGAAAATGGGCTTAAATCAAAAAGAATATGCCTTCATAGTTTTGGTAATTTTTGCTACTGTTTCCAGAAACTGTAAAGGTTATGTTTAAAGCCCTGGCTGGGGATAAGCACTTACTTACCTAAACATATGGTCAACTGCACTTTTGGGGTATTGTTAACCTCTGGGTAACATTAAAAACTATCAGAAAGTACCAATTTTCTATGAAAAGGATGTAAAGTTCCAGAAGCTAGTCAGGTTTTCCAGGTTTACTTTAGGGAAAAAGTCAAATCTTAAACTCCTCTCCACCCACCAAAACCAGATGTATAGGAATATCTTAAAATAGGAACTTATAGTATTACCATAGAAAATGATCAATAGATTTTTAAATGCAGAAATATTAAAGTTTGTTCAGTACACAATACACTCATTAAGGACTATATCATAGAAAGTAGACATCCTGCTTTCAAAATTTATTTTTTTCGAGACAGAGTTTCGCTCTGTCGCCCAGGTTGGAGAGCAGTGGCACGATCTTGGCTCACTGCAACCTCCACCTCCTGGGTTCAAGCAATTCTCATGCCTCAGCCTCCCCAGTAGCTGGAACTACAGGTGTGCACCACCACACCCAGCTAACTTTTGTAATTTTAGTAAAGATGGGGTTTTGCCACATTGGCCAGGCTGGTCTCGAATTCCTGGCCTCAAGTGATCCACCTGCCTTGGTTTCCCAAAGTGCTGGGATTGTAGGTGTGAGCTACTGCTCCTGGCCACTTTCAAAATTTATATAGCACTGTGTATTGACTCCAGTACAGACTTTTCCCTCCTTGGAAAGTTTATTTAAATGAAAGACTTAAGTGTGTAGCCTTGAATGTATGCTCTTTAGGAGCTTATTTCTAAGTGCTTGCGACAGCAGTACTTCCTACATTTGAATAGCTAAACTACACCTCAAATCTCTTCCATACTGCATCATGTTCTCCTTTAGTCCAGATCTTAGATTTTTTTCATCCTAGTTCTTGCTAATTTTTTTTAAATAAAAGATATGTACTTCACATGTCACATGGTAGTCATGTTCACGTTTTCAACTATTCCTCTACGCTCCAAGTAAAGACAATAATATGATTTGAAAACTATGCCTGGAGCCACGACAATCATACAATTTGAAAACACAGCCATCAAGTTTCCAACTTACTGCCTCACATATTAAGATGATTTTTTTAAACAAACTTAACAGGCGATGGATACTCCATTCTCCATGATGTGCTTAATTCACATGCATGCTTGTATCAAAACATCTCACATACTCCATAAAGCCTGTAATCCCAACACTTTGGGATGCCAAGGTGGGTGGATCACTTGAGCCCAGGAGTTTGAGAACAGCCTGGACAACATGGCGAAACCCCATTTACACACACACACACACACACACACACACACACCACACAAACAAAATGAAACAAACACCTAACCAACAAACAAAACCATAGCCAGGCATGGTGGTGCATGCCTGTAGTCTCAGCTAGTTGGGAGGCTGAGGCTGCAGTGAGCTATGACTGCACTACTACACGCCAGCTCAGTCAACAAAGAGACTATATATAAAAACAAAAACAAAAACAAACCCAAAACCAAAAAGCCAACAACATTCATTTCTGATGCAGGATAACATGGTCTCAGGGGGGCAAGTTTTCACATCTTAATAAATGCAAGCCCTGAATTTCATCAATGCCTTCTCTGTGCCAGGTACTGGGGATCTAGAGGTGAACAAGACTTTACAAAGTTCTTGCTCTCACAGAACTAACCACAACCTTGCATTTAATCACAGTGAAAATGTGGGAATATGTAAGTTAAATAATAAAAAGGCACACATAGTAAACAACTTAGATAATTTATTTAGAAAGTAGAAAATAAAAAGTATGATTCTAACATCTATTTAGAATATGAACAAAATTAGAAATGGTTAAACTACAGAAAAAAAGGCAGAGAAACTGAAGTTGGCTTAATGGTTATCCAATACAAACAAGCAAAACCCAAGTTACCTTCATGCAAATAAGCATTAAGGAAAAGAATACGGGAATGTTTACAGAATGCGCCATGGCAAACATTTTTCAAATTTACATAAGATACTGTACATAAATGAAAAAATAAATTAGGTAATTTACAAGAAATGTTTTACAGATTACAATAGGCTATAACTTAGTTTATTATGAATAAAATTTATGGCACATCATACATTTTTACATCACAGATTCAGTGTTAAAAGAATTCAGACATGATAAAGCTTAGACTTGACAAGAATGATGTAATAGAATGAGGCAACTGAAACTGAAATGGCATGTGTAAGTAAAATTAATCCCCAAATTAAAGGATTCCTTAGATTGGGACATAATAACATCTTCTGAGTACACTTTGGTCAATAACTGGTCATTAAGATAAACGCCATTCAATTTTAGTTAAAAAATCAGTTTTTTGCTGTAGTTTAAATAAAAAGTAAAAGCACACAGTGTATAAAAAATAATAAAAACCATCTTAATATTGCTTACATCCTAATACTATTAGTTATATTCGGGGCAAGCAGACTAGGATATTGGTGTTACTTCTATAAAGTTACCTTCTGTTTCTAAATGCTGTAAACTAAACTAAAACAGGTTACCCAGAAAAAAGTGGCAAATTCCAAAATGGCTTAATACCTGTGACAACTATTGACTGAGCCAGGTACAACATCGATGAAATTCAGACATACAATGTAAAGTTGAAATAATCCCAAATTATTTTACATTATTTATGTATACTTTACAAATAACACAAATATGGAAATGTTTTCTTGGAAAGCTGTTGGAACTGTAAGCACTGCAACGTATGAAAGAAACATATTTAGCAATAAAAAATTTAATAATATCCTACAACTGAATTAGTTGCATATTTATACCATTCAAAATCTTGATTTTAACCTCATTCACTCCTTTGAAAAATACATTCCTCTTTTGTTCTTTTAAATGCAAAATTAGTGGCAGTTGCAGCAAAAACGCCGAAATTCTATAAGAAAAAAACTGATTTACCCCAAACATATCATTCAGCACAAACTGCGGTACCTGAAATCCCAGTATCAGCTCATAGTACATTCATTCGTTCATTCATTCATTCATTCATTTTTGAGACAGAGTCTTACTCTGTTGCCCAGGCTGGAATACAGTGGCATGATCTGCCCTCTGCCTCCCGGTTCAAGTGATTCTCCTGCCTCGGTCTCCCGAGTAGCTGGGACTATAGGTGTGTGCCAACAAGCCTGGCTATTTTTTGTATTTTTAGTAGAGACATGGTTCTTCCCACATCTATCCCCACTCACAATGATCAGAAATAAGAAACAGCTTTTTAAAAAGGGCCACTAAAAAATCCCAAATATATGTAACACAAACAGTCCGACTTAACAATGGTTTGACTTATGGTTTTTCAACTTTATAATGGGGCAAAAGCAATACACATTCAGTTAAAAACTGTACTTCAAATTTTGTACTCTGATATTATCCTGGGATAACGATATGTGGTACAATACTCTTATTTGAGATATTAAACACTTCATTATAAAATAGGTTTTGTATTAGATGATTTTGCCCAGCTAAAGGCCAACGTTAAGTGTTCAGAACACATTTAAGATAGGCTAGGCTAAGCTGGGATGTTCAGTAGGTTAGGCGTATTAAATGTATTTTCAACTTACGGTATTTTCAATTTACAATGGGTCTACTGGAACATAACCCTATTGTAAGTCAAGGAACATCTGTATTCTAACATTTATGAATAATTTTTTGTACAATGAAAAAGTCATAATGCCCATATAATTCTGAAGTTAACACAGTAAAAATTCCAGATAACCTTTACAGATTTAAAAGTACAAACATTTTAATATACATATAAAACCTTTCATATTACTTTAAGGTATATCTACCTGGCCATTACAGGCAATCACATATTAAGAGAGAATACCATTCTACTGGTTTGGTGAGAATCCAATACCTAGTACCTATCAAATATATACCAATAAAAATTATGTAATAACTTAAAATTATATAAGCACTAAATATTAACTCCAAAACATGACACCAAATACCTGAAAAAAAATTTACTTTAGTTATCTCAAACACAGCCATGAATGAAGCAATTTTCTCAGGACCCTGAAAACTGACTCATTTCCCATCATAACAAACCAACTCCCTCATTTTACAAATAAAAATAATGTTCAAAGAGGCAAGACCAGTGACCAACACTACTTCTAATACAATACCAAATATGACCTCACATTCACTGAATATGCAGGAATAATGCAAATAAGTAGTGACTGCTTTGAGAAAACATTTGAATTTTTTGGAAGTGGAAATTAATTATTCAAAATTTAGATATGTCAGAAAAGCTGGGATGATTGATTTTCACACCACCATTATCGTGAATGGGCTATCCAAATACTCTTAACAGAAGGAATTCCTTTTTTAGGTCTTTAGTGATTATTACTAGGCTCAGTAGAAACCAGAAGACAATTATTCTCTTAAATATTGAAAAGAGGCAGTAATATAGATAAAACACACTATTTTCTGAGATTATCTGATGATAGAAACAAAGTTGGCTGAATTCCTTAGGTATTAGAATAAACATAAACTTGATCATGGATACCTCATGGCAGATCACTTTAAGTGAGGTCAGAGAGTATTATCACAAAAAGATAATATATTTCTAATGTTTTGTTCACACCCACCACAAAACAGTTAAGTTAAATTCAAAATAATGTACACTCATTTTCATTATCCTCTATCAGTTTTCACATGGCTTTAAACAGTGAATTTCTAAACTACATTCTCAAATGCAATAGACTAAAATGCATAAAGTGCTCAACAGAAAAAGATACAATATGAAAAAACTTTGCTTATAATATACAGAGTGGTTATAAAGAACATATGGAAATTACTATCCAGTTAAGCTTTCCATCCAAGAAAACAACCTTAAAAATCAAGGCAAGATGGACTACTCTTTGAAGGCAAGAATACTGCTGGAATAAGAGGAAAACCTTTCCACTTTGTGCTGCATCATTCTGCTTATAGAAACAGTCTTTAAGGGACTGGTATTTACATTATAGCAATCACATGTACACTCAAAGGTAAAAGAAAAAAAACCTCAGAAATTTTTATAGAGTCTAATATTTGGCAAATAATCTGAACCACTTTAAGGGCTTTCAATTACCATGTATATTACTGGCAATAGTACTGACTTTACCCAAACTAAGAGACCACCTAATTTCCAACTTTATTTAGAGTAGCTGAGCAAGGAACTGCCATGTCAAATTACATGGCAAGTTTACTAATAGTCTTTGGAAAAGATGAGTGTAGAACTTAAAAGGCACTAGTTCTACAAGTCTCTAATTAAAAGGCAATCTTCTCGCGGGGTCAGGGTGGTGGTGATGGGAAATTCTATACCTTGTGTTGTTTGCCTAGCCTCACAGCAAACTGACAGTGGTTGCATTTGAAAAAGTTACCAGATTTTTTAAGAATGAAAATTAAGCCCAAAAGTTACAAAGATTTTTCTGTGTACAGAGGTCTACAATGCATTAAAGTTTCTTTTTAATCCTTAGAAATTGGCTGCTCAAAGTCCAATTTTAGAAATGAAGTCAATGGAATCATGAGATCTGCTTCAGTGAAGTACGTATGTATTTTGGGTTGTTGGGAACTATGCCCAGTTGACTCATACTCTCTCAAATGTGGTCTACTGGAAAGATTCAGGTCCCCTAAGAGAACTTGGCATAGTACCATGGTCAGATGGTAACAGAAATACATAAGCATGCCATGACCCTAAAGCAACAACACACTTAAACTAGATAATAATTGTTCAGGAAGAGCAATCCAACTAGAAAGTTGGAGGTCCAGTTGGAGCAACCAGCCACTGCTATTGCAAACTGAAGAGTGTGGCCACAGTATTCCAGGGAACGGAGTCTGGTCCAACTTCAGAGAAGGCCACAAAGACCAAGATAGCCCCACTACAGACAAAGCTCATCCCACCATACTCATCCTTTAATAACAAAGAAACAATCATGAGGACAGAACAAAACGCCATGCCTCAAGACCTATCATATGTAAAGTCCTTCCTGCCCTTTCAACCACAAACAGAGAGACTACAGTCAAGAAGATAATATTAACCACTCCTGCACTAATCTATAGATTGGCTTCTCAACACCTGCATCCTTGAAGATTCTCATTGAGTAATAGAAGACAACATTGATTCCAGAGAGCTACTGAGAGAGCTGGAGCATGATGGAAATGACAGTGGGTTGTTGGTAGCTGGGTACTCTAAAGAGCGCCAGTGTAGTGACTTGCTTTTCTTGTATCATCCTAGCACTCTTATCTCCTAGATGTCCTGGGACACATCCTGAGTCCCCTACAATTGCTGAAGGATCTCATTAGTACTCTTCCTTTCTGTTAATGAGCAAAAACTTACGACTTCCAGGGCAAAATGGAAGGGCTACACTTTATAGGACAGCTGGAAGGATGGTAAAGCCCAGTATCACTGGGCATAGCTCTTCAGACCCCAAGATGAACTCCAGACCAAAGATCTGGATCTCCAGAATACCAACGACGTCCAGCTGGTTGAGAGCACTAAAGGTACCCCAAAGGGGAGTAGGCGAGATCTCTCCAATGTACATGGGCACAAAACTTGTGCAGAGTCCGCATTACAAGCCAGTAATCTAGTGGCCCAGGATCAGCATTTCAACCAACTCAGCTTGTCTGCAGAATCCCATAAGGCAACCAGTAATAGCCAACAAATTATGATAAGCATTGAACTGCACCTGCCAAAGTGGTTGACAAAGAGTGCAACAGAAAGGAGCCAATCATATCACCATTGGGGAAGATGGCCACAGACAAGGGCCAGGGGGACATGAGCAAAACCTCAGAGGGAGAGTCTTCTGACCTCTCTTTCAAAGTGTAACTGAGAAAGTCCTGTATGACTGTCTCAGGAGCACTGATGACTCCAATGTTGTAGCCAAACTGAAAAGAAGAGGTGGGGTGACCTGGGTCCCCATGGCCCTTATCTAATTCTTTTCAAATATTCAAGAAGAGCTAGGAGTGGGATTCCAGAGACACTTCTTCCAGCCAACAAAACCTTCAAAGTGTCCTTGGCAGCAAGTTTTCAGGTCCTCAGTAATGCTATAAAACTCACTCATCATTACAGCATCTCTGCATTCTTGCTTTACCACATTTATCTCAGGCCCAAACTTAGTTATTTCTTTGTATTACATCTGAACCATCAAAGCTAAATATTTTATTCTATTATGAACAACGGCAACAAAACCACGTTTATCCCAAATAAATGTTACAGGAATCTAATAGATGAGCTATTTTGAAACTTTGTGGGAGTCTGAGGCAATACTGCAGAATTACTAAAAGGATCAGTGTTTAGTAAACAAAAGCATAATAGTTCCAAAATTTGTAAAGCCTTTTACCTGGGAATTTATTCTCTCTTTTGTATTTTTGATAGTGATTACAAAGTTTTTCAGATTTTTATGTTGGCAAGTTAACACTGGAGGTCCAATAGTTTAGTGAAGTTGTTTTGAGACTCTTGCTAATGGTTTAGGAAGTAGAAATGCTTGGGGATAAAATTGACTTCTATACATTACCAGTAAATCTAGATGTACTTTAAAGAGCTTAAAAAATTGTTTACATTACACAAGGTAAGTATCACTATGGGTTTTTTTGTTTACAGACCGCAGGTTTACTTAATAGTTTTCAGTAGACTATCAAGAGATGCATGATAAAGACATTTCCCCATGTAGTTTTCAAATTTTATACTCAAGTCCTTATATTCGATTACAGGCATGAGCCACTGCACCCAGCCTCAATTGTTTAAAATTCAGTTTTCTTTACCTGAAGATATGAATGTATGAATTATTAGAGTGGTTATTTAGGAGGAAAAGCGTGTAAAGTTAAGTTTTTAGAATTTAGACTGTTTGAAACTCTGAATTCATGTCAGTCAGTAGCCATTTTAAAACCCTACAATGACTTCATGTTCCTTGCTTTAATATTTCCATTGTAGTGACTAAATATTGGAGCCAAAATTCCATTAGTTCAATTTATTTTAAAAGTTTCTGATTTGTATATCTGTACAGATAAGAATCTTAATTGAATGACAGTAACTACAAGTTTTATACCTGTGGCAAATACTGTATTAGCATCTATAGATTTAGGGCAATCTTTAAGAAAAAATGGAATGGTCAGAGTCTAAGTTATTTCATCACTGTACTTTGGTTAATGTGAACTATGATTCATATATTTTATCCTTTCAAACTGAAATTACCTGCTAGAGTGAGCAACCATCTCACCACTGTGGCTCTTTAGCTTTTCCCATATGTAATCTAGAGGTACTGGAATAATAAGAACACAAAATCATAATGAAGGCTGCCAAAGATTATAATTTTTTATTAAGATCTCGAGTAACTCCCTGTAAGCTCACTGTGGTAAATAGATTTGGTTCTAATACCACAATTCCTCAAAGCTCTATGTTCTTAACGGTGCTGTCTTAATAGAAATAAAATGTAAACCATGTGTGATTTTATCTTTTCTAGTAAGCACATTTAAAAATAATTGGAAACAGATGATTCTTTTTTTTGAGACAGAGTCTCACTCTGTCGCCCAGGCTGGAGTGCAGTGGCACAATCTCAGCTCACTGCAGCCTCCTCCTCCTGGGTTCAAGCAATTCTCCTGCCTCAGCCTCCCAAGTAGCTGGGACTACAGGTGCGCACCACCATGCCTGGCTAATTTTTGTATTTTTAGTAGGCAGGGTTTTGCCACACTGGCCAGGCTGGTCTCGAACTCCTGACCTCAGGTGACCTGCCCACCCTGGCCTCTCAAAGTGCTGGGATTAGAGGCGTGAGCCACTGCGCCTGGCCAAGATTCATTTTAATTGTGTATTTTTCTTTAACCCAATATTTCCAATGTTAACATTTCAACATGTAATCAATACAAAAAATTAGGAGATATTTAACCTTTTATTGTCCTTTAGAGCACATCTCAATTTGGACTAACCATATTTCAAATGCTCAACAGCTACATATGGGTAGTGGCTACTGCACTGGACATCGAAGTTCTAGAACTCTCTCTTACAAATGAACACTATCACTGTCGTTGAAAACTTTCTTGAGATAGTTTATTTTATACAAACAAACTGTATTTCTTATTATTCCTGAAATATCTCATATTGGCATCCTGCCATTTCATTGTAGTGCCTATCATTTTTCCATTGATACTGATAAAGTTGCCTAAGACACAACTTCCTACATAGAGGAAATAAGAGGAACAAACCCCTTTTGGACAGAATCTATTAAAACTCATTCCACTATCCCTATGTACATAAATAACATTGCCTCTGCTGAGTGGAATTTGCATTCGTTACTTCAAAATTCAGACTCATCTACCTTTCCAAGTTAGACAGTTGGGGAAAGAACTTCCTAAATCTTAAGGTTGAAGGCAGAGGGCTCAACCCCACTCCAGATTCAGGCAAGGGGAATAGGAAAGAAAGTGCGAGATAAGAGCATGGTGGCCTCTTGGGGTCCCTTGATGGGGGCTGTTGGGAAGTGGAAGGCATTCTTTTAAGGGGATAAGAAGCAAATGGAAGACTTGCTCCAACTCTAGAGTTTTCAGAGAGTTAGAGGAGGTGGAGAGATTTACTCCTGCCATGGATCATATGCATTTCTACCATCAACTCCTGGTTTTGCAGTATTTTTATAAATGGAGTTTGGACCTTGGTGACACTCAGCCTCTCTTCCCCTTTTCCTATGTTGCTCAATCTTCCTTTCCCTCCTAGGTTCTTACACATTTCAAACCCTTGCCAATAACAGTATTTTAGTTATCAGGTCTCACCATTCCCTCTGGTTGTTGAGCCTTTGGATAAAAATCCACATGGCTATGGAGTGGGTTTTGTTGGAAAAAGTGACCGTCCTCTAACTGCACCTCTATTTCTGGCTCCTCAAACAGCAAAGGGTAATAATAAGGCATGGTAGAGGTTTTCCCATTTTTCAGTGACTAGACTGTGAATATTTACAGATGAATTTTCTATTATTAATGTTATTGTGGTTGTTTTAAAATAAAAGTTCTGAATGTATATATGACCAAAACAAACAAACAAAAAGAGCACAGTGAACTCAAATCATATTCCATTACAATAGTCCCAGGACTTCATTAGACAGACTCCCAGTAATTAAGCCTCCAATCTTAAAATGTTAAACATTTCAACATGTATTGACTAATTCCTGTAAAATACAGAAAGTGCAACATCACCAAACGTGCATTTCCCAGGATTCATTTTAGAATTCTCATGAAAATTTAATAATAGTATTTCAGTTAATTATGGCATTTGAGAAAAAGATACTAATGGGGAAAGATCACATACATGCTTTGGGTGATACGTTAAAAAAACCTACAATAATTAGTAGTATTGCCTTAACATTTCTAAAATCACATAAAAATGATCATCTTTGATTGCCATTTCAGTAATTTTGAATACAGGGTATGTTATTTTCTGCTCACTAGTAATCAAAACACATAAAACAGACTTGTAACAAATATTCAGAGTCGATTATTTTCATAAGCTAAACAGTTCCGATACTTTAAGATTTGTGTTTGAGCATACAGTACTGCAATGTTGGCTACATAAAATAAAAAAATCTTTTTAAGAGGAAGCTCAATAATCAGAGGCTGTATTGCATTTAAGGATTTAACACTGGCTATATACAAAAGGGAAAGCATTTCAATGAGAAATACTTCACGTTACCAAGTTCTCTCCTTTAATATGGCAACATTCAGCAGCTTATGCTACTCTTTTATCCTTTGGTTCCCAGTGACAAACAATGCAGTAATAATGCCTCTGGTTTTAGTTCCTCTTGGATGACATTTATTAGCAGAGAGAGAGACCTGATGCTTTAGCTGAAATTTGGCAGCCCAAGAAGTGCACCAACTGCTCCAAAGTAACCCTGTGTAATTTAAAAATAACTGTTATGTAGTACAGCTTTTAAGTTAGCATATAATATTAACCACTTGAGAACACACAACTATGCACAATCTATTTGTTTAATAATATTTGGAAACCTACCAATTTCTGCGTTGTTAGCTATTATAAAAAATTTTCTGAATCTGTATTCTTGATGTCTACACACCTTTGAAATATGTATTTTTATTTATTATTATTATTTTTAGAGACATGGTCTCACTATTTTGCCCAGGCTGGCCTTGAATTCCTGGGCTCACATGGTCCTCCCATCTCAGCCTCTTGAATAGCTGGGACTATAGGCTCACACTGAAATACGTATTCTAAAAGTGTGGCCTTTAGACACTAAAGCTTCCAGGACTGTAACAGCAATTCTGCACCCTCTCCCCTTTACTTAATAAAACAAACTAACTTCCTGTGGCTGTGCCTGACACTCTCACTGCATGCCATGTGGAATTGCACAAGGGCACACCATTCTGATTTGTATTGTGTGAGCAGTGACAATGAGACATGGAAGCTTTTTTTTTTTTTTTTTTTTAGACAGTCTCGCTATCACCCAGGCTGGAGTGGCTGGAGTGCAGTGGCGCCATCTCGACTCACTGCAGGCTCCGCCCCCTGGGGTTCACACCATTCTCCTGCCTCAGCCTCCCGAGTCGCTGGGATTACAGGCGCCCGCCACCTCGCCCGGCTAATTTTTTTTTGTATTTTTAGTAGAGACGGGGTTTCACCGTTGTTAGCCAGGATGGTCTTGATCTCCTGACCTCGTGATCCGTCCGCCTTGGCCTCCCAAAGTGCTGGGATTACAGGCATGAGCCACCGCACCCGGCCAAGACATGGAAGCTTTTAAGAGCAGAATAATTTGAATCTCTGTTACTAATTTGTAATGATACAGCCATTTGACTTTGATCACAAAATGATTCAAGTTAAGTTAATCCAAAACATTATGTGGACTGATAATTGCTCAGATCAGAACTTAACTGCATGTAGTAAATGAATACAAAAAAATCTGGGGGTGCCTAACAGGTTATTGTAATTCTCTTCCCCACAACTGAAACTGAAGCGAAGGAACCAATATTCTACTACTTAAGGCTGGGCATGGTGGCTCACACCTATAAAGGATTGCTTGAGGCCAGGAGTTCCAGACTAGCCTGGGCAACAAAGAGTGATCCTGTCTCCACAAAAAATATTAATAAAAATAAATTTTCTGGGCACAGTGGTGCATACCTGTGGTCCCAGCTACTTGGGAGGCTGAGGTGGGAGGATTGATGAGCCCAGGAGGAAGAGGCTGCAGTAAGCCATCATTGTGCCACTAAACTCAAGCCTGAGTGACAGAGCAAGACCCTGTCTCTTAAAAAACATGCTATTAAAATTCACAAAAAACATTTTCCTACCATACCTCATGTTCTAGAAACAATGCTTTTAGTTGACCTTTTGACCAGTAATCCAGTGCATATGCCAAAAGTTTCATTGAGAGGGTATTGACACGTAAAAAGTTTCCAACAAAGACAACTCTGTTTATTTTCTAAAAGAAAAGAACAAAGAAAAAACTTGTAAAAATAATAGATTTTACAATATAAAAGGTTTCTAAATATTTATTTAAAATTTATTTTAAAATGCAAAAAAACACAACTACGCTTTATTAGTATAACACCTACTACATTCCTGGCATATAGCTGTATAATCCTGAATATTTAAAAATTAGTTCTGCACACATCATCCAAAATCCACAAAATGTGTAACACCAAGAGAGAACCCTAAATTATGGACTTTGGGTGATGATGATGTGTGCACAGGGTTATGGACTGTAACACATGATCACTCTACTATGGGATGCTGAGGATGGAAGTGGGCTGTGTGTGTATGGAAGGTGGTATATGGGAACTCACTGAGCTTTCCACTTAATTTTACGTGAACCTGAAACTGATCTAAAAAATAAAGTCTACTTTTAAAAAAAGGTTCCAGAAAGACTCTAGCAGATGATTTCAGGTGAGATTTGTTTTTGAAAATGGCCAATAAATAGCCCCCTTACAAAGTCATTTGGAGACACATTACTGATGTGATTAAAAAAAAAAATCAAAACATGGTAAGTACTATAAAATGCATTTAGTTGATAAGTAGCAAACTTGGCCCACACATTGCAATGCATGTTGAACAATGACATGCAACTGTGGATTCTACAGAATTGGAGAGTAATACTGACTGGGGTACTGGCATGTGCATTCCCCTAGGATTCTAGCATTCTTTCTCCGTCCCCTGCCTGATTCATCAAATCATTCTCTCTCTGCAAAGATTCCACACTAATTTGGTTTCTTAGATTATCTCTATGATTAGGAAATCTTACAAAGGGGAACTGGTGTTTGAATCACCAGAAAACTTATTTCGACTCTCACACTATACTGACTTTTGAGTAGAAATCTTTGTACATAAGTTGGGATACTGTAAACCATGGCCTAAATTATTGTTAACTCAATTGGTCAGTGGAAATTTAGACATAAAGGGCTAAGAATAAAGGTCTCAAATTGTTGTCAGCTCCCAACATGGTCTACTAGTAACTCCATCAACCAACTAACACTTAAGTTTCTAAGTTATTAAAAAACTGATGAGACCAAGTTCTGGATTTAAATACAGAATAATTCAGAGGATTTGCATATTTGTTCTCTCTGCTGGAAGCTTTCTCCCCAAAATGTCTACATGCACAGTTTCCCCCTCACCTCCTTCAAACCTCTGCCTAAGAATCACATTTTCAATAAAGCTTTCCTTTAACCACTCAATTACTTAGCAATTTGTCCTCTACCACTCTCTGCCCTATTCCCAATCCTCTTTATCCTGTTTGATGGTCTCTTTTTAAAAAAATAGCACTTATCACCTAATACACACTACACAATTTACTTAATATGTCACTAGAATGAATGCAAGCTCCACAAAGCCAGATCTTTGTTTTCTTCATTAATATGTTCCAAATACCCAGAACGATGTCTGGCATCTGGTAATCAGTAAATATTTACTCAATGAATAAATGAATGAATGAACAAATGAAGGGTTCCTTCGAAAAGCGTACTTCCCAATCCATTTAAAGTATTTGATATTTATAAAAATTAAACGGGCAAATATATCTATTATTATATAAGGAAGCTAGAATTAAATATATATATTCTCTTCCAAACAAAGAATCCCAACTATATGGTCAATCTAACAGTATATCCTTTTCACACTTTTCTTGTAACAATAAACACCACTCAAATATCATGAAGAACAGGTCTCAATGCCTTCATAGCCCTGTACAATGCTGCTTGATCCATATGCAACAAGGCAGCACTGTAAAGAAGCCGAGGGCAGTAAGAAAACTTCCAAGAATTTCACTAATCAAATGCAACATTAAGCACTGGTGGTATAGTGGTGAGCATAGCTGCCTTCCAAATGCAAAATTAAGACTAAAAAAAATGCTTTCACAAAGTATCTCAAAATGTCTTATGCTTAGAACTTTCTTTTACATCCTCAAGGGATTTAGGTTGTGTTTTTCTGAAAAAAAATTCTGAATAAATTTCTCCTATTTCAATTTGAATTATCTGCTACTTTCTTTAAAAGTAATATAGCAACTGGATACGTAACATATATACCTAATGAGTCTTGGCATTTAATGGGTTACATCTCAATCCCAGAGGCCTCCTTAGGGAAAGTGAAGAAGCCCTGCTAGGTGTATATAGGACTCCAATTCACATTTTTGATAATTCAAGTTTTGTGTTTTTTGTTTTTTTACCTCATTAACAGCACACATTCGTGCCACAGAACCAATGTTATTGGTGATAGTAACTAAAGTAGCTCTTGCCAGATCTTCTTTACTAACAGATTCTCGCTTCTCCTTATAAATCATATTCCCAAAACTGCAGAAAAATGAAAAATAAAGTCAAATCTGCTGATAAAAAGCAACATTTTACGTATTAACAGATATATCTACAACCTGGATATTTTTATAAAATTAGGACCAAAAAGTAGAAACACATAGGGATAAGATCAAAACAAACTAACAAAAAAAATCTATGCAAGAGTAAAGTAATACCTTTCAAAGAATTAAGGTTAAAATGACATCTCAAAAAAAGCATAGTTAGTTATTATAAGAAAGCAAAGATTACCAAAATATCTTCACTTAAACCTGATTCAAAACAAATTAGCCAAAATTACAAAATGTTTCCAAAAGTATCTCAGCTTTAACTTCAAATTCTTTTTCATTCAGTCACAAGAAACATTTATGACATACCAAGCTTTGTGCTGGAGACAGATAGTCCCTCAAACAGTGAATTAGTCTAGTGCAGCACTGTCCAATAGAAATAAAATACGAGTAATATATAATTTCATATATGTTCTATTAGCCACATTAAAAAGGTAAAAATAAACAAGTGAAATTAATTTTAATTGTACATTTCATTTAAGCCAATATATCCAAATATCATCAATTCAACATGTGGCACTCATAAGCCAAGTGCCTTACGTGGCTAGAGGCTACTGTAATGGACAATGCAGGCCTACATACAAAAGACAGCAAGAGAAGCGCTAACAGTAACAGGGAAAAAATCCAAACAAAGGCTAACCCCAAACAAAGGCTAACCTTGGAAATACAAACAAAAAAATATCTTTTATTACAGTGGTAAGAGAAAAAAGTTAAGAAGGTATGAGGCAGGGCTTTCAGAGCAAAAGGACCAGAAAAAGCCAGAAAAAATGAGAAGAAAAATCTTAGGCAGAGGCAACTAAAGGTTAAAGGCACACAGAAATGAGAAATGAAAACATCTATGAAATCACAAGATGTTTGGTCGGAGTGAAGCGTCTATGCAAGGGAGAGGCAGGAGATATTACTGAAGAGTGAGACAAAGTCCACTATCAAAGGGCACTGGATTCCCTGACAAAGAACTTGGGGTGCACAAGCAACAATGGTTAGGAAGCATAATGGGAGACAAGACTGATAAACAACAGAACAGTAAATTTAAAATATTTAGGAATCAATTTAAAAAGCCATGTATGGACATATTTGGAGAGGCCTTTTTAAATGTGTGAAAGGCACAAAAGTAGCCTTAAACAAACAGACAAGCTAAGTTCTTCAACAGCAAGACTTACTATAAAGATATCATTTGTCCCTAAGTTAATATGTAAACTTACTGAGATTCCAAAAACATTTTTGTAATAGAGAAAATGTTTGCCAAGTTCATACAGAAAATCAAGCAAAGGAGTGAAACTAGCCCTTCTAGAGATTAAAACATACTTTTTATGCCTCTATAAAGCTGAAAGTATAATGCTGGTACATCAACAGAATGAAAAGCCAGCATATGTAAAAAAGCCATCTCAAATCAGTGAAATAAAGATGGATTATTAGACATTAGGGCCTTCTGGAAAAAAAAACAAAAAACCTGAAAAATGAAAGCATGATCTGTAACTCACAAAATACCCTAAGATAAACTATAAGTAAATCAAAGATTTAAGTATAAAAATACCACCATTAACATATCAGAAGAAAATAAGGGTTTATTCCTTTATATATTTGGAATGTAGAAGACTTACTTACTATGAATCAATATCCAGAAGCCATAAAAGAAAAGACTGATAAATTCAACTGTATAACAATCCAACAGAAAAGTAGAACATGAACAATAACTCACAGAAAATAAAATATGCAAGGCTCTTAACCCCAGTGTTGGTAGGAGAAATGTAAATTAAAATTACATTAAGATACCACTTCTCCATCTGATTAGCAAAAATGCAAAAGTTAGCACTCTACTGGTGAAACAGGCACTTTCATTTACCGCTGGTGAGAGTGAAAAACAGTACCGCTCTTTTGCATAATTAACAATATCTCAAAAATGCATTTGCAATCCAACTTTTGGGAATTTATCCTACACCTGTATAAAATAAGGTCAACAACATGTAAAGATTTCTATATGGATACTTTAGAGTATATATAGTATGCCATATAATGGTAGATTACCTTTTGTATATGGGGAGAAAAGTAAAAATATGTATTTGTATTTGCATAAACACTGGAAAGACACTCAAAAATTAAAAAAAAAAAAGTTTCTTACAAGGTGCACTCAGGGTAAACTTCTTAATGTATACTTAATTTTTAAATGACATCAATGTTCAAAACTTGGAACCTAAACTGGATAAGAGAAAGCACCCTTACAACTTTCTGTTACATTGCTTTCCAAAAACATAAGCAACTTGAATTACTTAACTTCTGTAACTTAAATAACACAAATGTTAAACTTACCTAGATGCTACAGCCCAACCTGGCAAACCAAATCTTTCATAATCTCCTCCATAAATATCACGGACCAGCTTGTCAGCTTGTGTGCTATCACCTTTGGATGCCATTTCAAGAGCCTCTTCAAAACTTTCACAGCCAGTCAATAAACTGCATAAACCCAGAAAGGTACCCCCTCCAAGGCTAAAGAAAATAAAGAAACTTGCTAAGTTGCATTTATACATTATATTCTTTCTCTAAAGTAAAAGGGTGGATCATTCATGTATTCAATGAACACACAGAAAAAAAACCTATGACTAATGCTGAGTGCTGAAATAACATAACGAAGGCAACAAAAATTGTTTAGTAAAACCAAACTTGTTAGATCAAAGAATAAACCAAAGAAAAAAATCACTTGGTGGAAACATGAGGAAAGGAAAGACCTATTAAATCTCTCCCAAAGTCTTCACCTAATACCTTACACTCTGTAGTTACCAAAGATAAATTGTTGTGTGTGCATTAAAAAGGAATAAATGTTAAAAATCAGTACCATATTAATTACAAAGAGAAAATCTGTAATTTTTCTTTTGAGACAAGGTCTCACTCTGTCCCTCAGGCTGGAGTGCAGTGACCATGATCATAGCCTAATGTATCCTTGAACTCCTGGGCTCAAGCAATCTTCCTGTTCCAGCCTCCGCAGCAGCTAGACTACAATGCACACTACCACACTGGACTAATATATATGTATATATTTTTGTAGAGATGGGGGTCTCACTATGTTTCCCAGGCTGGTCTTAACTCCTGGTCTCAAGCAATCCTCCACTTTGGCCTCCCAAAGTGTTAGAATTACAGGCATGAACTACCATGCCCATCTTTGTAATTTTAAATCGTTTCCAAGAAATGATTTTGGGAAAGGCTTCTTTACTTGGCCTGACATGGATGAAATCAATTCAATATGATACACTAATATTTCACATGACCTACACATAAATACAATGAGTAAATTTATGTCCAGCTGGCCAACATGTCAATTACAGAAATTTATTTGCTTCTATTATTCTTCTGGATATGCTCACAGAATGAAATCATATCTAATTCCTAAACTGTAAACCTTTGCTCCCTAGTCTCATCTAAATTTCTAGCAAGTTCTACCCCTGAATCACTGTTGGATTTAGTTAACAGACTGAACTTCTTTTAGAGTTAACCGAAGAAGGCAATAGCAGTGTACAATTCTTTGGCATAGAGAATTACAACAGAGGTGAACTTTTAACCACCATAAAAATAAAGTACTAATTAAGTATAATTTAAACAGAATTACTACTTTAAAATTAAAATGAGTTTTTTTCACAAATTAATCTAAAGTATTTGAAAATCTTTCTTCCTTAAACTGGAATCTTCACCTCTCTGTAAAAGTTGATAAAATACATAAAAGAATCATGAGTTTTATATCTTATTTCTCATTCGTATTTCAGGTATTACAGAAAAGTATGTGGGCTATTTGGGAACATTAATGTTATCACAAAAAGAAATCACATTAATTCATCCTATAAGAATAAATTACAATGTTCCCCAGTACTGCAGTTTAAGGGTTTACATATATTAATATCCATTAAAAAGTCAAAAAATAGGTAAAGAAGAAAAATGCTTTGGAAAAAAGAACAAAATATAAACATAATAAAGTTTAAAATCAATAGAACACTGTTGCTTCCAAGTAAATGCTCCAGTTAAATTCTAGAAAAAACGTTACCAGACTCATTCTAGATAAAAATTCACTTTACCATTATGGAAATTTTGATCCCAACTGATGCTGACTAATAAACATTTAATAATTTCAGTTTGAGTCTTGACATACACATCTTATAAAAATACATTATCTGTTGGCTGGGAGCAGTGGCTCATGCCTGTAATCCCAGTACTTTGGGAGGCCGAGACAGGCAGATTGCTTGAGCTCAGAAGTTCAAGAGCAGCCTGGGCAACATGGCACCCTCTTTCACTTAAAAAAAAAAAATATATATATATATATATTTTTTTTTTTTGCTGTTGTGCAAATACATGCTCTTTTACTGGTGAAAATGACATTATTATACTGATTTCATAACTTCTGTGTATAAAACAATGTGAATGCAGCAATACAACCAAAAAGGTCACTACCTTGTCCCAGTCACTCGTTTATAGTTGTCTTTGGAATGGACTGCTAAAATACTGACTCCTGAGCCAATGTTCACTACAAGCAGTGGATAGGGATCATCCAGGTTAAAAGGCATCTTTTGGCATCGCTCAGGTTCTGAGGCATTAGCAAAATAATAGCACTCGGCTTGTCCATTGAAACTGACAGAGTCTATATACAGCAAGCCCTTTACAAGGCAGTCAAGTTCATCCAGTTTGTGCAGGTGGAGGTTTCCAATCTGTTAAAACAAACAAACAAAAACAAAAAAGGATGACATTCAAAAACACTCAACTATATGATTTTCCTGTATTACTTTACAAAAATTAAAAATGGTCTATGACCCCCACATTTTCATTTTGTTTCATGTCAGAATCTCTTTCGGGATTTCATCTAGTCCACTGGTCCTCAGTGAGGGTGGTATCACCTCACTGCTAGTTTTCTAAATGATGGGGAGGAAGGAAGGACCAAACTGACATTTAGTGGGCAGGGACTTGTGATGCCAGACATCTTTAATGGGTGTGACATTTCTGCAGACCAAAAAATTATCCCATCTATGCATTATCTTTGAGTGTTCTGCCAGTCATTTTTATAGTGGCAGTAGGAAAATTATTTATAATTATCTGAGGCTAGAGAATAACAAAGTTATTTTACCTATCTGTCTGTGTATACAAATACAAAAGTATTCGTCCTATGGATTCAGTCACTCCATTCATTCATTCATTCATTCATTTTTGAGACAGAGTCTAGCTCTGTCACTCAGGCTGGAGTACAGTGGCATGATCTCGGCTCACTGCAACCTCCACCTCGTGGGTTCAAGCGATTCTCCGCCTCAGCCTCTCAAGTAGCTGGGATTGCAGGCGCCCGCCACCACGCCTGGCTAATTTTTGTATTTTTAGTAGAGATGAGGTTTCACCATCATTGGTCAGGCTGGTCTCCAGCTCCTAACCTCAAGTGATCCGCCCACCTTGGCTTCCCAAAGTGCTGGAATTACAGGCGTGAGCCACTGTGCCCAACCCACGTAGTTTTAAATATATACTAAATTTGCTAGGAATTGAACCACCACATAAAGCAAGGGAAAATTGTACTTCTTACTGTTTGGAATTTTACCAAGTGTTTGTTTAGCATGTTGGAGGGTCATGTCACCAACAGCAATGCCATTTATGGTATCTTATTTTCCAACAGAACATACCATATCAATCTGGCATGTGTAGCTTTGGTATTCATGATCAATCTATGCATAGGTGCAAGCATATAACTACTTCATGATGTCCTCTGGAATGATCATACTGTTTGTTAATCTACCCACGGATAGATTAATTTCTGATTAATAACTGATACCTTAATCTCCTGTCTTTATATTATAGTTTGAGTACTAGTTTGAAATGATTACATTCATCATTTCAGGTTAGTAAAAAGCGTATTATAAGACACCGTTTATAAAACATTGCAGCTTAGATATCACTTCCTCTGGGAACCTCTTCAACTCTCTAGCTGTTGTTACTCCTCTGTGTTCCCAAGGCACCTCTTTTCATACAGTACTACAGATCTTTACCTCAAATTATATGGGTCTCGCTTCTATGAGCCATTTAAGTTATTTATATTCCTTCTGAGACAGGGTCTCACTGTCACCCATGCTGGAGTGCAATGGCTCAATCACAGCTCACTGCAGCCTCAATCTCAAGAGCTCAAGCAATCCTCCCACTTCATCAGCCTCTTGAGTGGCTGGGACTACAAGCACAGGCCACTATGCTGAGCTAATTTTTTTATTTTTTGTAGAGACGGGGTCCCACTATATTGCCCAGGCTGGTCTCCAACTCCTAGCCTCAAGTGATCCTCCCACGTCAGCCTTTATATTCCATTAACAGTATTTTCTTATGATTTTCAGAAATTAAATTATTCACATTTACATTTTCAAGAAAAACAAATTTCAGTGGTCCTAAACAGAGCCATTCTTTATTCTAATAGAAAAGACTAGAAGCTTGGCAAACCACTCTTTGAACTCTCATTCTAATGGAAAAGACTAGAAGATGGCAAACTGCTAACAGCACATAACTCAAACCAATACTCATAGTTCTCCTGCCAGATCCATTCAAATCACCCCATTTGACACAGGAACATGGCAGGATTAACAGCATAAAAACAGAAAAAAAAGGGTAACAGATTTTCATTCAGGTGTCCATTATACTAACCAAAAGACATTGGTTTCCAGACTTAGGGTTTGGGAAGGAGATGGCCCTGGAAGATTAATATTATTTGAATAAGTAATATTCCAAAAACCATGTAAATGTAGGACAATAGTGAAAATAATTCAAGCTTCATTTATATCTGGCTTTGTACACTGCCAAATTCATTAAAGTCCCCAAATCCCCTTTTTATTGTAGCTTTGTAGTACAGCCCTAAACAAGTTTTACCAAATATTATGTGCAACAACATGACCAAATCCGGGCAATTTTTACTCATCTCATAAACGTGTTTAAAACGCCCCAAGTGAAAGGCAACCATGGATACATATTTCCCACTGCATGTGCAGGGAGAATTAAGGAACATGCTAGATGGAAACCTACTCTCATATTTAAAAACAGGTATCAATTTTCAGTTTTGAGTAAAAGATACCTACTGTGCGAAAATCTTTTTCAAACTTGTAAGCACCACCTCCTGTAGCACATAGCACCGTCTGCAATGTTGAGAAGTTTTTATCTCTTCCCATTTGGATAAAAGTAGGCAGGTCCTGGGTTGGAAACCTGATAAAGTGCAAGTTCCCTCTTCGGCCAAAAAGTGTTAAATCTTTCAGTTCAAGGTGTACATCCCGAATGCCGGTGGATCCATATGCCACGTTAGAAGTCAAATATTTCCGAATACTTTTTAAACTCTCAACTTCTTCTTGCTCTTCCTCTGCTGTGATATCAATAGGTTCAAAGTACGAGAGCTTTACTAGAGTTCCCCCAATGTCCATGCCAAACCATGGGAAAGCTATGGGAGGAAAAAAAAAAAAAAAAAAAAAAATATATATATATATATATATCCATTTTAGAAACACAAATTAAAAACCAGTTAGCCACAAACTTCATTTACTCTGAATCATGCATTCAGGCAATAATATGTATTGGGTAAGACACATGTTCCATGTGGAACTTACCTTTTTCCCTTCAAAGTTTTTTTTTTTTTTTTTTTTTTGAGATGGAGTCTCGCTCTGTTGCCCAGGCTGGAGTGCAGTGGCGCGATCTTGGCTCACTGCAAACTCCGCCTCCCGGGTTCACGCCATTCTCCTGCCTCAGCCTCCCGAGTAGCTGGGACTACAGGTGCCCACCACCACGCCTGCCTAATTTTTTTTTTTTTTGTATTTTTAGTAGAGACGGGGTTTCACCGTGTTAGCCAGGATGGTCTCGATCTCCTGACCTTGTGATCCGCCTGCCTCTGCCTCCCAAAGTGCTGGGATTGCAGGCGTGAGCCACCGCGCTCGGCCCTTCAAAGTTTTATTAATATATTTTCTAAAAACGTATAGGGTGCTTAGAGTTGACCCAGGATCTTTTAATTCCTGGCCTGGTAGGCAACCCCTTTTCATTTACTAAATACCATGTGCTCCAGGGATGAGAAAAAATTCAGATCATTCTTTTTTCAATAAATAGGTCAACACTAAGGGCATGAAAATCTTTGTTTCTATAAGCATTTTAATACAATAAAACTGGCCTATAATCACTTCAAGTAACCCAGGAGAAAAGCACCTCCTTAAAAAGCAATTCCTGCCAGGTATGGTGCTCACACCTGAAATCCCAATACTTTGGGAGGCTGAGGTAGGGGGGATCGCTTGAAAACAGGAGTTTGAAACCAGCCTTGGCAATATAACAAGATCCTGTCTCCGCAAAAAATTTAAAAATTAGCTGGGCGTGGCAGCATGCACCTGTAGTCCCAGTTACAGGAGGCTGAGGCAGGAGGATCACTTGAGTCCAGGAGGCTGGGGCTGCGGTGAGCCATGTTTGCACCACTACACTGCAGATTAGGTAACAGAGTGAGATCCTGTCATAAAAAACAAACCCAAAAAGCAATTCCCTTCAGTAAATAATCATTATCTCCAGGCCGGGCGCGGTGGCTTACGCCTGTGATCCCAGCACTTTGGGAGGCCGAGACGGGTGGATCACGAGGTCAGGAGATCGAGACCTTCCTGGCTAACACAGCGAAACCCCGTCTCTACTAAAAAAATACAAAAAAATTAGCCGGCCGTGGTGGCAGGCGCCTGTAGTCCCAGCTACTCTGGAGGCTGAGGCAGGAGAATGGCGTGAACCCGGGAGGTGGAGCTTGCAGTGAGCAGAGATCGCGCCATTGCACTCCAGCCTGGGCGACGGAGCAAGACTCCGTCTCAAAAAAAAAAAAAAAGAAAGAAAGAAAGAAAGAAAGAAAATCATCATCTCCTCTACACCAGGAAACAGGAATGCATATGAATAAAATACCTGCCCTGAAGGAGCGCTCAATGTAGCAGGGGAATATAAATAAAACACATTAAGAACGAGATACACAAAATAAAATTTTATATAAGTATAGATTAATAGAAGGAATGATAAACCCTATGCCTGTGTTTGACCGTAGAAAATACTAAAACAACAAAAAACCCCATCCAAAGGTGAAGAGGCATACGTCAGTACGGTTAAGGAACTAGAAAAAGGGGGAAGTCTAAGGAAATAGATGAAGGACCTTGCACACTTAGCTAAAGAGCTTAGACTTGAACTTTTTAGACAACGGGAACACTACTGACGTTCTAAGTAAGAGAGTGGCACAGTCTACCTTCAAATTAGAAAGCAAACAAACTTTCTACTTTGGCAGTGTACAGGATAATATAAATGAGCTGCTTAAGATGTGCCAGTAAAGTAAGGCCAGCGATAGAGGCCATCTTAAGTAACACCCTCTTGAAAAAAATGGTATAGACCATTTACAAAACCCTTATCATTTAAAAACAGATTCCTGACGTCTTACCTCAGAGGCACTGGACAATAATCTTTAAGAGTGAGATACGGGATGCTATTAAAAATTATATACTGTATATATTCGGAAGATTATACTATAGTCAGATCTAAATGGCATTTGAAAATGACTGGCTTTGGTCACCTGATTCCTTCAGGTTATGAAATTCAGTTTTACAACGTGATTTCCTTATATTTATTGGCCACAATCCTTATACTGACACAAAGGAGTATTTTCCAATTGTTCCCAAGGAAGTCAGTATTATAATATTATGAATTACAAAATTCAAATTTTTAGAATTAGTTTAAAGCACAACTGATTCAGTTCTTCATAGAATTACAGCTAACATTTACTGAGTGCTCACTACCTGTCAGACACAGGCTCATTTAATCCTCAGTACCCCCACTATAAGATTGCTCTATTAAGTGTACCACTTAGACAAGGAGGCAAAGCAATTACAAACTTGCCTGAGGTCAAACTGTTAAGTGACAGTGCCAAGATTCCATCCTAAAAATATATATTTCTATTCTCTAGGATCTTAACTATTATGACAGAGACTCAAAAAGAGTTTAATACTCAAGATACATGGATTAAAATGTCTGGCAACAAAATATATTTAACAGTTTTTATGTAAAAGTTGCCAATAAAAATTATTTCTAAAATTCTACTTTCTCATTTTATTTGATATGTGTGTGCATTACAAAACCAGGAACATATAATTCAATGAGAAAGAAGTCTATACATTTCTCCATTTTATAATTTACACATTTACTAAAATTAGTATATAATTTTTAATACGAGGAAGGAGTAATCCTCATTATCTTCTTTTGGAGAAATAGCTCGTTCGTCTTTATATTTGAAACTCAAATTAGAGATCTGGAGCTACATTACAGATAATCTTAAGAAACAGTATTCTGTATTCTGGAAAGGTACTTCCAGTGTAGGAAAAAAAGTTTTTTAAAAAAGTAAAATGACATTAGACCATAATTTGGGAAGCCAGGGGCAGCTTTGAGCTCAAACACAATACTTCATCACGTCAACTATAAACAGGTATAAATAACTAAGCAACATAAGCAGAAGAAAGTGACTATATTTTCTCAGTTTTGTTGAGTGCCTAGCAACATAGGCCTTTTTTTTTTTTTTTTTTTTTGAGATGGAGTCTTGCTCTGTGGCCCAGACTGGAGTGCAGTGGCATGATCTCTGCTAACTGTAGCCTCCACCTCCTGGGTTCATGCAATTCTCCTGCCTCAGCCTCCCAAGTAGCTGGGACTACAGGTGTGCACTACCACGACCAACTAATTTTTTTATTTTTAGTAAAGAAGGGGTTTCACCATGTTGACTAGGATGGTTTTGATCTCCTAACCTTGTGTGTGTGTGTGTGCAACAAGGCTGTTTATTTCACCTGGGTGCAGGCGGGCTAAGTCCGAAAAGAGAGTCAGCAAAGGGTGGTGGGATTATCATTAGTTCTTATAGGTTTTGGGATAGGCAGTGGAGTTAGGAGCAATGTTTTGAGGGCAGGGGGTGGATCTCACAAAGTACATTCTCAAGGGTGGTGAGAATTACAAAGAACCTTCTTAAGGGTGGGGGAGATTACAAAGTACATTGATCAGTTAGGGTGGGGGAGAAACAAATCACAATGGTGGTATGTCATCAGTTAAGGCTATTTTCACTTCTTTTGAGGATCTTCAGTTGCTTCAGGCCATCTGGATGTATATGTGCAAGTCACAGGGGATATGATGGCTTAGCTTGGGCTCAGAGGCCTGATGTTCCTGTCTTCTTATATTAATAAGAAACTCAAAACAAAATAGTGGTGAAGTGTTGGAGCAGCAAAAAACTTTGGGGGTGGTATGGAGAGATAATGGGCGGTGTTTCTCAGGGCTGCTTCGAGTGGGATTAGGGGTGGCGTGGGAACCTAGTGTGGGAGAGATTCAACTGAAGAAAGATTTTGTGGTAAGGGGTGATATTGTGGGGTTGTTAGAAGGAGCATTTGTTGTATAGAATGATTGGTGATGGCCTGGATACGGTTTTGGATGAATTGAGAAACTAAACAGAAGGCACAAGGTCCAAATCTAGCCTACTAGAAATGTGTTCGTTCCTTGAGTGCTGTTTTTAAAGAAAGGTAAACTAGAGAGCTATCCTGCAGATGATGACTTCATAGGAACCATAATATGCAAACCAGAAAATTGCAGGCTCCTTCTATTATTTCTAGCATATATCAGTTATAACAATTTTCTCCTTAAAATCAACAAAGCAGGGACTGAAAGAGAACTCAGCCCTGCTATAACTTCAATTAAGAAAAAAGAAAAGTTGGTGGCTGGTAATGGCCACCTTTTACACTGAAATCCTTTCAATTCAATAGACTTCAGAAATTAATTTCTTTATGCCAGAAAAATAATCACTATTAAAAAGCACGAGATGCAGAACCTCAGCAAGGCAAAAAAAAAAAAAAAAAAAAAAAAAAAAAAGGCACAAAGAAGGCAGCACAAACAGAAGAGACATAAATTCTCAATTATGATACACTCCTTTGTTTAAATCTTTTTTTAAAAATTATTATTATACTTTAAGTTTTAGGGTACATGTGCACAATGTGCAGGTTAGTTACATATGTATACATGTGCCATCCTGGTACGCTGCACCAACTCGTCATCTAGCATTAGGTATATCTCCCAATGCTATCCCTCCCCCCTCCCCCCACCCCACAACAGTCCCCAGAGTGTGATGTTCCCCTTCCTGTGTCCATGTGTTCTCATTGTTCAATTCCCACCTATGAGTGAGAATATGCGGTGTTTGGTTTTTTGTTCTTGCGATAGTTTACTGAGAATGATGATTTCCAATTTCATCCATGCCCCTACAAAGGACATGAACTCATCCTTTTTTATGGCTGCATAGTATTCCATGGTGTGTATGTGCTACATTTTCTTAATCCAGTCTATCATTGTTGGACACTTGGGTTGGTTCCAAGTCTTTGCTACTGTGAATAATGCTGCAATAAACATACGTGTGCATGTGTCTTTATAGCAGCATGATTTATAGTCCTTTGGGTATACACCCAGTAATGGGATGGCTGGGTCAAATGGTATTTCTAGTTCTAGATCCCTGAGGAATCGCCACACTGACTTCCACAATGGTTGAACTAGTTTACAGTCCCACCAACAGTGTAAAAGTGTTCCTATTTCTCCACATCCTCTCCAGCACCTGTTGTTTCCTGACTTTTTAATGATTGCCATTCTAACTGGTGTGAGATGGTATCTCATTGTGGTTTTGATTTGCATTTCTCTGATGGCCAGTGATGGTGAGCATTTTTTCATGTGTTTTTTGGCTGCATAAATGTCTTCTTTTGAGAAGTGTCTGTTCATGTCCTTCGCCCACTTTTTGATGGGGTTGTTTGTTTTTTTAGTAAGTGGTCTAATTACCAACATATATTTTCCAGTATTATCTACAAAATACTTATGATTGATATATGTCACCAAAATAAGGGGAGGGCATGAAGCTCAAACTTTACTTATTTGCAGTGAAAATATGAGTAAATATACAGACATTAAGTACAACCACAGGTCCACCTAATAGTTCCATGAGGTAAGAAAAACACCCGTTTCCTGGCCTGGTGCGGTAGCTCACATCTGTAATCCTAGCACTATGGGAGGCCGAGGTGGGTGGATCACCTGAGGTCGGGAGTTCGGACAAGCCTGGGCAACATGGTGAAACCTCGTCTCTACCAGAAATACAAAAATTAGCCAGGCTTGGTGGCGTGTGCCTGTAATCCCAGCTACTTGGGAGGCTAAGGCAGGAGAATTGCTTGAACCCAGGAGGCAGAGGTTGCAGTGAGCTGACATCATACCACTGCACTCCAGCCTGGGCGACAAAAGCGAGACTCCATCTCAAAAAAAAAGAGAAAAATACCAGTTTCCTAGGAAATCAAGCAAGTATCTACATATTTATAGCTTTGTTGCTTCTAGCCAAGAGACCCTTGAAAAGTAGGTCATCAGTGCACAAGCAGCCTACTTACGGCATATAACCTTAACATTTTTTTTTTCAGAATAAAACATTCCTTGCTAAGGTGAAAAAAAAGAACCAAAATACACATTTAAAAAGCAAAACAAAACACACATTACACAAATATAAGCACTTTGATGATGGTCAATATACAGTCCCAGACTGTGAGAATTATTAGAATCTCTCATGACCTGTTCATTATGCCTTTAACAAAATAATAGCTCTTATTCTATGTCTCAAGTGGTCTTATGAGAGTTGACATTAGTTCCCCATATGTAGCAAAAATATCTCAAACTACTACAAGGATGAAGTGCTATGTCTTACCAGACGCATTATATATGCAAAAGGAGAAATCTTCTTGTCCAATCACCTTTTAAGATACTAAACAGCAGAAGCTATCTAGCCACAAGAGCAGACTGTTAATTTCTAACAAGGTGTGATAAACTCAGTATCCTACTAAGTGTTTGCTAAGGAAGCAGAGAACACTAACATAACTATTTAATTGCTACTGGTACCATGCAGATTTCAGACTAAAGGGATCCTGGCCAGGAACATGGCTCATGCCTGTAATCCCAGCGGGAGGGTCACTTAAGCTAAGGAGTTCAAGACCAGCCTGGCAAGGGCAACATGGCAAAACCCCATCTCTGCCAAAAACAAAAAAATTAGCTGGGCATAGTGGCAAGCACCTGTAGTTCTAGCTACTGGGGAGGCTGAGGGGGGAGGATTGCTTGAGCCTGGCATGCCAAGGTTGCAGTGAGCTGAGATCGTGCCACTGCACTCCAGCCTGGGTGACAGTGTGAGATCGCGTCTCAAAAGAAAAAAAATAAAAAGAAATAGGGGAGGGGGGAGATACTAAACTAAATCAGTACTTAATTGTTCTTTAGGCATAAAGGGAAACCAACATGAAAAACGCTCGAAACATAGGGTATTTTAAAAGAACAAAATTATAAAGTTAGCATGTATGCTGGTATATTCTAGATAACGCTTCAACTTCCTGGATAAGACATTTCACTATTCTCAATAATCATTCCAAACAAAAATGGGTTTTGTTCTGAAATAGACTTAAGAAAATAATCATCTTCAGACCCTCAGTACTGATTCCTTAGGACAGCTTCAGGTAAGTGGTTTTTTCTTTAGTAAATTAGTTATTTCTAAGGGGAGCTATATTAGAAACTACTACCCCAACTATCTACTGGGAGTGATGACTCATATTACAACTGAGTTTACAACAGGCCAATCAAATTACACAGACACAAACTACAAATATATGCTATACCATTTTCTCTGGTCTTAACAAAAATTTCAAGTACCTTACTACTTGGGTTAATAAAGCACAAACTCAAAACCTACATCACACCACACTTAAATACATGTATCACCTTTTACTATCACCTTGTTAATCCAGTTACATGCTATACAGGTAACCCAAACACAATCTTAAAAATCTGTACCCTAAGAAATCATGGCAGGCAGGGAAGAGAGTAACACAGGATTGACTTTCTCCTTCCTTCCCCTGGCGTTGAATTAACACATAATTTCAAATGCTAATCTTCCAGTTACACAATTTAGAGGATGAAACTAATTCCTTTTTAAATCTTCTGGTTAATATATGCATTCGGGTTTATAACCTGTTAAGATATTGGTAATGTATTTAGAAGAAATATTTTCTAACACTTAGGTAAATAATGTGAAGCCAAGGTCACTTGTTTAGCCAATATAATATACAGCTTCTTCTAGTATGCAGTTAAATGATGCAATGCACATAAAGAAAATGCCATACACACACTATGTGATCAATAAATGTTTTAATTATGCCAAAAAAAACCCCATACAGGTATTCAAAAACAAAACAAATATATCTTTTGTTAACCTGAGTGATTTAAAGTTAAAATAATATTAATATTATTATTATTATTATTATTTGAGACGGAGTGTTGCTCTGTTGCCCAGGCTGGAGTGCAGTGGCGTGATCTCGGCTCCCTGTAACCTCCGCCTCCTGGGTTCCAGCAATTCTCCTGCCTCAAGCCTCCCGAACAGCTTGGACTACAGGCGCGTGCCACCATGCTCGGCTAATTTTCCTATTTTTAGTAGAGATGGGGTTTCACCATGTTGGTCAGGCTGGTCTCGAACTCCTGACCTCGTGATCTGCCCCACTCAGCCTCCCAAAGTGCTGGGATTACAGGTGTAAACCACCGTGTCCAGCCTTATTTTTTATTATCTGGGACAGTTCATGGTTGAAATACCTTCTTTCCCACACACAAAACGTCATGTTCCTTACTTTTACTACAAACAACAGACAGTAAAGTTACCTTTTACATATAAAAATGTTAGGCTTCTACACCATAGTAACTGACCAGATTTTCAGCATGATTCAATTTTAAGATTAATGGTCTCACAACATACCACAATGTTGTAATAATCAACTTATTTGGGGAAAAACAGGGGGTATTCTCTAATTTCTCAACCTAATGTGTATTTTTAAGTCTTTGGCTGGGACTACAGGCGTGTGCCACCATGCCCGGCTAATCTTTTTATTTATTTATTTGTAGAGATGAGGTCTCACTATGGTGCCCAGGTTGGTCTCGAACTCCTGGCCTCCAGCGATTCTCCCGCCTCGGCCTCTCAAAGTGCTGGGATTTCAGGTGTGACCCACCGTGCCTAGCCCTATTTTATAAACTTCTCATAATAATCTTTATAATCTCTCCTAAAACACCTTTGAAGGAGGTAGTACTCATACCTGATTATTAGTTTGTTCAAATCTAAGTAATCAAATCACTATCATGACAAAAGAAAATAATCACCACCACAAGAGTCAGAATTTGAGTTGGTCATACACTGTTCACCAAATGGAAATTCTAAGAGAAGCAGAGAAAACGTATGCGTGAGGGAAAATGTCCAAGTGTTCTAATTACTGCACCTGTTCAAGATGCATTAGTTTAATTCAGCAAATGAAAATTTAAAGTCTCTCTATATTACTTTTCATTTAAGCCTTCACATCACTATTTTATAGATTTCTTGAACAACTATGACAGGATCTATTCAGTTATAAATAATTTTTTAAAAATTTTAATTAACAGATGAAACTACCAGATAAAGTACTTAGACAATGCTCTATGGGTGCAAGAGAAAGAACACTGTATTATGAGTCAGTCCCCTTAGAGTTATGAACCACATAGCACATGGTTGGTACATGCTTGGAAAAGTTACTCTGGGGCTAAGTTCAATTTCCTCACCTGTGAAGTTAAGACCAAATTACCTTACAGTTATATAGGAATTTGTAGTTTTCACAGGGTTTTGGCTTGTTGCCTCTCAGGTGAGTTTTACAGGAACCCCGATAGGCGGGCAGGGAAGGTGTCAGCGCCCTGTTTTATAGTTGTGGATTTCTTAACAGTTAAAGAGATCACATGAAACACTGTAAAAACAGCAAAAGTATCAATACGACTCTAAGATGAGCATGAATCCCCACGTTCCTAGTCCTTCTGGGAGGCTATACTTAAAAAGAGTGACAATCACAATGGCTGGGTGATTAAATAAGTCAATTACTGGAATAAAAGGTTTTTAAAAGACTAAACATAAAAGGAAGCAAATGAAAGTCGACCTTTCTAAAAGCATAGTCAGAATTTAAGTACATGCATAGAAAAATATCTACGGGTATTCACCATAATATTAATAGCGGTTCGCTCCGGGTGCGGGGAATACGGGTGACTTTATCTTTCTTGTTTATCTGCGTTTTCTAAAACAAACATGAACTAGTTGATATTCTAAACAAAAACAAGCCAAAGCAATTACACACTGGCAGACTGCATGCACGTACGTTTGAAAGCTCCAACTGTAACAACAGTGACAACTCCCAGGAACCCACCGGCATTTCAAGGACACAAGCAGGAAGCCCGGAAATCCCTAAAAACAGGTGCTAAAAGCCGCCAGCGCAACCTGACAGCCGCGACCGCCTCTTTTCAACCTGAATTCAGGGGGAGCTGGGAGAGGAGACTAGTCTGGTTTGACAAAAATCAGAATCAGAAATTCCCTCTGGCACCTCCCAGATCTCGAAGAGAAAGTGGGAGGAAAGGCTAGGGGGCGGCAGGCATTCACCATGCATGAATAGGGGGATGGGGAGGACGGAAGCCTCGAACTCGTGGCTCAAATGGTCCCTCCGCCCCCATACCGGACGAAGCGCCGGCGAGGAGCGACGGGCTTGGAAGCCGACCGCCCAGCCAAGGGGCTTTCAGACGGGGCCCAAGGGTGCCCTCCCAACCTGGCGGGCCCCAGCCCCCGTCTTACAGGGTTTCTTGGCATCTTTGATCTTCATGGCGTCGGCCCGAGGGGCGATGGACGGCCTCCGATCCGGGGCACTGAGAGCAGAGGCGGCGACTCCGGAGGTGGCTGGGCCGCGCGGCGAGGCCCGGCCGGTTCCTCCCCTCAGGCCGGGCGGGGCCGGCCTAGGGCGGGGCGGCGGCGCCTGAGGAGATGCCCGGCCCAGGGGGCGGCCCCCCACCCCCGCGAGGGGTGGCCGGGACCGAGCAAGCTGGGGAAGGCCGCCGGCCTCGCCGCTCCGGGGCCCCCCCGCAGCCGCTCCAAACAAAAGGCCCCGGTCCCCGGAGCCGCCGCCACCGCCGCCGCCGCCGCACTGAGAAATAGCCCGCCCAGGCCGAACGCCCACGTGACGCGAGCCCCCCCTCGCTCCGCTTCCGCCCGGCTGCTGGGGATTGTAGTTCTCCGGTTCGTGAGGCCCCGCTCTCTGGCTGTAGTTGTGCAGGTGGACTACAAAGCCCGAGATGCATCGCGGCCCCTCCTCCGAGGCCCCTCAGCTTCCGCAGATCGCCTCAGAGTGGTCCCAGCGAGAAGAGGGCTGGGTCTTAGTCACGCCAGCGAGGAGGCGACCAATGGTGACTGAGATGGGCGTGCTGGGGAAGTCGGGCTCAGACCTCAGCAGGTCGCGGAGAGAAGGGGGAATGAACTCTTCGAGAGGACTGTCATGGCTGTTCGGCCATTCTCAGATTTCCCCTTGAGACAGGAAAGCTGGTCGTCAGGCCATGGAAAGCGCTACAATCAGGGCTCTAGAGCTGTGCTTAAGATAGACCCTTGAGTACATTGGCGGATTAAAATTATTCACAAAGGAATCCTTTTGCTTAATAGAGACACCTTGAATGTTAGGGTCGGAATGATGACAATAGCAGGAATAGAGGTAACATCTATGGAACGCGTTATGTTCATGGGACTCTGCTAAGCACTTTGTGTGATTTACTTAAATTCAGGGGCCTTGTGGACCACGTGCAATTATTCATTTTATTGTCACTCATTTTGAAGATGGGGCACGGTCTGAGGAGTTAAATTGCTTGCTGAGCATTCTTTTTGCCACCGATCCATATTCCCCTGGGGCCCTCCAGCCCAGCTCTCTCCTTCTAAAGGGAAAACTGACTCCCAGAGAAGAAAATTTAGTTGCTCCAGTTCTCACAGTAAAGCCAGGACACCCTTTCCCCTTGCCTCCTAGAGTCTTAGTCCTCCAGCTGGAATGGGAGAAGATGGCATTGGGTATCTTCTCTTGGCCTTCACTTTTGTTGCCCAGTTAGATGGCCAGGAATTCTGTAGTTTTTACAATAGATGGATAGAGGGTTGGCAGTAGAGGATTGGGCATTCCAGTCAAAGAAACCCGCTTACCAAAGAGCCTTACTGCCCCTTCTTGCAGATGATAAGCCAAGGGATGTGAAGAAGGACAGGAGAGGACACAAGCTACCATTTATTGAGTACATACCAAGGGCTGACACTTTGCAAAGTGCCTTACTTTTAAAATTTAAATTTAATCCTCCCAACTACTTTTTGAAATACAATGATTAAAAACTAAAAAAACTTGCTGGGCGCAGTGGTGTGTGTCTGCAGTCCCGGCTATTTGGGAGACTAAGGTGGGAGGCCCAGGAATTTGAGGCTGTATGTGATAGAGTTTGTGAATAGCAACTGTGTCAGAGGCATTTACCAGAGCGACTCCATCTTGAATAGGGATTGGATGAAATAAGGCGGAGATCTACTGGGCTGCATTCCCAGGAGTTTAAGGCATTCTTAGTTGCAGGGTGAGATAGGAGGTTGGCACAAGATACAGGTCACAAAGACCTTGCTGATAAAACAGCATGCAGTAAAGAAGCTGGCCAAATCCCACCAAAATCAAGATAGCAATGAAAGGAACCTCTGGTCGTCTTCACTGCTCATTATATGCTGATTATAATGCATTAGCATGCTAAAAGACACTCCCACCAGTGCCATGACAGTTTACAAAAGCCATGGCAACATCAGGAAGTTATCCTATATGGTCTGTAAAGGGGAGGAACCCTCAGTTCTGGGAATTGTCCGCCCCTTTCCTGGAAAACTCGTGAATAATCCACCCCTTGTTTAGCATATCATCAAGAAGTAATAATAAGTATAAGCAGCTGAGCAGCCCATGCTGCTGCTCTGCCTATGGAGTAGCCATTCTTTTATTCCTTTACTTTCTTAATAAACTTGCTTTCATTTTACATTCTGGATTCTCCCCAGATTCTTTCTTGGAAGAGATCCAAGACCCTTCTCTTGGGATCTGGATCGGGATCCCTTTCTGGTAACAACTGTACTCCAGGCTAGGTGACATAGTGAGACCCATCTCCAAAATAAAATAAAAATGTTAAAAGTTAAAGAAGAATTCACACAAATTCAAATATTGGTTCTATCACTTGTTAACAAACATGGGCAAATTACTTCATCTCTCTAATTCTTTAAAAAAAAAATTTTTTTTAAGATGCGGTCCCACTGTGTTTCCCAGGTTGGAGTGCAGTGGCATGAGCAAAGCTCACCGTAACCTCAAAGAGCAATCTGTGGGTGGGGCGGTGGCTACACTGTAGTCTCAGCCTCCTGAGTAGCTGGGACTGTAGGCATGTGTTACCATGTCCAGCTAAGTTTTTTATTTTCTGTAGAGATGGGGTCTCACTTTGCTGCCCAGGTTGGTCTTGACCTGCTGGCTGGCTTCAAGCAATCCTCTGCCTCAGCCTCCCAAAGTTTTGGGATTACAGGCATGAGCCACTGTACCTGGCCGTCTCTCTGATTCTTGTTGGAAATAATAATGCCTACATTTCACGGGTTTGAGATGGGGATTAAGTGAAAAATGCGAATAAGGTAACATGGCGGTCTGAATGTTTGTATTCGAACATGGTCTGAATTCAGTATTGAGAGGTGGGGCTTTTAAGAGGTGAATGGATCGTGAGGACTCTCCCCTCATGAGTGTATTAATTCATTCATGGATTGATGGTTTAAGGAGTTAATGGATTTATTAAAAGAGGCTTTATTAAAAGAGTAATAGTAAATCAAACGTAAAATCTAGAATCAAAATCTGGTCTGATTGGTGCCATGTGGTTCCTTATCTTTTACCTTTATTAAAAGAGGCGGAGGCCAGGTGCAGTGGCTCATACCTGTAATCCTAGCACCATAAGAGTCAAAGACAGGTGGATTGCTTGAGCCCAGGAGTTTGAGACCAGCCTGGGCAACATGGTGAGACCAGGCATGATGGCTCATGCCTGTAATCCCATCACTTTGGGAACCCAGAAGTTTCAGACCAGCCCCAGCAACATAGCATACCCAGTTTCAAGTGTTCTGTTAAAAGCAGCAGAAAAGGCTGGGTGTAGTGGCGCATGCCTGTAATCCCAGCACTTTGGGAGGCCGCGATGGGGGGATCACGAGGTCAGGAGATCGAGACCATCCTAACTAACATGGTGAAACCTCGTCTCTACTAAAAATACAAAAAAAATTAGCCGGGCATGGTGGCGGGCACCTGTAGCCTCAGCTACTCAGGAGGCTGAGGCAGGAGAATGGCGTGAACCTGGGAGGCGGAGCTTGCAGTGAGCTGAGATCGCACCACTGCACTCCAGCCTGGGCAATAGAGCAAGACTCTATCTCAAAAAAAAAAAAAAAAAAAGCAACAGAACATGGACTATGATGTATGTAACATATTATCTGGCATATATGTAGTGATCAGTAAGTAATGATTATGTTTATTATTTGGATTGTTATTCTTTTTTTTTTTTTTTGAGATGGAGTCTCACTCTGTACCCCAGGCTGGAGTACAGTGGTGTGATCCTGGCTCACTGCAACCTCTGCCTCCTGGGTTCAAGTGATTCTCCTGCCTCAGCCTCCCAAGTAGCTGGGATTACCAGCGTGTGCCACCACGCCTGGCTAATTTTTGTATTTTTAGCAGAGATGGGGTTTTGCCATGTTGACCAGGCTGGTCTCGAACTCCTGACCTCAAGTGATCCACCTGCCGTGGCCTTGGATTGTTATTCTTATTGTAAAGTAAAGGAAGAAAGCTTTTGTATTTAGACATTTTGCCTAAGGTCATTATTTGGGATCAGACCATAGGTCTAATTAGGTAAAAGATAAGGAACCACATGGCACCAATCAGACCAGATTTTGATTCTAGATTTTATGTTTGATTTACTATTTTGATTCCAGATTTTATGTTTGTTGTTTAGAAAATTTTTTTTTAGGGACGAGGTCTCACTCTGTCACCTGAGCTGAAGTGTAGTGGCGAGATCTCACTCTGTCACCCAAACTGAAGTGTAGTGGCATGATCATTGCTCACTGCAGTCTCCAACTCCTGGGCTCAAGGGATCCTCCTGCCTCAGCCTCCCGAGTAGCTGGGACCATAGGCATGGACCAAAACACCCGGCTAATTTTTTTATTTTTTAATTTTTTGTAGAGATGGGTTCTCACTTTGTTGCCCAGGCTGGTCTCAAACTCTTGGCTTCAAGCCATCCTCCCACCTTCACCTCCCAAAGTGTTGGGGTTACAGGCATGAGCCACCTTGCCTGGCCTTTATTTGTTTTGTTTTGTTTTGTTTTTTATAGAAACATCTTTCTGAGCTACCAGGAATATGACTTGGCAAGTTAGAATCCTGAATGGTAGACTTAACCTGCACTTCCTCTTTTATTTCCTGTTATTACTCTATCCCACACAGAACCTTAGATATTCTAGAATGGTCCTGTTTTCCACAGTTTTATTGGATGAGAGTCGTGATTTCTGATCTGACATGGCTTCAAAGAATACTCACTATCTAATATGATTTACCTGCTGCTTTTATAAATCTTATGGGCACACCAAGTTCTCTGACAACATATATCTTTTGGTTGTTTCTGGTTCTCTTTGACAGTATCAGCTTGGAAGTCAAAGGGGAATTGATACGTATGTCTTGTGATAGTCTGGCCATGGTCTGAAAGGAAGAAGAGCTAGAAATTAGAAGCCACAGAAATTTGGGTAAGTTTTGGGCACAGGCTCTTGCTAGTTTCTGTGGCCATAGAGATGAGTGTACACATGGATGACTTAGCTTAAAAGTTAGGCTATACACCTGTGATATTACTAGAGTTAACCATCTATTTGCTGTTTGTTCAAAGATGAGACTACTCTTTGGTCTGTTATGCCAGAAAATCACTGAACTTTGAATAGTGAGAATTCCTGTCTCAGATCAGCCATACAATTGCTGTGTGACCCTGGGAAAGTCCTTTTTCTCTCTGGGCTTCAAATTACCCATCTGCAAAATGAGATGACTGTTGGAGATTTTTTTTTTCTCTTTTTGAGACGGAGTCTCGCTGTGTCGCCCAGGCTGGAGTGCAGTGGCATGATCTGTGCTCACTGCAAGCTCCGCCTCTCGGGTTCACGCCATTCTCCTACCTCAGCCTCCCCAGTAGCTGGGACTACAGGCACCCACCACCATGCCTGGCTAATTTTTTGTATTCTTAGTAGAGGTGGGGTTTCACCGTGTTAGCCAGGCTGGTCTCGATCTCCTGACCTTGTGATCCGCCCGCCTCAGCCTCCCAAAGTGCTGGGATTACTGGGATTACTGGCGTAAGCCACTGTGCCCGGCCTAATATCTGCCTCCCAGGTTCAAGCGATTCTCCTGCTGCAGCCTCCTGCGTAGCTGGGACTGCAGTTGCCTGCCACCACGCCTCCCTAATTTTTGTATTTTTAGTAGCGACGGGGTTTCACCTTGCTGGCCAGGCTGGTCTCAAACTCCTAACCTCAGGTGATCTGCCTGCCTTGGCTTCCCAAAGTGCTGGGATTACAGGCATGAGCCACTGTGCCTGGTTTTTTTATTTTTATTTTTTTGAGACAGAGTTTTGCTCACCCTGGCATGAGCCATGGTGCCCAGCCCAGAGATTTCTTTCATCTCTACTTTTTGAATTTCACTAAGAACCTGTTCCCTTTTCAGGACCAATGTGAAGTGTGTTCAGTTCACTAAGAACCTGTTCCCTTTTCAGGACCAATGTGAAATGTGTTCAGCCATGTGTTTCCTAAAGTTTTCACCAGTGTGATTGAAACTGACAGGTCATCCTGTTTTAGTTTGTGGCCACTCTTCCTTCTGCAGCCTGCGTTGGCTTTCAGCCCCAGTCCCTCCTCCTAGCACCATCTGGTTAATTGCATTTTCTCTCTTTTCTAGCATGTCCTCAAAACCCATTCCTGGCAGAGTGAATGCAGGAGCTGGGAAAAGCATCTAAAGGGGCCAAGAGACTGTCTTCTTGTCTCAATATTTATTGTCTATGAAACACAATAAATCCAGCCCATCATGCAAAATGATAGAGGAGACCTGACACATCTTCATTTTGCCTTTACTGAGCGGGTATCCACAGAGACAGGTGGTGAGTTGTACCTAATGATGACTATAGGTCTCCTGGTATGAATAAACACACACACACACATGCGCACACACGCACACATGCACACATGCACACACACACACATACACTCACACCCTACACACCCTTCAAAGCCCAGATGAAGCTTTTAACAGCGGATTCTGTCTCTAATTAAATGGTCAAGAACATACTTCAGTCAGTCATTGGATCCACAAACTCAAATAAGCTAGGGGAGAACATCATGAATATTAGCATCCTCAGTCATCATCCTTGTCATCATCATTATCAGCAGCAGCAGCAGCATCGTCATCATCACTATCATGATAGTGGAAGCACAATTTAATTCAAAAATACTAATTAAGCTTGAACTATCTTCCAGGCACTGGAGTACTTGCTGGGGGTGGAGAGAGGTGAAAAAGAGAGAAACAATAATTAAGTTAACAAATCAATAAACAAGAATAGGCTATAATAAGTGATGTGAAGGAAATAGTCAGGTTGATGTGCTAAAGAGTGGCTGGGGCTGTGGAAGATTGGTTGGGGGTTCAGGCTTTATTCTAGATTGGATGGGCCAAGGAGGATAATCTCAGAAAGTGGCATTTAAGCTGGGACCCATGCAGATTGCTGGGAAAGAGTGTGCCCGACAGAGGTGTGACTGGTCCTGAAGGTAGATTTTTTTTTGAGGAACAGAAGCAGCAATGTGTGAGGAGTAGAGAGTGAGGTGTAAAGTGATAGGAGATTAATCAAAGAGTTGAGCTTGCTGGCCCTTGAGGGCCACCTGAAAATTTTAAGCAGGGAGTGATTTGTCCATGAATTTAGAGGATTATTTTGGCTGCTTTGTGGAGAATGACTGGATGGGAGAGGAGTTATGACTTGGAAATGAAAAGACTAAGAGACTCCCATCCTTCTCAACCCACACAGAGTCAGTCACCAAGTCTGAGGGGTTCCCGGAGCACTCCAGGCATTGTACAGGGACTTGAATCATTATGGGAGCAGCAGAGACGGGGAGAAGTGTTGGATCAAGAATTTCATTTAATAGTTGGGTGTGGTGGCATGTGCCTGTAGTCCCAGCTACTCAGAAGGTCAAGGCAGGAGGATCATTTGAGCCCAGGGGTTTGAGTCCAGCCTGGACAACATAGTGAGATGCCATTTCTAAAAAAAAAAAAAAAAAAAAAAAAAAAAAAAAAAGAGAGAGAGAGAGAAAAAGAAAAAATTAAGAATTTATGTCAGGTATTAGTGAAGGGTGAATATTAGTAAAGCTGAAAAAGGTTTGAAGAAGTTTACAAAAAAATGAACTTCATTTAATTCACGTTTATTGAGCTCTGACAATGCACCAGGCACTGTTCTAGGGATTAGGGATATGGAGATGAATGGGATAAGGCCCCTGCCCTCCTGGAGCCTACGCTCCAGAGACAACAAAGGTAGTAAACCAGTAGGCAGCAGTATAATATCATTTTAGATCATATAAATGCTATGAAGATGATACGGCAAGATAAGGGGACCAAGAATGATCGGGACTGTTTGAGATGGAGTGATTGTTGAAGATTAATTAGATTAGATGCATGGGTATGGGGAAAAGGAGGCAGGAAGTGTAGTAGGTTTTAGGGTTTGGGCTTGCACTTCAGAGGAGACAGGTAGTTGTGTCATTTACTAAGAAGGGAAGCCTGGAGAGTAAATAAGTGGTTGATTCTCCCAGCCACTCCTCAGCTCAGGTTGGGGATGCTAGGCATGTCTTGCCATAGGAGTCAGCTGGTTTCAGCAGTTGGTGATTTTCATCTCAGAGGCCCCCAGTGTGGGTGTCACAGACTTCTGCTCTGCCCAGGAATGCATCCTACCAGGCATTTCCTAGGGAGCAGGGAAGAGCCTCTCCCTGGAGTTCTCCTCTGCCTGCCGATCCCTGCCTCCTGGCACCTCCACCTCAATAGTCCAGTTTCATCATTCTCCCACTCCCTCTTCATTTCCCTAAAGGCCCTGTTTCAGCTGGTGGTTCCATCCACCACCCACTTGCCCAGCACAGAAAGTTAGGAGTCATTCTGGACTCCTCCTGCCCCGTCACAGTGCACATCCAACCAGTCACCGAGTCTTCCTGCTGTTACCTTCCTGTCTCTTCCTTTCCGTCCAACCTCACTGCTCTCAACTGAGCACCAGCCTCTGCGTCTCTCATTTATACTCTTAAAGACCCTTTCTGGTGGGCATGGTGGCTCATACCTATAATCCAGCACTTTGGGAGGCCGAGGCTGGTGGATCATTTGAGGTCAGGAGTTCGAGACCAGCCTGGCCTACATGGTGAAACCCTGTCTCTACTAAAAATACAAAAATTAGCCAGGCATGGTGGCACGCACCTGTAATTCCAGCTACTCAGGTGGCTGAGGCAGGAGAATCGCTTGAACCCAGGAGGCAGAGGCCGCAGTGAGCTGAGATTGCGCCACTGCACTCAAGCCTGGGCGACAGATCCAGACTCCATCTCAAACAAACAAACAAACAAACAAGACCCTTCCTGGCAGGTGTGATGGCTCATGCCTGTAATCCCAATGACTCAAGAGGCTGAGGTAGCTGAGGCAGGAAGATCAGTTGAGGCCAGGAGTTCGAGACCAGATGGGGCAACATAGCAAGACTCTGTCTCTAAAAAATAAAAAAAAAGACCCTTCTTGCCTCTTGCCTGCCTTTATCTGACCCACCCTCTTTACCCATGCCAGAGAGAGTTTTCTCAATAGCAAACCAGAATGTATCATTTTCAGGGCTTAGGACCTTGTCTCTTCCTGACATGTTGTCTTCAAGATAAAAATCCCAGCTCCTGAGCCTAGGGTATAAGACCAGTCATGATTGGCCTCTGTGTATCTCTTTAGCTGCATCTCATGCCTCTACTCACCCTTCATTATATGTTCCAATCAGACAAAAGCAGCTTCTAGCAAACTAAATGCTTGCTGCTGCCTGATGTCCTCACTCCTTTCACAAGTGGAAGACTCTCTTTTTGAGTTTCATTGAACACGTTTTTCTACTTTAAAACCCAACCTAGAAATCCCCTCCTCCAGAAAAGCTTCCTCTCTTCTATGCTACTTCTGGTCCCTGCATGTGCTTCTAGTTTTCTCACTCACTGCAAAATAATACAGTGATCCGTTTACTTGCCTGTCTCTTTCACTGCCAGATGAGCTGTTTGAAGGCTAGCATTGTGACTTATTCTGTTCAGTGTCCCCAAGCCTAGCAGGGGATCTGCCCCCATATGGGGACTTACAAATAATTAAATTGGATGGGTGTTGGCCCAGGTCCTTCAGATGCAACCTGGAAAGTCTTATTCTTGTAGAAACTTCTAGAAACATAATTAATGACAACAAAAGCAGTCTAGCACCTCTTGTAGGAATGAATCACGGTATTTTAGAAGGGTGGGACTAGACAGTGTGGCCTAGGAGCCATCATGTACTTCCTCACACGATGTTTAATCAGGGGCAGCTCTAATTACAGGTGGCCCTCTTCCTGGACTTGCGATGCCTAATAGTGTATTTATCAAGGCTTTCATCAGGTTAGAGTAGAGTGGTTAAAAACTAGGCATTGTAATCAGGCAGAATTAGGTCCCAATCCCTGATTGGTTGTGCAACTTTAGAGTGGTAATTTTGCTTCTCAGTTTTCTCATCTATAAAATGGGGATAAAAATGGCTCCCTTGCCATTGAGTCTTTGTGAAGATGAAATCACTTCATGCATCTAAAGTGTTCAACTCAGTACTTGGCATTGGGAACAAAAGAGTTGGCTTGATGTTGACTATTAGACAAAAATTCATGATGACATTTAAGTCTCAATGTAAGTATCACTTCTGCCTGCAAACAGATTAGTTTACTTTCTAAGATAGGTGCCTGCTTTACTTTCTCAGATAAGTTATTTATTTATTTATTTATTTATTTATTTATTTATTTATTTATTTTTGAGACAGTCTTGCTCTGTCGCCCAAGCTGTGGTGCTATCTCGGCTCACTGCAACTTCCGTTCCCCGGGTTCAGGTGATTCTTGTGCCTCAGCCTCCTGAATATCTGGGATTACAGGCATGCACCACCACACCCAGCTAATTTTGTAATTTTTAATAGAGACAGGGTTTCACCATCTTGGCCAGGCTGGTCTCAAACTCCTGGCCTCAATTGATTTGCCCGCCTCAGCCTACCAAAGTGCTGGGATTACAGGTGTGAGCCACTGTGCCCGGCCCTCATAGAACTTTAATACTTTTATTTATATCATTCATCACGATGTCATTTAGTCTGACATCCTCACTCAGCTCAGAAAGCTCCCAGAGGGCGCGGCTGTCTTTTTTATTGTTTACCATTGTGTTCCTAACTTTTAACACAGTTCCTGGTACAGAGACAGTTCCGACCGAATATTTGAATAAACAAAAGAATGAATAAGCAAACCTTTCCTAACGGCTGCTACCACTAAAGATCTTAGCATGGTGTGTGTGTGCGTGTGTGTGTGTGTGTGTGTGTGTGTGTGTGTGTGGTGGGGCTATTCAGTAAGGCTAGAAGTGAAAAAGCTAGTAGAAAGCCCATGGTGATGGAGAATGGAGGAAGACTGATTAGGGAGCTCCTCAGCAGTATAAGGAAGGACTAAGAGCACATAAGGACAGGATCATAGAATTCCGCATCTCAGGATTTTTGAGGCTGCCACTGCCTTAGCTGTGAGGCCAGTGCATATAAGAATAGTTTGCACAGTTCTGCTGTGGAAATCAGGGCTTTTACTGAAAGCTTAGCCAACTAGCCAGCAAGAATAGCTTTCTGGAACTTAGAGCCTTGTGAAAATTCCCAAACTGAGGATAATTCCAAAAAAGGTTTTCTTGCTGGCTTTGAAAAGTAGGATATACTTTTTAAAACCCCTTCTTCATCTATGATACAGATTATCTGACAGTTCCTGTGCAGAAGTCCACAGAAGGCAGGAAAGAAGGGGCCAGGAGTAAATCAGGTGCCTCATATGAAGACCTCAGCTAAGGAATAAGAAGAGTAAGAAAACAGCACGTCTTCAAATAACATCATTTCCTTCAACGCCGTTTCATTATGTTGATGAGAAAAAAAAAATCTCTTCCCAGCTGGGGCCACTGTCTGTGTGGAGTCTGCACATTCTCCCCAAGTCTGCATGGATTTTCTCCAGGTACTCTGTTTTCCTCTCACTAGGATACTATCCCAAAGATGCACACCTGAGGTTAATTGGTGTGTCTGAAAGGTCCCAGTGTGAGTGAATGTGGGTGTGTGCGTGAGTGCGCTCTGCAATGGGATAACGTCCTGTCCAGGGCTAGTGCCTGCCTTGTGCCCTGAGCTGCCAGGATAGGCCCCAGCCACCCAGGACCTTGAACTGGATTAATTGGGTAAATAATTCTCTTATCTCTTTTTATTAATCTTTCCTAAATGACTGTATAGCTCACATTTGTTTCAATGTTTAACTTTTAGAAGTGTTTTCAGTCTTTATGAGAAGTTTAGTGATGATTCTGTTACCAGAACTATGCCATAGGAATTTAACTCTTGTTAGTATCAATTAGCCTATGGCCAAATTGGTTTCCTTATACATCGTTTTGCTTGAAGTTGCGTTTCCAAGATTTTATTGACAATGTTAAGTGAGGACTTACTGTACAGCGTGGGGGTCAGGTTAGAGCAATGCTATTCAAAGTGTGGTACACAGATGGCTGCTGATCCCCAGACTGCTTTTGGCTTCCAACAAGATATGGAGCAGGAGGTAAGTCAACTGCATCACTAATCATACTGTTTGTAGTTCAGCTGGTATTTTCTTCACAGTAAGACTTTCTCCATGAAGGTAGCATTGCATTGATTTACATTTTGACCCAGGCTGTCACTGCCCTAGGCTTGGACCATTAACAAATAGTTCACTGTAAAGCTGCTTTGAGCAGCTCTGGTTTGGAGCATGGGCTTTGGAATCAGTCAGAGTGGGCTCTACCACTTAAGCAAGTTCCTTAAGCTGCCTGAGTTCCCTAGTAGGACACAAGGAAGAGTGTGGATTCTATTTCAAAAGCAATTCAAAGCCACTGGGAGGTTTCAAGCCCGATCATAAAGTTTCTTGTGAACCATGTTAGAGTTTGGACTTTGTTCAAGGAAAAGGGACCCACCAAAGATTTAAAAGCAGGGGAATGTCAGGATTAGAACTGTATTTTGGAAAGTTTACTCTGGCTGTGGTAAAGATAACAGCTTAGGCGGGACAGGAGGCAAAGAAACCAGCTAAGGGAAGGCATTCTGGTGGTGGAATGAGAGAATAAATGTAAGAATGAGTGAATTCATAGCATTTACTAGATAACAAGCTTCCTTGTGGCAGGAGCCTCACCACCTTTTGCTATGGATGTTCTTCAGCACAAACTTTCAGTTTTTGTGCAAGTCAATTTTTAATTAACATTTAACTGGCAAAAATGACTAGCTAATATAAAATCAAGCTAGATTCTCTGTCCATTCTAGAGAAGTTGAGCCTTTGTGAGCAAGGCTGATCTCGCTCATGATACAGAAGTCTGTCTCTTTTACCTTGTTTACTTTTTTCCTGTTTACCTTCACAGCCACTGATCCTCAAGGTTAGCAGATGAGTAAGTTTCCAATAGCAGCTGAACTGGAGTGATTTCTATCTGGAACCAAACAAATAGCTAGACTCTGTTTGGAATTTCTGCTTCCAGAGTTATCCAGCCACAGAGCCTGTTGCACAAGGCAAACTGGCACTTGCCCAGCATGCTTAATAGAATTCTTAGTACTCTTACCTAGAAGTCCTATTCATTATTTGAGGCCATGCCAGTCAACACCAGCTCAACCAATATCAATGACCAAGTAACAATGAAGACAGCTATTTGTTGAGCACTTACTATGTAGCAGGCACTGAGCTAAGGGATTTACATGCATTTTCTGATTTTTTTTCTTGTCACACAGAATGTTTTTATTCCTGCTAATAGATTCTTTATGATTTGAGATACATTTAGAATGTATATATTTTTATTATACTTTAAGTTCTAGGGTACATGTGCACAACGTGCAGGTTTGTTACATGTGTATACGTGTGCCATGTTGGTGTGCTGCACCCATTAACACGTCATTTACATTAGGTATATCTCCTAATGCTATCCCTCCCCCCTCCCCCTACCCCATGACAGGCCCCTGTGTGTGATGTTCCCCACCCTGTGTCCAAGCGTTCTCATTGTTGAGTTCCCACCTATGAGTGAGAACATGCGGTGTTTGGTTTTCTGTCCTTGTGATAGTTTGCTCAGAATGATGGTTTCCAGCTTCATCCATGTCCCTACAAAGGACATGAACTCATCATTTTTTATGGCTGTATAGTATTCCATGGTGTATATGTGCCACATTTTCTTAATCCAGTCTATCATTGATGGACATTTGGGTTGGTTCCAAGTCTTTGCTATTGTGAATAGTGCTGCAGTAAACATATGTGTGCATGTGTCTTTATAGCAGCATGACTTATAATCCTTTGGGTATATACCCAGTAATGGGATGGCTGGGTCAAATGGTATTTCTAGTTCTAGATCCTTGAGGAATCGCCACACTGTCTTCCATAATGGTTGAACTAGTTTATAGTCCCACCAACAGTATAAAAGTGTCCCTATTTCTCCACATCCTCTCCAGCACCTGTTGTTTCCTGACCTTTTAGTGATCGCCATTCTAACTGGTGTGAGATGGTATCTCATTGTGGTTTTGATTTGCATTTCTCTGATGGCCAGTGATGATGAGCATTTTTTCATGTGTCTGTTGGCTGCGTAAATGTCTTTTGAGAAGCGTCTGTTCATATCCTTTTCCCACTTTTTGATGCGGTTGTTTGATTTTTTCTTGTAAATTTGTTTAAGTTCTTTGTAGATTCTGGATATCAGCCCTTTGTCAGAGGGGTAGATTGCAAAAATTTTCTCCCATTCTGTAGGTTGCCTGTTCACTCTGATGGTAGTTTCTTTTACTGTGCAGAAGCTCTTTAGTTTAGTTAGAACCCATTTGTCTATTCTGGCTTTTGTTGCCATTGCTTTTGGTATTTTAGTCATGAAGTCCTTGCCCATGCCTATGTCCTGAATGGTATTGCCTAGTTTTCTTCTAGGGTGTTTATGGTTTTAGGTCTAATATTTAAGTCTTTAATCCATCTTGAATTAATTTTTGTATAAGGTGTAAGGAAGGGATCCAGTTTCAGCTTTCTACATATGGCTAGCCAGTTTTCCCAGCACCATTTATTAAATAGGGAATCCTTTCCCCATTTCTTGTTTTTGTTAGGTTTGTCAAAGATCACATGGTTGTAGATGTATGGTGTTATTTCTGAGGCCTCTGTTCTGTTCCATTGGTCTATATCTCTGTTTTGGTACCAGTACCTTGCTGTTTTCGTTACTGTAGCCTTGTAGCATAGTTTGAAGTCAGGTAGTGTGATGCCTCCAGCTTTGTTCTTTTTGCTTAGGATTGTCTTGGCAATGCAGGCTCTTTTTTGGTTCCATGTGAACTTTAAAGTAGTTTTTTTCCAGTTTTGTGAAGAAAGTCATTGGTAGCTTGATGGGGATGGCACTGGATCTATAAATTACCTTGGGCAGTATGGCTATTTTCACGATATTGATTCTTCCTATCCATGAGCATGGAATGTTCTTCCATTTGTTTGTGTCCTCTTTTGTTTCGTTGAGCAGTGGTTTGTAGTTCTCCTTGAAGAGGTCCTTCACATCCCTTGTAAGTTGGATTCCTAGGTATTTTATTCTCTTTGTAGCAATTGTGAATGGGAGTTCAGTCATGATTTGGCTCTGTGGTTGCCTGTTATTGGTGTATAGGAATGCTTGTGATTTTTGCACATTGATTTTGTATCCTGAGACTTTGCTGATGTTGCTTATCAGCTTAAGGAGATTTTGGGCTGAGACGATGGGGTTTTCTAAATACACAATCATGTTATCCGCAAACAGGAACAATTTGACTTCCTCTTTTCCTAATTGAATGCCCTTTATTTCTTTCTCTTGCCTGATTGCCCTGGCCAGAACTTCCAACATTATGTTGAATAGGAGTGGTAAAGGGGGCATCCCTGTCTTGTGCCAATTTTCAAAGGGAATGCTTCCAGTTTTTGCCCATTCATTATGATATTGGCTGTGGGTTTGTCATAAATAGCTCTTATTATTTTGAGATACATTCCATGAATACCTAGTTTATTGAAAGTTTTTAGCATGAAAGGCTGTTGAATTTTGTTGAAGGCCTTTTCTGCATCTATTGAGATAATCATGCGGTTTTTGACTTTGGTTCTGTTTATGTGATTGATTATGTTTATTGATTTGTGTGTGTTGAACCAGCCTTGCATCCCAGGGATGAAGCTGACTTGATCGTGATGGATAAGCTTTCTGATGCACTGCTGGATTCGGTTTGTCAGTATTTTATTGAGGATTTTCGCATCGATGTTCATCAGGGATATTGGCGTAAAATTCTTTTTTTTGTTGTTGTTTTGTCTCTGCCAGGCTTTGGTATCAGGATGATGCTGGCCTCATAAAATGAGTTAGGGAGGATTCCCTCTTTTTCTATTGATTGGAAGAGTTTCAGAAGGAATGGTACCAGCTCTTCTTTGTACCTCTGGTAGAATTTGGCTGTGAATCCGTCTGGTCCTGGACTTTTTTTGGTTGGTACGCTATTAATTATTGCCTCAATTTCAGAGCCTGTTATTGGTCTATTCAGAGATTCAACTTCTTCCTGGTTTAGTCTTGGGAGGGTGTATATGTCCAGGAATTTATCCATTTCTTCTAGATTTTCTAGTTTATTTGTGTAAAGGTGTTTATAGTATTCTCTGATGGTAGTTTGTATTTCTGTGGGATCAGTAGTGATATCCCCTTTATCATTTTTTATTGCATCTATTTGATTCTTCTCTCTTTTCTTCTTTATTGGTCTTGCTAGTGGTCTATCAATTTTGTTGATCTTTTTAAAAAAACCAGCTCCTGGATTCATTGATTTTTTGAAGGGTTTTTTGTGTCTCTGTCTCCTTCAGTTCTGCTCTAATCTTAGCTATTTCTTGCCTTCTGCTAGCTTTTGAATTTATTTGCTCTTGCTTCTCTAGTTATTTTAATTGTGATGTTAGGGTGTCGATTTTAGATCTTTCCTGCTTTCTCTTGTGGGCACTTAGTGCTATAAATTTCCCTCTACACACTGCTTTAAATGTGTCCCAGAGATTCTGGTACATTTTGTCTTTGTTCTCATTGGTTTCAAAGAACATCTTTATTTCTGCCTTCATTTCATTATTTACCCAGTAGCCATTCAGGAACAGGTTGTTCAGTTTCCATGTAGTTGTGTGGTTTTGAGTGAGTTTCTTAATCCTGAGTTCTAATTTGATTGCACTGTGGTCTGAGAGACAGTTTGTTGTGATTTCTGTTCTTTTGCATTTGCTGAGGAGTGGTTTTCTTCCAACTATGTGGTTAATTTTGGAGTAAGTGTGGTGTGGTGCTGAGAATAATGTATATTTTGTTGATTTGGGGTGGAGAGTTCTGTTGATGTCTATTAGGTCTGCTTGGTGCAGAGCTGAGTTCAAGTGCTGGATATCCTTGTTAACCTTCTGTCTCGTTGATCTGTCTAACATTGACAGTGGGTTGTTAAAGTCTCCCATTATTATTGTGTGGGAGTCTAAGTCTCTTTGTAGGTCTCTAAGGACTTGCTTTGTGAATCTGGGTGCTTCTGTATTGGATGCATATGTATTTAGGATAGTTAGCTCTTCTTGTTGAATTGATCCCTTTGCCATTATGTAATGGCCTTTGTGTCTTTTGATCTTTGTTGGTTTAAAGTCTGTTTCATCAGAGACTAAGATTGCAACCCCTGCTATTTTTTGTTTTCCATTTGCTTGGTAGATCTTCCTCCATCCCTTTATTTTGAGCCTATGTGTGTCTCTGCACATGAGATGGGTCTCCTGAATACAGCACACTGATGGGTCTTGACTCTTTATCCAATTTGCCAGTCTGTGTCTTTTAATTGGGGCATTTAGCCCATTTACATTTAAGGTTAATATTGTTATGTGTGAATTTGATCCTGTCATTATGATGTTAGCTGGTTATTTTGCCCATTAGTTGATGCAGTTTCTTCCTAGCATTGATGGTCTTTACAGTTTGGCATGTTTTTGCAGTGGCTGGTACCAGTTGTTCTTTTCCATGTTTAGTGCTTCCTTCAAGAGCTCTCGTAAGGCATGACTGGTGATGACAAAATCTCTCAGCATTTGCTTGTCTGTAAAGGATTTTATTTCTCCTTCACTTAAAAAGCTTAGCTTAGCTGGATATGAAATTCTGGGTTGAAAATCCTTTTCTTTAAGAATGTTGAATATTGGCCCCCACTCTCTTCTGGCTTGTAGAGTTTCTGCCAAGAGATCCACTGTTAGTCTGATGGGCTTCCCTTTGTGGGTAACCAGACCTTTCTCTCTGGCTGCCCTTAACACTTTTTCCTTCATTTCAACTTTGGTTGAAACAAACAAACAAACAAACAAAACAAAAACAAAAAAGAAAAAGAGAGAGAGAAAACAGGAGGTGCACAGCAGTTGCTGGTTTGTGGCAATTATGAAATCCTGTCAGGCACGTGTTGCTGGTTCCTTGATCACAGTCCATTTCTACTCAATGATTCTCTACGGCTTTGCCTTCTGGGCTCTTGGTTCCAATTTCTGAATTTAATCTTCCTTTTTCTAAAATGTAACCTGGGTGGTTTTTCCCCCTGGGTGGTTTTCTCAGCCTCCTTTCTGCCCATAGAGGTTTTGAGATCCAAAGCTCCCTTTTCACCTTGTACTGTCTCCTTCCCTTTTAGTCCAAGCAGCTTCTAAAACACTGAGAATTTTCTATGATTCTTACTGGGGTTTCCTCCATTGGGAAAAAAGCTGTGACCTCACATCCTTTTGGCTCATATGAGTCCTTTCTGCCTTAGGTTCCTTTTGAGGCTGCTGTGGGACAATGCCCTTAATATTCTTAGAAATCCAATTGTTTAATAAAGAGAAACAGTAAGCACCCCTTAAGCTTCTTAGAAGGATTTTGTCTGTTTGAAAGGGTTGTTGAGTTAAACCTTTCTGTGTTCTTAACAAGAGATGCTGTACCCACCCTTTGCTGGGAAGCTATTTCTTAATTTGAGAATAGTTTGCCCTCTGGAGAGGCTGGGAGTGAGAAGCAATTTCATTTTCAAACCCCAAAAATCTGGGCTTTTTTTTTTTTTTTTTTTTTTTTGAGACAGGGTCTCATTCTGTCACCCAGGCTGGAGTGTAGTGGTACAATCCTGAGTCACCATGACCTCCGCCTTCTGGGCTCAAACAGTCCTGCCACCTCAGCCTCCAAAGTAGCTGGAACCATAGACACATGCTGCCTCGCCTGGCTAATTTTTTTGTATTTTCTGTGGAGACCAGATATAGCCACGTGGCCCAGGCTGGTCTGGTCTCAAACTCCTGGGCTCAAGAGATCTGTCCACCTTAACCTCCCAAAGTGCTGGAATTATAGGCTTGAGCCACGTTGCCCAGCCTCTTTTTTATACCCTCTAAATTTTGCTTGAAATCTAAACAGTTTCATTTTTTAAGCTGCTTTTTTTTTTCTTTCTTTCTCATCCTCTGACTCTCATAAGCTGCTTTTTCTCATTTGCCTGGTACTATATGCAGCTTGGCTAGATCATCATATTCGTTAGGTACATTTCCTGCTTTCCCACATCACAACTGACAACAATGCCTCTACCTTCCACCACCTGTGAAGGTCTTCTTTCCCTTCTTTCCAGTAGCATTTCCCTCACTTCCCTGTAAGGTGTCCGCAAGACCCATTAGGCTTCACTAACATTCATCAAGGCCCCTCAGCTTCTACCTGCTACTAAAGCACAAGGATGATGCTACATGTTTAGGTTTCTGTTATAGTAGCAACACACTTCTAATATCAATTAATATTGGGTTCCAGTTGTCTGTTGCCATGTAACAAATCACCCCAACCTTAGCTCCTTAAAATAACAGCAGTAATTTGATTTTTATTGCTTCTGGTCCTCAGGCTTGGCAAGGTTCATTTAACCAGTTCTCACTCAGGGTCGCCTGTGAAGTTGCAGTTGTCTGGCTGGGGCAAGTGTCATCTTGAAGGTTAGCCCATGCTAACTAATTGAGTTTTTCCTTTGGGAATTTGTAACTGAGATATTGACAGACTAACCTGATTAATAAGGGGAGCTATGCTGAGAGGCCGTGTGGACTTTTAGAGTTAAAATAGGGTTGCATTTGTTATACTCAGCCATGGGTAAGATGGCTACCCACAGGAAGTCATCTGTTAGGAGAGAAAACTGAGATGCAGCGATGACAGAGACCACAGGGCGCTCTGATTCCTGGTGGCTTTGTAACCCCATAAGTCCTGGCTGTGTTTGGTTTCTATCATACCTCTGCATTCCTACCATAAACTCCCATTTTGACCTGAGTTAGCCTGAGGAGGTTTCTGTTCCTGGCATGCAACATACTGCCTTCTGTGGAGCCCTAGAAGGACATTTTGAGGATCTTCATTATTCTCAAGGAGTGGTGGGGATGAACAAGCATGGACTTCAGGGCCATTAAGTCATACATTCATTTATTAACCCATTAATTCAAGAAAGTCTTTACTGAACTTCAGTTAAGTAATAACTTCTGCTAGGCACTGGACACATAGAGGTGAACAAAATGGACAAGGTCCCTGTCCTCATGGAGCTTACAGTCTAATGACAATCACCCAAAGCCAAATTCAATTGCCTCCTCTGCCAGTTACTAGCTGGGTGAAATTCCCACTGAATTGAGGATTTCATTTTGCCATCTGGGAAATGGGCATCACTTTGTGGAGTTGGGATGAAAATTAAATTACGCATATGTATGTGTGTGTGCATGTGTGTGTGTGCAGATCATGTGGCACATGGAAAGTCCTTACATATTTGAGTTTTATTTCCTGTTCCTGTTCTCTTAAATCAGGGATGGCATCTTGGGCAGGGTAATTCTTTGTTTTAGGGCCTATCCTGTGCATCGTGGGACATTTAGCGGTATCCTTGGCTTCTACCCACCAGGTGCTAGTAGTTCTACCCCCCAGCACAAGTTATGATAAGCAAAAATGTCTCCACATATTGCTGGGGTGGAAGGCAAAATTGCTCCCAGTTGCAAACCACTGCTTTAGATAAAATGCCAGACCTTCATGCCTAAAGCTGCAGACCCCAGCACCCACCTTTGCACTTCACTTCCCAATTTGTATTGCGGGGTGAGGTGTCAGAGCCCCAGCATTGAGAAGTAGTCAACTCGCGGGTTGGTAAAAAGAATTTACCAACCACAGTATACGCTTGAAAAAGGAAGGTTTATTAGAAAGAAAGAATGCCGCAGAAGGGTGCAGCGAGGCGCCTCAGTGATTTTTCCTTAGGGGTATTTATGGACCTTAAAGTGGGAGCTTAAGGGTAATTTGAACCATATTAGCCACATAGGTCATGATAAATGATTACATTTGTAGACATTTTGGTGCCTTAATGTCAGCAAGGATTGCACAATGAGTTTCGACATGGCGTTCCAGAGATGCATAGAAATTCTAGTTTTACTTATAAGTTTTTTCGACGGGGAAATAAATCTAGAACCGATGCCTGCTTTAGATACTAGGGAAGTCTAATTACTTCTAATTTTCCCCAGGTAAGGAATTTTGCCTTCGGATGGCCTGTTTGATAGTCACCAGGTGGTCTTTGCTCCCTTTTAAATTCCTCAGGTTAGGAGTTTTTGTCTCGGGGCCTGTTCAGTGGTCACCAGGTGATTTTATTCTCCTCACATATGATTCCTTTTCCCTAGGTTTTTGCCTCCTAAACAAGCTGACATGAGGAGGAAACTAGATACCAATGCCAATTTTGTAGTGCTAGCATTGCAGAAAGGAAAATCTGTATAGCCTCCTCCGTCCTTCCATCTCTGAGGCCAAGCCCAGTCCTGCCCTCTTAATTACCTCCAGTGATTTCAGCAGACTGGGACTGTTGATCCACCCTGGCATAAAAAAACAACAGGCTTGGCCAGATCTGATAGGGCAGAGAAACCCGAGCCTTTCCCCTGTGCCTTTCACATGGGCCCCAGCTGGGGGTTGAGGGTCATGGCTTTGGTGGCTCTTAGCTGCAACACACTAGTTATTGCCTGAGGGAGAGGGGGAAGGGGTTCTGTTTCCAGAGGCTGCTCCAGAATTTCACAACAGGGGGGCCATGGGCATAGCAATCTGATTTTGGTAGAAACTGAGTTGGCTTGGTAAGCACATAATTGACCCATAGATTGTGTTATACGACTATAAAAATATCTTAGTTTTCTTAAAAAAAAAAGGCCTTTATTTACACTTTATATAAAATTGAGAAAAAAATGTTTATGTTAAAGATTGTGGCGGGGCGCGGTGGCTCACGCCTGTAATCCCAGCACTTTGGGAGGCCGAGGCAGGTGGATCACCTGAGGTCAGGAGTTCAAGACCAGCCTGGCCAACGTGGGGAAACCCCATCTCTTCTGAAAATATAAAACTGAGCCAGGGGTGGTGGAGCATGCCTGTAATCTCAGATACTTGGGAGGCTTAGGCAGGAGAATCATTTGAACCTGGGAGGCAGAGGTTGCAGTGAGCTGAGATCATGCCACTGCACTCCAGCCTGGGTGACAGAGCGAGACTCTGTCTCAAAAAAATAAATAAATAAATAAAGATTATTATGGTGGTAATGATTTCATCTGAGGTTGGGACTTTTTTTTGGCATTATTCTACAATCAGACCCTGTGGGGTAGGACTGGCATAGTTCTGTGACACTCTATTTTACCACTTTCTCCTTTGTTCATTTATTGACCATCTTGCTATTTCTTGAACACCAAGCTCCTTCAGGGCCTTTGCACTTGATGTTCCCTTTTCCTAGAATATACCCTGTCTTAGTCTGGTCAGGTTGCCATAACAAAATACCACAGACTGGGTGGCTTAAATGACCAAACATACCTCAGTTTCTGGAGGTTGGAGGCCCAGGATCAAGGTGCTGACAGAGTAGGATTCACTCTGAGGCCTCTTCTCTTGGCTTGTGGTGGGAGGAAGGTGAAGTGATGGGACACTGTAGTGTTTTTGCTTATGCAGACACTGGTCCTGTTGAATCAGGGACCCACCCTTGTGGCCTTGTTTAACCTTAATTACTTTTTTTAGAGGCTGCATCTCCAAATACAGCCACCCTGGGGGTTTGGGCTTCAGCACATGAAGTTTGGGGGGACACAAACATTCCTTTCATAACACTCCATGTTAGACCTTCACCTAACTTTGTCCCTACCTTGATTTAGCTCTTCGCCATCTACAGTACATCTTCTCCTGTTTTCCTGTCACTCTCTTTCTCCTCTGCTTTTACTGCCTAGTGCTACCTATAATTATTTTGTATTTAAAAAAATTGTGCTTATTGTCTATCCCTACCTCTTAGGTTCGTGTTAAGGATTATACAAGCTAGCCTAAATAAACTATTCATTGAACAGGTGTCCATTAAGTGCCTTCAATGTGCAAGGCACTACTGTAGGTTCTAGAGTTACAATGGTGAAAAAAGGCAGACATCCTCTCTGCCTTCACATAGGTTATAATATTATGGGAGCATTCATTGAACACTTACTGAGTGCCAGGTATGGTACTGAGAGTTCACTTAGATTATTTTGTTTGGTCATCAAAAAAAAAAAAAAAAAATCCTATGAGGGAGGTCCTATTGTACTAAATTTATAGAAGGGATGATTAAGGGCCTGAATCGATGAGCCACTTTTTCAAGTTCATCACTAGTTCAAGGTCTAATTAGAGCTGGATCTTGCAGTCTGACTTCAGAGCTGATGCTCTTGACTAGCACGCTAAACTGCAAGTAGAAGGCATGGTAGGGCACAGAGCACATTTGAGGGGATGAAACAAAGTCATATATGGCTGTGACCTCAACATTGGAAGACATTTGGCACTGATTATTCTCATTCACCATCAGTATTCTGCATCCACAGATGCACTTCACTATAACAAAATTTGCATATAAAACTTGCATGTACAAGATAGATATTTTGAGGGATTATTAAGAATGTTATTAAAAATCATTGCTATGGGATTCCTTTACTTTAGAGTGTGCAATAAAAAAGCACAATAGGGGCTTCAGAGGTGGACAGATCTGGTTTCAAATCCTTACTTTACCACTTAATGTCTTTGGAACCTTGGGCAGCTTCTGAGACTCAGTGTTCTTATCTGTGAAATGGGGATAATAATACCTAGTTCACAGAGTTCCAAAATATCCCTGCAAATAGAGGATACTTAATAAAAACTAGCTACCATTTATTATGCTATCATTTTCACAGTGCATTCAAACTATTATTTGAGTTTTAAAAATACTGACTTTACAGAAACATCTGTATTACATAAAGTGAGGCCAATCTGGAAGAGTGAGTTGCATAAATTGATCACTTGGAAGCATCTTCTTTTCCATCAGCTCCCCTGAACACCTCTAGGTAATCCCATCAGTCCCCAATTCCCTTTCCCCTGAAAGTGTCTTTGGGACTGGTGCCCTGCCAAGGTTCTGGGGTGGGGGTGGTGGAGGAATCCAGGTCCCTTGGCATAGTGTGTGACTCTTTTCTTTTTGCTTTCTGTTTCAACGGGAGGGAGTCTGCACCAGTGTTAGTAGGTTGGGTAAGAAAGTAGTGAGAAGAGGGAAAAAAGAAAGATGTGAACTCATATCCAAGTCATACCCAGTTCTCATTGGAGCTACAGAAACTAACTCCTTTTGGCCAGGACCAAAAAAATAAAAAATAAAAAAAAATTAGAATCTCATCATCTTTGGGCTTGTCAGACTGCATTGTACTCTGCCTTTTTTTCTTTCTTTTCTTTAACTTTTAAGCTCAGGGGTACATGTGTAGGTTTGTTACGTATGTGTCATGAGTACCCTAGTTTTGTCTATGGGTGTATAGAAGGCAACTGTGGGTTTCATCTATCCAATATCCATTCTTACTTCCTGGAATAGTAACTTGATTTTTTTTTGGGTGGGGGGTGGTGGGGAACCAACCTTCTCCTACTCTCAGGCAGATAAGTGTGTGACCAGGCCTGGCAATCAGCATGTCCTGTTTCTCTGGCCACAATGCTTCAAAGATGGCAATGTGAGCCAAAGCTGGGCCAACAAGGCTCAATTTTGATGCTTTTACTAGTCTTTCTTTTCCCCAGGGATGCTAAACCATGGGGGTGAAAGCTGCTTCTCCTGCTTTAACCCTCTGGAGAGAGCTTATCTTGGAGTGGAGCCAATGAGACAACAGTAAGACCAACCAGATGAGAGACCCATGCTCATAATACCATTTGAATTCTTCCATCTTGTTTTCAGTTACTTGAGCCAGTAAACCCAGTTCCTCTGGGTTTTGTTGGTGGTATTCTTTTGTGTTTGTTAAGTCAGTTTGATTTTGGTTTATGACACTTGGAATCAAAAGAGTTCTGAGTCATAGATCTGACTTTCTGAAAGTGGAGTGTGTGGAGGAGGCAGCCAGGATGGGAGGAGGTCTGAGAGCCATTCCATAGCAGGAACTCTTAGGGTGCCTAGCAGTGTTAGGCCTGAGGAAGAGGAGATTTCCTGTCTAGAGGGGCTGTCACTGGGCAGCCTGTCTAGTCTGGGTAGGTGTGCTCCTAGGGAGGCAGAAGTAGACCAAGGAGCCGGGCGCGGTGGCTCACGCCTGTAATTCCAGCACTTTGGGAGGCCAAGGTGAGGGGATCACTTGAGGTTAGGAGTTCAAGACAGGCCTGGCCAACATGGTAAAACCCTGTCTCTACTAAAAATACAAAAACTAGCTGAGTGTGGTGGCGGGTGCCTGTAGTCCCAGCTACTCAGGAGACTGAGGCAAGGGAATCACTTGAATCCTGGAGGCAGAGGTTGCAGTGAGCTGAGATCGCACCACTGCATTCCAGCCTGGTGACAGAGCAAGACTCAATCAAAAAAAAAAAAAAAAAAACACAACAACAACAAACAACAAACAAACAAAAAGAGACCAAGGAGAGGAGGTTAAAGAGGAGCAGATTCTAAGGATGTTACTTCCAATAGTAATTGCTGGAGTAAAGATGGGATTTCCAAGTCTGAGAGGTTACTAGAGCTGTCTGAGAGGAGCTGGACTGATGTAGCCAGAAGTGTGACAACACTGGGAGGGGCACATTTGGACTGACTTTGAGCTCCCTTTCTATTTTGGGAGTTTCTGGTGGAATGCAAAAATGTTTGACAATATCATTAAGCCTGGAATATGTGTAAATAAGCCAATATTTCACTAATACAAGGTCCCTTTGTAAGGACCATGTCTTGTTCTCTCCTCCAGCTTCAGTGGTAGCATAGGGCAGAAAGAAGCCGGGTAGTATGGTAAAGGCCCGAGAGTCTAATCCTGAGTTGTCATTTGCTAGATGAGTGCCCCTGGGCAAGGAACTTCCCCTCAGTGAGGCCGAGTGTCCTCTCTGTAACATGGATCCCCTGTTACCCACGTTTAGGGTGGACCCGGGCACTGGCCGTAAGGTATGGGAAGCACTTGCCAGATGTGTGGGCCCTACTCTGTAAATGACAGCTGTTATAGGTGTTTCACACCTGTTTATGCAGTGGATGGGCAGAGGTGTCAGGGAAGCACCGAGGAGACAACTCCTGACAACTGACAACTAGTTTCAGAGAGGAGCTGGGGTGAGGGCAGCTGGGTGCTGCTCTTGCTGCAGGACCCAGTGTCCTAGTTCTTGCTGCTTTTGTGATTTTTGTCCTTGAGAATTCTAGTTTTTCTTTCCTGATTAAGTTGGACCCAGTTAAGCTTCCCTAAGAAGCAGAGTCTGACGCAGGGACTTATGTTCCAGTGATGCACTGGGTCAGTGATTTCAGGGGGAGGGGAGGGAGCAGGACCAACTACCTAATTTGTGAGGTCTAGAGCAAAATGAAAATGAGGGACCCCTTCAAGACAAAAAAAAGAGGGAAAAAGAGTGTCTTTTTCTTCTTCTTCTCAGAAGCATGGGGCCCTTCTGAACAGCTGGCCCTATGTGACTGCATGGGTCTGATGCTCCTGCCCTGGGGTGAGAGAAGGGGATAGGGCAGGGAGAAAAAGCTTAGCAAGAATGCTGTCTCACCCAAAGACTAGCTTCAGTCTGATCCCATGGGGAAACTGAGTGCAACATACACCACAGTGTTAGTCCCTACTCCAGGCAAGGGGCTGGCCTCTGGTACTTCCAGACCCTGCAGTCATTGACCATGGTCTCATAGGCTGTGTGGGGTACAGCTTCCCTAGAGAGATGGCTCCTACTTGGCTGAGGGCAATTCTCCAGTGAAGGGAGCAGTTATCAGGTGTCATCAGCTAACACAGAAGCTGGGAGTAAGTACCCAGGTCCAGGAAAGGGCATCTGGATTGGGCACCAAAAGCAACCACTATAATCCACTTCTTGTGTCAATTCAAATCTACTTGCTTCTCATGTGAATTTTCCCCATGCCTTCACAGGATCCCTGGTTGGTCACAATTCTGGAAAACACAGGGAAGGGTGAGTGGGAGAAATCGCAGCACTCATTTCTGCAGTTGTTTCCCCTGGCATCACAGATACTCATCACCTTTTTCCTCCAACACTATATTAGGTTTCCCACCCCTCTGACTGGCACATCTGCTGGTCTGAGCGTCTCTCCTGGTGGGTGTGATTTCCTGGTTACCATGCCATCGTCAGGCCATGGTTGCTGTTTCTATTCGCAGCTATACCAGGGCATGGGCACACACAAGATGCCATGGAGCACCTGAGTGCCAGGCATGTTTCTTCCTGCTCCTGTGATGTAGCAGCAGTCCTACCTCTTCCTTCTCATCAGGGACATTTACCTCTGCCAATGTGGCAGTTCCTTTCAGTGTCTGCTGGTCTCTGGCCCAAGGAACCCAAAGTGACCAGGCAGCTGTAACTTGAAGTTTAGTGGGACTCTTACTGTGCTCCTTGGTGGAAACATTTCCCCACTTTGTAAACAGGACTTCTAGACCTGCAGAGAGTAAAATTTCAAAAACAGAAAGCATAAATTCCCCAAGTGAATCCCTGAGAGTGGTGTCATTCTTTGTCTGAAGACCCATATTTCCTACTTGTGGGGGACATGATACCATATAATGGCCACTGTTTTAAGGTATATGCCATGCCCCTTACACACACGGTTTAAATCTCTAAGCTGGTGTTTCAGTTGCACCTTCAAATGGCCATTCCATTACTCCATCAGGCTGGCAGCTTCTGGATGGTGTGGCACATAGTAGGACCTCATGGGCCCACCATAGCACCTGCTTTGCTTTAAGTCTGCTTGTTAAGCAATATTATTCAGGACCCCATGTGGGTAAATCAGACAGCCTATGAGCCCTTAGATGGTTGTACTGGCTAAAACAGTGCGGGAAGGAAAGGCAAACCCATTCTTGGAGTTCTGTAACAGCATCTCCTGTAGAAAACAACCACCATTGAGCTTCTCATGACACTGTTGGCTCCTTGCCCACACATTTCCTATCTCCTTGGTCAATGGAGAGCCCTCCTGGCCTTCCCAGGGACATGGTCAGCTGGTGGGTTTTTCTGTCTCATCCAGGAGGCCCATGCTAGCACGCCCATTTCTCTGAGCCTTTTCATCCTTCCCTCCACTTTGCAGTGGTAGTTCTGGCATCTCTACATTGTTCAGTGTGGGTCATTACTTTTTCCATCTTTTAAGAGCCATCTGGGCAGCACATCTGAACCATCCCCTTGAGCTCTTGCCAGGGTGTTAGATCCTGTGACACTGGAGAGAGCCCCTGCACATCAACAAACTCTACCTTACCCAGTTAATACTTCACCCCCCTTGAGGCATCCCCCAGAATCCTCCACAGTCACTCCCATCCCACCCGGCCATTGCAAGTTTGGGCTTGTACACGTTGGTCAGGTCTGATATACAATCCCTTTCTTTCCATAACAGGCCCAGTATTTCCTGAGTTGATCTAGGCAGACACTTTTCGCCTGGGTTATCAGTTTGGTGGCTAGGAGAAGAGGTGGGGCCAATCCCGAGGGAGGTCAGCATTGTTTTATAAGGCACCTGCCCTATTTAAGGCCTCTGCATGGTATTCCAGTAAGACGCATGGAGGTGGGGGCTCTATCATCCAGCAGGGGTTACAAGGACACTTCTGCAGTTTCAAAGGGTTCAGGAGTACCTGGAGATTCAAAGTTCTTATGTTTATACCTTTAAATAGCCCCTTCTTAGGCTCAGGGCCTCCTCTCTTGGTATTAGAGCCTTGTGTTTGGTATAAAGACACATGCTTTGCTGGTAATTGGCATTTGTTGAAGTCCTGCCACTCTTATAATGCAGTCCTGTGCTTGTTCTTCAACTGTGCCCACCCTCTAGCTGCAGGCGATGAGGGTCTCTTAAATGCTGCCAAATGGGCTGCTGACTCTTAGACTTTGCTTTAAGTTGTTGTCCAACGTGTCCATCATTTTTTCTCTTCAACAAATCAGCAGTGCTTAGCAAGCCACTGAGTTCCACACTCTTTGTTCACAGTACCCCTGCCTCTGACCTCTCAAATGCCAGAGAGGCCGTATCAGCTCTTGTACCCCTTCCAATGTTACCTGACCCTGTTCACCAGAAGTGAAAGTCTTAGCCCCCCACGCACTGTGGCACACCAGTCACTCTCAGTAGTGCCACCAATGATGGGTGCTTACTGCCATCTTGTCAGAGAAGGACCTAACCACAGAGTTTGCTTCTCAGTCACTCCTGGTACTGATTCATCTTGGGTTGGTTTTCCTGAAAGCAGAGCCTAAGATGGGGATTTTTGTTAAAGTGGGTTTTTTTGTTTTTTGTTTTTTGTTTTTGAAAAAACAAGGGGAATGAAGGAAACAAGATAAAGCTGGTGAAAAGCTAAGCTTTTCAGAATGTGGCCTCAGTGGGAATCTGGTTTTAGCCTGGTTTCCCTGTGACTCTCTGGAGCACAAATGGTGCCACAGAGATGGCCCCAACTTGAGGTAAGGGAGCCTGCTTTTTCTATCTCCCCATGCCAAGCAGTCATTGGCCCCCTCTCCTGCCAAGAAGCACAGATTGTATTGTTCCTTTCTTCTTCAAATCTGTCATAGGAGAAAGGAGATCCTCAGCCTCAGGGTACAGAAGCTCCAAGAAGAGGTTTGGCCTTTGGCCCAATTTCTCTGGAAAACGCTTTCAGGTTTGAAGACATTTTAATTCATTGTGACGCCACGTCACTGATATGCTGGGACGGTCTTTGGCATGAGGACGATGAGGAGGCCCGGCAAATGTGGCTGTGGAGCCAGGTTTGCCCTGTGGGATCAATCCTATAGTTAGATAATCACAGACACCATAGGGATTGTGTTCTTTTTTGTCTCTCTCGATTCCTGGGATGTTCACTACATGTTCAGTAATTATTGACTGAGTTAGAGAATCAACATGAAACCTGAAGAACTTGGGGTATAAGCACCAATTTTATGCTTTTCAACCAGATGTTCTGGGTAGGCAGGACAGGCAGGGATGTCAGGGAAGGAAGACTGTATAGTGTTCAGAGCCTGCTCCTGCAGGCCTGGGTTGAAATCGCAGTGATGACTCTTAGCAGCAGCATGACCCTGGGCAAGTGACAACTTCTCTGAGCCTTGGTTTCCTCTTCTGTTAAATGGGGATGAGAGCTACATCTACTTCATAGAATTGAAATGAGGATGAAATGAGATAATACATGAAATATACTTAGGGATCATGCTAGGCATCTAGTGACTGCTGAGTAAACACTATATTATTATTATTTTTGTTATTATCGAGACAGAGTTTGTTCTTGTTGCCCAGGCTGGAGTGCAATGGTGCCATCTCAGCTCACTGAAACCTCTATCTCCTGGGTTCAAGCTAGTCTCCTGCCTCAGCCTCCTGAGTAGCTGGGACTACAGGCACTCACCACCAAGTCTGGCTAATTTTTGTACTTTTAGTAGAGATGGGGTTTCACCATGTTGGCCAGGCTGGTCTCAAACTCCTGACCTCAGGTGATCCACCCGCCTCAGCCTCCCAAAGTGCTGGGATTGCAGGCCTGAGCCACTACACCCAGCCATATTTTTTATGAGACAGGGTCTTGCTATGTGGCCTAGGCTGGTCTCAAACTCCTGGCTCAAGCAATACTGCCTCTACCTCCTGAGAATTCTGTTATTGATAATGAAGTGTTATCTGAATTTCTGGGGGCAGTGGGGATTCTGGAGGCAGCATGATAGAGTGGAAGAAGCCAGTACCTTGAAGTCGGAGAGAACTGGCTTATATTTCTGACTCTACTACTTTCTGGCTCTGTGACTATGGGCAACTTACTTCCCTTCTCTGAGCCAAGGTGTTCTCATCTACCAAGAAAGAGTCTTACATCTGTATTGCAGAATTTTGGTGAGTAAAACATCTAGCCCAGGTTATAGCTCACAGTTGGCACTCAATTAATGCCAATTATCTTTCTTCTTCTCATTTTACAACTACATATTTAGCCCACGCCTCTATTTACTCACATGTGGCTTGAGGCCAAAGCTGTCAATTAGCCTTTTAAGTTTCTCAAGGATAGGAAGGTAGGGCACAGAATGAATGAGAGCATTCATTAAATGCTCACTTTAGAAGGCACAATCCTCCTGCATTCCAAGAAGCTATGTATTAATTGGAACAGAAATATGCAGGATGAAATAAACAGACAAGAGGCTTGGAGCTGCCATCTTAACAGCAGGAGATGTAACCAATCCTTAGGAATGTCTGCTTCTCCTAATCCTTAATTTTGACGATGATGAAAGGAGGGAAGATGACGGCAGCTAGTACTCATTGAGCACTTATTCTTTTCTAGGCAAGGGGCTACCACTTGACATGCCATATTTCTTTTAATCTTCTTAATAACCCAGTGAGGGAGATATAATCATCCCTATTTTACAGATAAGGAAAGTGAGTCACAGAGAAGGAAACTTCTGAAGTCACTAGCTAGTAAGAGGCATGCTGGGATTAGGATGGAAGTTGGCCTGAGTACAGAGCCCCAGATCATAAGCAGCACCCCACTATATCACATGCACTTTCCTAGAGTCAAAAAGCCAAGGAAAGGCCCTGTGAGAGGGCTTCTTAGAGAAATATGGAATCTGTTACCACTTTTATAAAAAGGTGTTTACCTATCAGCTATAAATCTCCCCTAAAGGGAATAATTTTTGAAAATCTTTCATACTGTTCCTGAGAGGTTTTTCTTTTTCTTTCTTTTTTTTTTTTTTTTTGACAAAGTCTCGTTCTATTGCCCAGCAATTCTCCTGCCTCAGCCTCCTGAGTAGCTGGAATTACAGGTGCCCGCCACCATGCCTGGCTAATTTTTGTATTTTTAGTAGAGATGGGGTTTCACCATGTTGGCCAGGCTGGTCTTGAATTCCTGACCTCAAGTGATCCGCCTGCCTCAGCTTCCCAAAGTGCTGGGATTACAGGTCCTAAGAGTTTTTTTAATGAGTGAGAAAATATTTATTTTGTATGGTTAATAAACTAGACACCTACAGTGGCTTCTTAGTCATATTGAGATATTACTATCTCAGTGGTGAGAAGAAAAAAAATCACTTAGAAAAAGAAAAAGCTTAGGAGTGTCATCTCTGGTTATTAGGAAGGATTGTTTTTCTATTTTACGTTTTCTAAAAATTCTGTGGTTTTTGTTTCTGATGTCGGTAATCAGGAAGCAAAAAGTTAAAGACAATTGGGATAAAGGATCTTCTGCGTTGTGAGCAATTCGAGATCTACAGCTGTATGGAGAATAAAAACTTATAGAACCGAATGATGCAGACTCTGGGGCCCAAGAACCTTAGAAGCTTTTCTTGTCTGTTAAGATAGGCTAAAGCCATGAACAAGTGTGCCTTAGAAAAGAAATTTTCACTAGGACATTCACAGCATTCCTGATGACTGACATCGCTTCAAGTTCAGTGAATTATTCTAACAGGCATAGCATAAGTACAAAGTGACCCAGTTGTGAATATTCAGGGCTGGGACGCCACGAGAGGAAATTGACGTTGGGGACAATCTGTGGGAGCAACATATTCTCCTATAGATGAAATGCCAGGGAGAATGGTGGGCTGCTTCTCACCAGCTAGTTTTCTGTATGTCCCCAGAATGTCTAATGTTTTCTCACAGTAGAGCTCTTAAAGAAAAGCTCTGTTACCTTTTATTGAAAATTCTGGACTCAAATGCTATAATTAAAAGAAAAAAATTAATATGCCCTATACTGACCTTTGAAATACTTGGATATAGAAGGGAATAGGGCAAGATCTCAGCTGTCATAAAGTTCATATTCTAGGTATACATCATTTTTGTTAAGTCACTAGAGATTGCATTACACGAACTAGATAAATATTCCCTTTATTCAGTCAATAAGTGTGTTATGACACTTTTTTGCAGTGGTGTGATCATAGCTCACCACAGCCTTGAACTTCTGGGCTCAAGTGATCCTCTAGCCTCAGCCTCCTGAGTTGTTAGGATTACAGGTGTGAACGACCGCACTTGGCCCTCTTTTTTCTTTTGTAATTAGCTTTTCTTTCTCGTTAACGAGGTGCTTCGATTTTTGGCATTTGCTCAGTTTTCAAGGTACTTACTGCTTTTTGTTCCCAGTGTTTCCACAGATTTGTCAAATGCCTATCAAGAAGATTTATAAATGTTCGAAGACATCAGATTATCAATTCCATGCTTCCCCCTCTCTCCACACCCCCCAAGAGACCTCTCTTCTGCTTCCCTACATCTTCTTTCTCGAATCTAGCCAGCTGATACCTGCCACATGTGTGGGTTAGCCCTCTATTTTCTCTTCCACTGTGTTACTGCATTCCTTATACATTCTTCATGCTTCCATAAGAAAGATTGCTTGAGAGATCTTGCATAACTAAGTAGGTGGCTGGACTTCCCTCACACTTGATTGATAGCTGGGCTTTGCAGAGAGGTCGTGATTGAAAATAATTTTTCATAAGAATTTTCAAGCCTGTTGAAAAATCGGTTGCAATTATGGCTCCCTTTCCTTTATATGTGAGTTTTTTTTTTTTCGCTCTCTGGGTTCTTTTAGGATTGTTTCTTTATCCAGTAAAGAGATATTTCACAATGATGAACCTTTGGGATGAGTCTTAAATTTGTTTTGCTTGATGCTTGGTAGAATTTTTCAATTTGAATACTCATTCAATTCTGGGAATCTTAATTTACAGCAAAAGCTGTGTTAATTGACTTCTACTTAATTGCCTTGCTAGATTAGGCCACACCTTCCACATTTGTTGTAGTAATTATATAAATTAGTTAAATGTTATATCTATCAATTAATATGAGTATGAAAAGAGAGTTGTTACCATGAAAACAAAGCTGAAAACATTGGAAGAAATTGATGAAGCCAAGTTGCTTACGTAAAAAATGGAGAAAATAGAAATTCTAGAATAATTCAGCACTCAAGATTACTTCGAAGGTGGCTTTAAGTTCTTGCTCTTCTTTAAGTCATCAGAAATTGAAAATCTGAAACAACACCACTATAGAAAACACACTGGCAGATCCAGTTAGCAGACCTATACTAAAAAAAGAAAAAAAAAAAAGCCTTGGCCTTGAATGAAAAGATTGGTGAGTGAATACACATTAATGTGGTTTAAGGTAAAGAGAAAGTACTAAAATACTAAAAGTGCAGAAAGCTGGCAGATACCACCTTAAGCAAGTGATCAAAGTTGACATCATGAATACTGGGTGGAGCTGACATTATGTACTTCCTGATGTGGTGCACTGAGCACCACGCTAAATCATTTCACTGGTACTTCTGCCAAAAAGGCAAACCTTCAACCTAGTCACAAGGACACATGAGATAAACACAAGTTGAGTGACATTCTACAAAATATCTGGCCTGCACAATTAAAAAATATCAATGTCAAGAAGGGCAGTGAGCTGGGCGCAGCAGCTCACACCTGTAATCCCAGCACTTTGGGAGGCTGAGGTGGAAGGATTGTTTGAGGCCAGGAGTTTGAGACAAGCCTAGGCAACATAGTGAGATCCCTGTCTCTACCAAAAATGAAAAAACAATTAGCTGGGCATGGTGGCAAGTGCCTGTAGTTCCAGCTACTCAGGATGCTGAGGTGGGAGGATTTCTTGAGCCCAGGAGTTCGAGGCTGCAGTGAGCTATGATGGTGTCACTGCATTCCAGCCTGGTGGGAGAGGGAAACCTTATCTCAACAACAACATCAACGATGGGCTGATTAAAGGAGACCAAAGAGGCATAACAAATAGATGTAATATGTAATCCTGAACAGTTTTAAAGAACATTTTTAGGACAACTGATAAAATTTGAATATGGGCTGTAGATAACAAATAGTATCATATCAATGATAAATATCCTGATTTTGATAATTATACATGATTATGTATAATCCTTGTTCTTAGGAAATTCACCCTGATGTATTTAGGGGTAAAGGGGAATAATGTCTCCAATATATTTTCAAAGAGTTGAGATAAATGATATAAAAAAATAGAATTTTAAAGCAAAGCAAATGGGGCTAAATAGAAACAATAGGTGAATCTGGGTAAAAGGTATACAGAAGTTTTTTTATATTGCTCATGCAGTTTTGGGGTAAGATTGCAATGATGTAAAACCCAGAGTTGTAAAAATGCTTAAGGTAAATATTTATTATGCTAATCTACTCTGACTAACTACTTATATAATCTAATTTTCTCTTAACTGACCAGCCTTGGACCTTCCAGGGCAGAGTAGACTATGGTGCCACGAGTGAATGTTTGGGATCAAAGGTTGCATGTGGGAGAACAGAGCAATGAGATTGAAGAGAGAGGCAGGGACCAGATGGTGAAGATGTTGTACCCAATTTAAAGGACTTGACCTTTGGTGAGCTGCTGGAATGTTGTTAAGCATGGGAGTGATGTGAACCCATTTATATTTCAGAAAGATCACCCTGGCAGCTGGAGTGCAGAATGAATAGGGGAGGGAAGGGGAAGATGCAGGATCGAGGCTACTGGAGTCATTGAAAAGAGGAATAATTGGGTCTTGCATTAAATCTGTGGCAGTAGGGATGAAATGAAGTGGAGGGATGCATGACCCTTCTGAGATGGAACCATCAAATGGGTAACTGACTGAGGAGTGACCCGGAGGGAGTGGGAGCACTACACGCTGACTCCCAAGTTGTCTTCTTAGGTCACTGGGACATGGTGATACCATTAACCTAGTGATGAAGGATTTTTCTTGGTCACTCTGTGGGCCGGAAACTTCCGGTTGGCGATGCCCCTCATGAACCTTGCTGAAGTATGGGCCCACGGTAGGAGAGGCCCTGACTACTCTGGCGCAGATCTTGTGGCCACAATGACTGCATGCTCAGCCCATGGTGGGAGGAAGTGTGTGAGTGAGTGAGTGTGGGGTCTGGCTGGCTGCTCCAGGAGCAGGCTCCATGCGGGGCTGTGGCTGGACCAGGCAGGTTGCAAGCAACTCCCTTGGTGGACTCCAGTGTCCAGAAGAGGGGAACGTGGTGGTCCCAAACAGGGGTGCCTGTGACCCCGAGGCCCCAGAGGGGGTGTGATGATAGCTCTTTCAATCCCGCCATCCACAGCCTGATGGATGGCGGTGCATTAAGAGCTCTCTGTCAGTCTCATCACCATGCTCTGGCCAGCAGCCCAGAGGCTAGTTCAGCCCCAGCACTACTTCCCATTGCATGGGGTGGCTGATGGGCTATGGTGTTACTGCCTTCTTCATATGGGCATTCAGCAGGGTCCTGAGTTCTTGTCCTGCATCCAAGAAGAATGAGCTTATGCTGACAGCCATGGGTAAGCAAGGTGAAGAGTTTTATGGAGTGACAAAACAGCTCTCAGCAGAGAGGGGACACGAGGATGGTCTACCACCCAAAGTCGGGTGGTCTCTCTGTGTCCCAGTGTGGCTGAGTTTGGGGTTTTTATAGGCACACAATGGGGGAGGTGCAGGATGTAGGTAGCATTAGAAAAGGCAACATTTTATTGGTTCAAAGCCATTATTCAGAAAGAATCAATTGGGAAAGAGCAAGTAAATAGGAATGCAAGTTCTCACTCTGGTCCAGACTTCATCCGGAAGCAGCAGCTTGGTTTTCAGGCTTTAAACTGTCTTTGGTTTGAAGGTGGGGTTTTACTGGGGACCCATCCCTGTCTACCTAGGATTTGTCTGCCTCGGATTTGTCTGCCTCCTGTCACTATCACTAGTAGGGACTTCAGTAGGAGAAACAGAGTAGGGGTGGAGTGGGCAGGTAGGGCAAGGTGATGACTTCTGTTTAGATCATGAGGAACTGAAGGTTTACAGGACATTGGAGGAGTGAACATGAGGTTTTCTGCAGGCCATCCTCTCCTCAGTTCATGGCGCACCAAAAACGTGTATGTTAGAATTGATGAGTGTGGAACTTCTGCCAGATTGCTTTCGGGTTTAGTTCTACTCATTTTCGCTCCCATCAGTAATACAAAAGGATTTGTTGGCATTTCCCCTGTCCTTGCCAACACTGGTATTTTCTGACTTCCAAATTTTTGCTAATCTGATGGAGATATCTAATGTTAGTTTATATTTCATTGTTTGCAGTAAGTGTAGGCTTTTTTTTCTTTTTCTATTTTTCTTTCTTTTTTTTGTGCTTATTAGCCACTCAAGTTTCCTCTTTTGTAAATTGTCTAGGTATATCACTTGATCATTTTTCTGTTGGGTTTCCAGTTCTTTTCTTGGGGATTTCAAAAGTTTTGGAGTATTTCAGATAGTAACTTCTTATCAACTTTAAATACTACTAGTATCTTTTCCTAATTTGTCATCTGTGCATTTTGCCTGTAAAATGTCTAAGTTTGATGAAGTCAAAATGTAGGATTTTTTTTTTCCTAAAAGATATATGCGCTCTTTCCCTTCGGTGTGCCACTGAAGATCCTGGTGTTGCCATGGGCCGCCGCCCCGCCTGTTGTTACCGGTATTGTAAGAACAAGCCGTACCCAAAGTCTCGCTTCTGCCGAGGTGTCCCTGATGCCAAGATTCGCATTTTTGACCTGGGGCGGAAAAAGGCAAAAGTGGATGAGTTTCCACTTTGTGGCCACATGGTGTCAGATGAATATGAGCAGCTGTCCTCTGAAGCCCTGGAGGCTGCCCGAATTTGTGCCAATAAGTACATGGTAAAAAGTTGTGGCAAAGATGGCTTCCATATCCGGGTGCGGCTCCACTCCTTCCACGTCATCCGCATCAACAAGATGTTGTCCTGTGCTGGGGCTGACAGGCTCCAAACAGGCATGCGAGGTGCCTTTGGAAAGCCCCAGGGCACTTTGGCCAGGGTTCACACTGGCCAAGTTATCATGTCCATCCGCACCAAGCTGCAGAACAAGGAGCATGTGATTGAGGCCCTGGGCAGGGCCAAGTTCAAGTTTCCTGGCCGCCAGAAGATCCACATCTCAAAGAAGTGGGGCTTCACCAAGTTCAATGCTGATGAATTTGAAGACATGGTGGCTGAAAAGCGGCTCATCCCAGATGGCTGTGGGGTCAAGTACATCCCCAATCGTGGCCCTCTGGACAAGTGGCGGGCCCTGCACTCATGAGGGCTTCCAATGTGCTGCCCCCCTCTTAATACTCACCAATAAATTCTACTAACTCTCCAAAAAAAAAAAAAAAAAAAAAAAAAAAAGATGTGCTTTTATTGTTTTAACAGGTCCTTCCTCACAGGTCACACAGATATTATTTTCTATTAATTGTATAGTCATACCTTTCCCATTTATGTTTTTAATTTTTCTGTAATTCACCATTGCATATAGGGGTTTGTGAGCATCCAACCTTATTTTTCTAGGTAAACTGGTTTTCCCAACATAATCTCCAAGAAAATCTTTCCATTTTATTTGTTATTACATAACAAATTCTCATGGGCCTATTTTTGAGCTCTCAATTTTGTTCCATTGGTTTCTTTCTTAACACTGAGGACAGCAAAAATCACCTGGTGACCATACAGCAGCCATGGAGACAAAAACTCCTTATCTGAGGAATTTAGAAGTATAATGAAGGGAGCAAAGCCCACCTGGTGGCCATCAGGTGGGCCATTTAGAGACCAAAAACCTCCTTATTTGAGGAATTTTAGAAGTAATTAGACTTCCCTATTATCTAAAGTCAGCACCTGGTTCCAGGCCTCTTTTCAACTTAAAATTTACAGGTAACAAGAATTTCTATACATCTCAGAATACATGCATGGCAAAACTCTTTGTGCAACCCTTGCTGACATTAAGACATCAGAATGTCTACAAATGTAATCATTTATCAGGTAAACTACTCTTCATCTCCTGCTTTGAAGTCCATAAATGCTCCTAAGGAAAATTCACCACGGTGGGCTTAGTTCTCTCTTGCTAAGGCACCCCCCTGCACCCCATCTGCAGTGTTCTTTCTTTCTAATAAAACTTTCCTTTTTCAAACCTATACTGCTGTCAGTAAATCCTTCTTATCAACCTGTGAGTTGACCATTTTCTGATACCAGAGCTCTGATACCTCACCTGGCAAACACCACCACACTGGATTAATTATTGTGATTTTAAAATATGCCTTCACATCTAGTAAGGTAAGCATCTCTTCCTTTCTCTTTTGTTCTCCCCAAATTTACTTAGCTATTTGTAGACATATATTTTACCAATCACTTATAGGAAACATACTTACTAGATCTTTTTAAAAATAGGCCAGGCCTGGGCCGGCTGCAGTGGCTCACGCCTGTAATCTTAGCATTTTGGGAGGCTGAGGCGGGTGGATCATTTGAGGTCAGGAGTTTGAGACCAGCCTGGTCAACATGGTGAAACCCTGTCTCTACTTAAAATACAAAAATTAGCCAGGCATTTTGGCACAGCTGTAATCTCAGCTGATTAGGAGACTGAGACATGAGAATCACTTGAGCGCAGGAGGCAGAGGTTGCAGTGAACCGAGATTGAGCCACTGCACTCCAGCCTGGGCAACAGGGCAAGACTCTGTCTAGAAAAAAAAAAAAAAATAGACCAAGCATTGTGGCTCATACTTGTAATCCCAGCACTTTGGGAGGCCAGGGTAGGAGGATCACTTGAGCCCAGGAGTTTGAGACCAGCCTGGGCAACATGGCATAACCCTGTCTCTACAAAAATTAGCTGAGAGTGGTGACACATGCCTGTGGTCCTAGCTACTTGGAAGGCTGAGGTGGGAGGATCACGTGAGCCTGAAAAGCCGAGATCGTGCCACTGCAGTCCAGTCTGGGCGACAGAGTGGGACGCTGTCTCAAAAAAAAAAAAAAAAAATCCAATAGTCTGTCTCAAAGCAGTGAGTTTACTTTGATTGAAACTAAAATTAATATTATATATGGATTGATTTCTATATTACTTCACATTTACTAAACTTTATTTTTTATTTTTTCCTTTCCTGCCTTATATTAAATTGAATTTTGTTCTGTTTTGAAATGTATCATCCTATTTTTAACTAATTAAGACAAATGTGTGTGCATATCTTGTCTAACTTTTAAAAAACTTATCAGTATTACTATCTTCTCCTCTTCTTCTTTTTCCTCCTCCTCCTCCTCCTCCTCCTTTTTTTAACTTCAGAGGCAGAGTTTTGTTACGTTAGTTACTCAGGCTGGAGTGCAGTGGTGCAATTATAGCTCACTGCAGCCTCCAACTCCTGGTCTTAAGCAATCCTCCCACCTCAGTCTACCAAGTAGCTGAAACTACAGGTGCACACCACCACACCCAACCAGTTTGTTTTATTTTATTTTTTGTAGAGACAGCATTTTGCTATGTTGCCCAGGCTGGTCTCAAACTCCTGGGCTCAAGCAATCCTCCTACCTTGGCCTCCCAAAGTGCTGGGATTACGGGTATAAGCCACCAAGCCCATCACTATCTTCCTTCTGAACAAGACAAATATGTTAGCATGCATTCATTTCCCTATTCTCTGTCTCTTGGCCCCACTTCATTCCACTCTCCCTATCCCTTGCCCAACTATGATAGTACTGTCTAGATTTTTAGTTTTGAATTGCTAGGGATTATAATGATAATGATTTTTTTTTTTTCAGAAAGCATCCGTCTCACCAATATAATTGTTAATTTTATGTGTCAACTTGGTTAAGCCACAGTACCCAGATATTTTATAAAAAACCAGTCTAAATGCCACTTTGAAGGCATTTTTTATATTTATATTTTTATTTTTTTATATGCAGTGGCTAGTTACTAGATTGAAGATATTTTTTAGATTAACGTTTAAATCAGTAGTATATAGGAAACACAAACTTTACTATACTCAACTCTTCTGACACCAGATGTATGGGAGTTTTTCCTACACCAATTCTGCAACTGTTTAGACATCAAAGGGATACCCTAAACTCAATTATAACACTATTCAGAGTTAGTGCAGACTCTAAGGTTAAGAGCACAAGACTGCCCCCCACTTCAGATGCCAATTGCAATCTGAAGTGTCCCGAAGTTACTCACACTTCTGTCTGATTTAGCTATAAATTGAGGGTCCCCACAACCCCCTCCTCAGCTTTGATAATTTGCTGTGAAGGCTCACAGAGCTCAGAGAAACACTTAATGTTTACCGATTTGTTATAAAAGATGTGACAAGAATATAGAATAGCCAGATGAGGAGGTACATAGGATGCTGTCCAGAAGGGTCAAGTGCAGGAGCTTGTACCCAGGGAGTTAGGGCATGCCATCTTCCCGGTACCCTCCCAGCACGTGGATGTGTTTACCAACCCAGAAGTTCTCTGAATCTCTTCGATTAGAGTTTGTTTGTTTGTTTGTTTTTGAAACTGAGTCTTGCTCTGCTGCCCAAGCTGGAGTGCAGTGACACCATCTTGGCTCACTCTGCCTTCTGGCTTCAAGCGATTCTCCTGCCTCCGCCTTCCGAGTAGCTGGGATTACAGGCGCACGCCACCACAACTGGCAAATTTTTTTTCATATTTTTAGTAGAGACAGGGTTTCACCATGTTGTTCAGGCTGGTCTCAAATTCCTGACCTCAAATAATCCACCCGCCTCGACCTCCCAAAAAGCTGGGATTACAGGCATGAGCCACTGCACCCAGCCTCAATTAGGGTTTTTGTTTTTTGTTTCATTTTGAGATGGGGTTTCATTGTGTTGCACAAAGCTGGATTCAAACTCCTGGGCTCATACGATCCTCCTGCCTCAGCCTCCCAAGTGGGTGGGACTATAGGTGCACACCACCATGCCCAGTTTAGCGGTTTTATGAAGACATGATTAATTAAGTCATTGGTCATTGGTGATTAAGCTCAATCTCCAGGTCCTCCCCTCTTTCTGGAGGTGGGGAGGTGGAGAAAATGGCCTGTAACTCCCAGCTCTCTAATCACATGGTTGGTTCCCTTGGCAAACAGTTCCCCCTCCATCCTTAGGGGCTTTCCAAAAGTCACCTCATTAACATAAACTCAAGTGTGTTTGAAAATGACTTGTGATAAATGACAAAAGACAGTCTTTTAACCTTTCACAGAGTTTTAGGAGCTCTGTGCCAGGGGATGAAGACCAAAAAATATATTTATTATTGTATCACAATATCACAAGTTGACTTTGAGTCAAGCAGGTTACCTTCTAGAATGTGGGTGGGCCTCACCCAATCAGGTGAAGGCCTTGAGGGAAAAAATGATGGTCGTTCCCTGAGGAAGGAGGAATTGCACCTCCAGACTGCCTTAGGACTTGAACTGCAGCATATGTTGTTTCCTGGGTCTCCAGCCTGCTGGCTTGTCCTACAGTTTAGATTTGCTAGCTCACATGATTGCATGAACCAGTTCCTTAAAATCTCTCTCTCATTCTTCACACATGCACATATTCTCACACACATATATCCTGTTGATTCTGTTTCTTTAGAGAGAAAACTTTTTTTTCCTAAACTGTTAGAGAATGGTATAACCCTGATTCTAATTCTAGATGTAAGATTTAGGGTTTGGGCTCTCAAATCTGACTGGCTGGGTTTGAATCCTGTCTCGGTCACTTACTACATGATTTTAAAACCTTTTTAGTTGAAACATAATATACATATAAAGATATGAGCAAGACCGGGCATGGTGCCTCATGCATGAAATCCCAGCAGTTTGGGAGGCTGAGGTGGGAGGATTGCTTGAGACCAGGAGTTTGAGACCAGCCTGGACAACATAGTGAGACCCTGTCTCTACCAATAAAAAATAAAAAAATTAGCGAGGTATGGTGGCATGTGCCTATAGTCCTAGCTACTAGGGAGGCTGAGGTGGGAGGATAGCTTGAGCTCAGGAGTTCAAGGTTACAGTGAGCTGTGATTGTACCACTATACTCTAGCCTGGGCAACAGAGGAAGACCCTCTCTCAAAAAGGAAAAACAAACAAACATATAATAAGGGTATAGCTTAATGAATTTTCAAAACAGAACACAACAGTTAAAGGAGCATGATAAAAAACTAGAACATTACTAGCACCCAAGAAGCTACCCTTATGCCCACTTCCAGTGACTTCTCATACTCAATGAAGGAAACTACAATTGCTGACTTCTAAAAAAAATAGATACGCCTCACCAGTTTTTGTACTTTATATACAAGGAATCATACAGTGTATATTATTGTATCTGTCTTATGCTCACCCTTTTGTTTGTGAGATTCATTTATGTGGTGGTATGTAGTAGTAGTTTGTTGTTGTATAGTATTTGTGTATAGTGTTTTATTATGTGACACACTAAATTTACTAATTCATTTTATTGTTGATGAGCGTTTGTGTATTTTCCAGTTTCTGGTTGGTTTGCCATCATGAATAAAGCTACCATGAACATTCTAGTGCATGGCTTCTGGTGAGCATAGGTGGGCATTCCTATTGAGTATATAACTAGGAATAGAATTGCTAGTTCATGAGGTATACATAGTTCAGCTTTGGTTAGTACTGCTAAACAGGTTTCCAAAGTAGTTGTGCCACTTTACACCCCCATCTCCAATGCATAAGAGTTTCAGTTGCGGCTGGATGTGGTTGCTCACACCTGTAATCCCAGCATTTTGGGAGGCTAAGGCAGGAGGATTGCTGGATCCCAGGAGTTCGAGACCAGCCTGGTCAACATAGGGAGACCCTGTCTCTACCAGAAAAAAAAAACTAGCTGGGTGTAGTGGTCTGTGCCTGTAGTCCCATCTACTCAGGAGGCTGAGGTGGGAGGATCCCTTGAGCCCAGGAGGTCGAGGCTGCAGTGAGCCATAATCACTCCAGCCTGGGCAATAGAGCAAGACCCTGTCTCAAAAAAAAAAGTTCCAGTTGCTCCACAGTCACACTTACATGTGATATTTCCCCATCCTTTTCATTTGAGTTGTTCTCATTCTTCCCCCACCCCCAGCCTTATTAAGGTATAATTGGCAAATAAAAATTGTAGATATTAAAGGTATACAATATATAATTGACAAGTAAAAATTACAGATATTCAAGGTATACAATGCAATGATTTGATATGTATATAGATTGTGAAATGATTACCACAATCAAATTAACATATCCATGACCACCCATGGTTACCATTTTTTTTTAGTGTATGTGTGATGAGGACACTAAACATCTACTCTCTCAACAAATTTCAAGTAAACAATACAGTACTATTATCTATAGTTACCATGCTGTACATTAGGTTCCCAGAACTTATTCAACTTATCATTGAAAGTTTGTACCCTTTGACCAACATCTCCCCATTTCTTCCACCTCCAAGCCCCTGGTAACCACTGTTCTACTCTACACTTGCATGAGTCTGACTTTTTAGAATTCTACATATAGAGGAGATCATGTGGTATTTGTCTAACCATTCTGTTTCTGGTGAGTTTGTATCATGTGTTTTTTGTTTGCATTTTCCTATAAGGTTGAAAGTTCCAAAACTGGCTGGGCATGGTGGCTCATGCCTGTAGTCCCAGCACTTTGGAAGGGAGGATCACTTGAGGCCAGGAGTTTAAGACCAGCCTGGGCAACATAGCAAGACCCTGTCTTTATAATAAATAAAAAAAGAAAGTTGCAAAGTTGAATACCATTTCATCTGTTTATTAGGCATTTGGGTATCCTGTTTTAGAAAGAGATTTTTTTGTACCTTTTTAAATTGGGTTGTCTGTTTCTAGTTTATTAAGAAGTGGAAGCTTAGCCTATTTGAGGACTTCTTTTCTGATATAGGTATTTAAAGGTACACACTTCTAAGCATTGCTTTAGCTGCATCCCATAAATTTTGATATATTGTTATTTTTATTCAGTTCAAAATGTTTCTAATTTGTCTTGTGATTTCTTATTTGACCTATAGATTATTTAGAAACATGGTTATTTTCCAAATATTTGAGGAATTCCCACACTTCTTTCTGTTACTGATTTCTAATTTAATTCCATTGTGGTTGGGGAACATGCTTTGTATAATTTCAATCCTTTTACATTTGTCAAAACTTGTTTTATGGCCTAGCATCTGCATTAGGTTCTAGTTGGCTCCCAAAAACTTTGAGCTTAGCTCTTTAGCCTCATGTACCCCTAGCCTTAGGATTCAGAGAGTGTCTAGTGAGGAAAATCAGGTGTGTCTGAGGCTCTTCATGTTCCTGATTTTGTCACTCAAGCCTTACGCATTAATGGAAAGCTTTGATCCAGTCTTCAGCCCATGCTCAGATTTGGTAGCTGTACCCAGGGGAAAATAACAGTTGCCAATTTGACCATTCTCTGAACTATTCTCTCTTCTCTGGGATTTTTAGTCCATCTAGTCCTTACTGCTTCCACAACCCTTTGACACCTTTAAAATGTGATTTTTAAAATTGACTTAGGTCTTTTTGTTTTCTAAATTATATATATATATATATATATATATATATATATATATATATATATCTTTTATAGAGATGGGATCTCACTATGCTGCTTAGCCTGGTCTTGAACCCTGGCCTAAAGCGATCCTCCCACCTTGGCCTCCCAAAGTGCTAGGGTTACAGGCATGAGCCACCATGTCCAGCTTATTTAGGTCTTAATAGTTGCTGTTACTGACAGTGTGGCCTGTTTCAACGTCCAATAGCCTACCCAGAAGGGGAAGTTCTTTACTTTACTGTGTTATTTACTCACCTTTGCTTCCTTTGTGGCTTGCAGTGTTCCCCTGGATTTATTTCTCTTCTTGCTAGAATGCTACCTACAACAGTATTTTCATGGAGGATCTTTGAGTGGTACAATTGAAGCTTGTTATGTAGATTAAAATTTTGGGTTTCATGTTATTTTCCTTTAAAACTTTTGAAAATATTGTTTCTTCTCATAATAGTATTTCCCACAATCATCCCAAATTGAAAATAACCTAAACAGAGAACAGATAAATAAACTTTGATACATTTATACGACCAGATACTACATGGCAGTGGCTCTAACTGCTGATGATTTTGCCCCCCCACTCCACCTCCCAGGAGACATTTGGCAGTATCTGGAGGTATTTTTTCATTATCACAACTTACATGGGAGGGAGAGGATTGCTACTGGCATTCAGTTGGCAGAGGCTGGAAATGTGGCTGAATACCCTGCAATACACAGCATAGTCACCTACAGCAAAGAATTATCTAGCCCCAAATGTCAACAGTGCTGAGGTTGAGAAACTGCTATACATTAATGGGAATCAATGAACTATTGCCACATAGGTGGATCTCACACACAGAATGTTGAGCAACAGAAGCCTGATACAAAAGAGTAAAGACAGTGTGCTTCTATTTATGTAAAATTCAAAATCAGAACAAAACTAACTCACGGAGTTAGAAGTCAGAATAGGGTTTTCTTCGGGGGGAAATGGTGACTGGAAAGGGGCAAGGAGGACTTTTTAGGTGATGGTAATGTTCTCTTTCTTGACATGGGGGTTAGTTACACAGATGTGTTCACATTGCGAAATCAAGCTGTACTTTATGATGGGTTCATTCTCTCTCTCTCTCTCTCTGTCTCTCTCTCTTTCCCTGTCTCCCTCTCTCCCTCTCTTCCTCTCTCCCTCTCTCCCTCTCCCTCTCTGCCTATCTTCCCATCTTCCCATCTCCCCCTCTCCCCCCGCTCCTTCCATATGTATAATACTTGAATAAAAGTTTTTCCAAAATCCCATTGTTTGATTTTAAGAGGTAATCTGCTCTTTCTCTCTGGAAGTGTTTACATTTTCTTTTTGCTTTTGATATTTTGAAATATTAATATAATGTGACTAAGAGTGAGTTTATTCTTACCTGCTTATCCCTCTATAAGATCTTTTAATCTAAAGTCTTTCATTTTTTTTCTAATCGTGGGAACAAATTTCAGTTATTGTTTCTTTAAATGTTTTCAGCTGGGTGTGGTGGCTCACACCTGTAATCCCAGCACTTTGGGAGGCTAAGGAGGGAGGATTGCTTGAGGCCAGGGGTTCGTGACCAGCCTGGGCAACATAGTGACACCTCATCTTTACAAAAAATAAACAAAATTAGCTGGGCATGATAGCTTGCACCTGTAGTCCTAGCTACTCAGGAGACTGAGATGGGAGGATTGCTTTAGCCCAGGAGTTCGAGCCTGCAAATGAGCTGTGATTGTGCCACTGCACTCCAGCCTGGGCAACAGAGTGAGATCCTACCTCAAAATAAATAAGTAAATAAATAAATATTTTCTTACCTATGTTTAGTTATTTTCTCCTTCTAGGCTTTTTAATTTTTTTTTTTTTAAAGACAGGATCTCACTGTGTTGCTGAGGCTTGTCTTGAGCTCCCGGCCTTGAGCCATCCTCCCACCTTGGCTTCCCCAAGCACTGGGATTATAGGTGTGATTCACCACAATTGTTTCCCTTCTAGGATTTTTACTGTCTACATGCTGACACTTCTACTTCTGTCTTCCATATTTCTTAAGTTCTTTTTTTAAATATACATTTCATACCCTTTAATTTCCAACATTCTTTCGGTGATTTTCTTGACCCAAACTTCCATCTCACTAATTCATTCTTTAGATTTCTTCATTCTGCTATTTAATCTATTAAGTTCCTTTTAAAACACCATTATATTTTTCATCTGTTTTTTTCCACAGATATATTTTGACCCATTGTTGCTCATTGTTTTTCAGTATGTGTTTATTCTTGAAACATTTTATAAACTGTGATCTCCTGTTTTGTCTTTGAAGATATTTGCTGTGCTTATTTTGAACTGTGACCCATCAGCTGTGCTTTACCAATTTTTAATTTTTTTCTTTCTTTTTTTTCCAAGACAAGGTCTGGCTCTGTCATCCAGGCTGGAGTGCAGTTGCATGATCACAGCTCACTGCAGCCTCAACCTTCCGGGCTCAAGTGATCTTCCCACCTCAGTCTACTGAGTAGCTGGGACTGTAGGTATGCATCACTATGCCCAACTAATTTTTTAAATTTATTTTATTTTATTTTTTGGGACGGAGTCTCTCTCTATCGCCCAGGCTGGAGTGCAGTGGTGTAATCTCGGCTCACTGCAACCTCTGTCTCTCAGGTTCAAGTGATTCTTGTGCCTCAGCCTCCTGAGTAGCTGGAATTACAGGTGCCCACCACCACTCCTGGCGAAGTTTTGTATTTTTAGTAGAGACAGGGTTTACTATATTGGCCAGGCTGGGTCTGGAACTCCTGACCTCAGGTGATCCACCTGCCTTAGCCTCCCAAAGTGCTGGGATTACAGGCATGAGCCACCATGTCCGGCCTTAGTTTAAATTTTTTGTAGAGATGGTGTTGCTATGTTGCCCAGGCTGGTCTCAAACTCCTGGGCTCAAGGGATCCTCCCACCTCAGCTTCCCAAACTGTTGGGATTACAGGCATGAGCCACTGGGCCCAGTCTCCATTGTTTATTTTCAATCCTTTTGACTTTTTAAATGGTGTTTCCCCCACTCAGATGTTATTTTACTTCATGAGCCCAGACACACTAGCCTTCCCCTGGGTGTCTCACCTGTCTGGTAATGTGTGTCCAGGGGCATGCGGGGATGGGGAAGGGTAGGCCATGGCTTGTGTTCGGCAGTGTTGAGCATGTGAGTATGTGCAGCAGGATGTAGGCCTCGGATGATCTCTGGCCTTGCAGCCTGAACCCAGGCCTTCTTATTTCCCTGTCCTTGGGAGGCCTTGTTGTGCTTTACCCTTGGACACTGCTGTTTCTAAGAGCTGTCATTTTTTTGGCTGAAATCTCCTTGTCTCCTTGGCTAAGGGTATGAGGAGGAGTGGCCAGAGCCAGGCGTTCTGTGTATACCTGCTGTTCTCTACTCTCGAAGCCCTGACAAGCATGCAATTCCTCCCCACCCCATGCCCTCAACCATGGAAACAGGGGAGGGAAAAGAATGTCTCTAAAATCTCTTACAGACTGTTCCTGGGTGGGTGCCTGCCTGCCCTCTTATTTTCTGAGCTGTTTTCCATCCCACATTGGGACCCAACCGTCTTCTGGCTGCCCAGGAGATGATCATAGTTTTTACATCATTTCCTCAGATTCGTGAACCTTCCTAGCACCTTCATGATTTCTCCAGAATTGGATGAAGGGGAAGGAGCCAGCAGCCCTTGTTTATCACCTTGCCAGAAACCAGAGTGGTTCATGAGTCTGGACTTTAAGAGCAGCCTCTTCATGGTCATGTGACCTTGGGCTAATCCCTGAAGTTGTCGGTGTCTCAGTTTTCACATGTATGAAATCTGAATAATTATCTGCTTCAAAGGCTGTTGGACAGCTGTCATAGCATGGGCACATGGCATCTCTTAATAAACATTCATTGTTGTTGTTATGGTGTCATTTGGGCAGGGAGCTGAGGTTGGTGGTTGGATGGTAGATTTGAATGTCATTTCCCTAAGGGAGTTAATAGAGTAAGGAATAAAGGAAGCTTGGGAAGTGGCTCCATTGTTTAAGGGTTAGTGGAGGGAGTAAGAAAATAAGATGGAGAGGGAGGGCGTAGCCTGCCAAAGGGAGAGTCCAGAGGCCAGAGAAAGGACACTCTTGAGGTGTGTGTAGTGAGCCATCCTCAGGACCATATGCCCAGCAGAAGGCAAGAAGGCAGCTTTTTTTTTTTTTTTTTTTTTTTTCCAGTCTATTAGTCTATTGGAATTTTCAGGTAGATGCTCCCTGGTGAACTTAGATCAGTTTTAGTGGAGAGAAGGGGACAGAAGCCAGATTGCACTGACTTGAGAAATAAATGGGAGGTGAGGAAGTAGAGACAAATATAGACCTTTTCCCAAAAATGCTTGGCTGTGAAGAAGAGAGATTAAGGCAATAGCTGGCAGGGATGTCAAGTCAGAAGAAATGCAAGTGGGCTGGTTTCTTGTGGGGAAAGAGCCAGTTCCATCTCCCCTATTTATTTTTCCTTTTCTTTCCTCCTTCCTCCTCCTGCCCTCCTTCCCTCTTTTCTCTTCCTTCCTTCTAGTTTATGTCCATATGTTTAACTTGGCATCTTTCTAAAGATATATCCTAGGTGACTAGGAAAATCCAGAGGTGGGGGTATAGAAGGGGAGAGGGGACAGGGAGGAGGTGGGGAGAGAGATTGAGAAGAGAGAGATTGAGATTGGGGCTGCTGGAGGAGGGAAGGAACAAATGGTTAATGAGGACTTCCCCTGAGAAGGCAGAAGGGTGGGGTTGGGGGTGGGGCTTGGATTATTTCCCAAAGTTGCAGGAGATGGGGAGGGGAGAATGGCTGTTACTGTAGGTAGGTAAGTTTCCAATGGGGGAAAATGGGATGGAGGAATAATCAGGGGTCCTTGCAGTGTATTCAGTTTGGTTGATGAAAAAGCTCAATAGGCCTAAAATTAACATATTCAGTTTTCCCAGAGACTGGGAATATTCCTCTCACAGAGATTCCATGCAGGACTGAGATAAGGCCAGGTGTGGGGAAGGGCTCCGTGAATTGTGAGCCATTAGTGCTGATGAGGGAAAGGCATTCATTGAAGATAGCCAGTTTTGCCTGGTTATTGGCTGAGATCATGCCAGGACTCAGTGATTCAAGCTCAGACCCAGTGATGACCCTTGGGGAGACACAGACACAGATTATGGCTGGAAGCTCCTTTTTTGGAGTGATTCTACTGTAATTATCAGGGAACTACTACTTCATTGTGAGGTGCCCCTGGGAGCTTAGAATTGAGGAGACAGGCTGTCTCCCACAGTCCCACAACAAAGTGAATGCATAGAAATACAACTGAAGGGGGCCAAATGGACCCCAGGCCTGCAAAATTTCACCATACCCAGGCTGAATGTCTTCACAGGGGGCCTGTGACAGAGTATTTTAGGCTCAGATGATATTAGTAGGGATAACACCTCTTAGATTCTGTTTTCAGCTATTTGGTGTGTGTGTGTGTTGGAAGGTAGAATTTATCCACTACATTCAGATATGCAGAAAAAAAAAAAGCAAGCAAACAAGGAAGGTGTGGGTAAGAATATTTCTGGGAAAAAAAGAAAAAATTAAAAAAGGTGAGGGAGGGGTAATAGTATTCTTGATTTTCTAATATTCTGTTTATGGGTACTCATAAGTACCCATATAGCTGAGAACAAAAGGTGTTAAGAACCCTCAGTTTCCAAAGGGAGGTGCTAGACAAGCTATGCAGAGCATGCTAAATGGGGACCTAGAAAACCTGGTCCTTTAAGGATCTAAAAGAGCCTGGTTGATGTTGGAGAGAGGACTAATAGCAGGAACTTATTTAACTACTATGTGTTTTCCCCTGCCCACACATACCTTAAGTGAAGAGAAGGGCTCCCTGAGAACTACTGGGGAGAATGTTAACAAGCATCTTGTGGAGTTTAGGGGTGATATGGGACAGATGCCTGCTCCTTCCTAGAATTGTCTAAAGGCAAGGGGCTGGCTAGAGCCTCCCTGAGTAGGCAAGGGCACCAGGAGAACAAGCTGGGCTTCCAGCTGGCGAGGGAACACAAGTCATGCAGTCCTCTGGGATTAGCCTCTCAGGGTACAGATATAACGATGATTGAGTTGGCTTATGTATGTGTGTGTTGTGTGTGTGTCTGTGTGTGTGTGTGAGAGAGAGAGAGAGAGAGAGAGAGAGAGTGACAGAGAGAGAATGAGAGAGAACTGGAAGTTGTCAACAAGAAGAGTCAAACTCTGTAAAATATTTGAAGAGATTTATTCTGAGCCAAATAGGAGTGCCACAGCCCCGGGAGATCCTAAGAACATGTGCCCAGAGTAGTCAAGCTATAGTTTGGTTTTATACATTTTAGGGAGACATAAGACATCAGTCAATACATGTAAGATGCACATTGATACACTGGTTTAGTAGGGAAAGGTGGGACAACTCGAAGGTGGGGGCGGGGCAGGGGCTTCCAGGTCATAGATGGATTCAATGATTTTCTGATTGGCAATCTGTTAAAAGAATTATTATCCAAAGACAGCTCTTAGGGGGTCTGTTCCAAGATGGCCGAATAGGAACAGCTCTGCTCTGCAGCTCCCAGCATGATCCACACAGATGACAGGTGATTTCTGCATTTCCAACTGAGGTACCTGGTTCATTTCACTGGGACTGGTCGGAAAGTGGGTGCAGCCCATGGAGGGTGAGCCAAAGCAGGGTGGGGCATCAACTCACCCAGGAAGTGCAAGGGGTCAGGGGATTTCCCTTTCCTAGCTAAGGGAAGCCGTGACGGACTGTACCAGGAAAATTGGGACACTGCCACCTAAACACTGTGCTTTTCCATCAGTCTTAGCAAATGGCACACCAGGAGATTATATCCCACACCTGGCTCAGCGGGTCCCACGCCCACGGAGCTCACTGCTAGTCCGAGATCGAACTGCGAGGTGGCAAACCTTGCTGGGGGAGGGGCGCCCGCCATTGCTGAGGCTTGAGTAGGTAAACAAAGCGGCTGGGAAGATCGAACTGGGTGGAGGCTGGGAAGATCGAACTGGGTGGAGCCCACCGCAGCTCAACAAGGCCGGCCTGCCTCTGTGGACTCCACCTCTGGGGGCAGGGCATAGCTGAACAAAAGGCTGCAGAAACTTCTGCAGAATTAAACCTCCCTGTCTGACAGCTCTGAAGAGAGCAGTGGTTCTCCCAGCATGGTGTATGAGCAGTGAGAACGGACAGACCGCCTCCTCAAGTGGGTCCCTGGCCCCCGTGTAGCCTAAATTGGAGACACCTTCCAGTAGGGGCCAACTGACACCTCATACAGCTGGGTGCCCCTCTGAGACGAAGCTTCCAGAGGAAGGATCGGGGAGCAATATTTGCTGTTCTGCAATATTTGCTGTTCTGCAGCCTCTGCTGGTGATACCTAGGCAAACAGGGTCTGGAGTGGACCTCCAGCAAACTCCAACAGACCTGCAGCTGAGGGTCCTGACTGTTAGAAGGAAAACTAACAAACAGGAATAGCATCACCATCAACAAAAAGGACATCCACACCAAAATCACATCTGTAGGTCACCATCATCAAAGACCAAAGGTAGATAAAACCACAAAGATGGGGAGAAACTAGAGCAGAAAAGCTGAAAAGTCTAAAAGCCAGAGACATAAAAAGTCTAAAATCCTTCTCCTCCAAAGGATTACAGCTCCTCGTCAGCAACAGAACAAAGAAGGACGGAGAATGACTCTGACAAGTTGACAGAAGTAGGCTTCAGAAAGTTGGTAATAAACTTCTCCAAGCTAAAGGAGGATGTTCGAACCCATCACAAAGAAGTTAAAAACCTTGAAAAAAGATTGGATGAATGGCTAACTAGGATAAACAGTGTAGAGAAGACCTTAAATGACCTGATGGAGCTGAAAACCATGGCACGAGAAGTACGTGACACAAGCACAAGCTTCAGTAGCCTATTTGATCAAGTGGAAGAAAGGGTATCAGTGATTGAAGATCAAATTAAAGAAATGAAGCAAGAAGAGAAGTTTAGAGAGAAAAGAGTGAAAAGAAATGAACAAAGCCTCCAAGAAATATGAGACTATGTGAAAAGACCAAATCTACGTTTGATTGGTGTAACTGAAAGTGATGGGGAGAATGGAACCAAGCTGGAAAACACTCTTCAGGATATTATCCAGGAGAACTTCCCCAACCTAGCAAGGCAGGCCAACATTCAAATTCAAATTCAGGAAATACAGAGAACATCACAAAGATACTCCTCGAGAAAAGCAACCCCAAGACACATAATTGTCAGATTCAACAAGGTTGAAATGAAGGAAAAAATGCTAAGGGCAGCCAGAGAGAAAGGTCTGGTTACCCACAAAGGGAAGTCCATCAGAATAACAGCAGATCTCTTGGCAGAAACCCTACAAGCCAGAAGAGAGTGGGGACCAATATTCAACATTCTTAAAGAAAAGGATTTCTTTAAGAATTTCATATCCAGCCAAACTAAGCTTCATAAGTGAAGGAGAAATAAAATCCTTTACAGACAAGCAAATGCTGAGAGATTTTGTCACCACCAGGCATGCCTTACGAGAGCTCCTGAAGGAAGCACTAAACATGAAAAGGAACAACCGGTACCAGCCACTGCAAAAACATGCCAAACTGTAAAGACCATCAATGTTAGGAAGAAACTGCACCAACTAACGGGATAATAACCAGCTAACATCATAATGACAGGATCAAATTCACACATAACAATATTAACCTTAAATGTAAATGGGCTAAATGCCCCAATTAAAAGATGCAGACTGGCAAATTGGATAAAGAGTCAAGACCCATCAGTGTGCTATATTCAGGAGACCCATCTCATGTGCAGAGACACACATAGGCTCAAAATAAAGGGATGGAGGAAGATCTACCTAGCAAATGGAAAGCAAAAAAAAAAAAAAGCAGGGGTTGCAATCCTAGTCTCTGATAAAACAGACTTTAAACCAACAAAGATCAAAAGAGACAAAGAAGGCCATTACATAATGGTAAAGGGATCAATTCAACAAGAAGAGCTAACTATCGTAAATATATATGCACCCAATACAGGAGCACCTAGATTCATAAAGCAAGTCCTTAGAGACCTACAAAGAGACTTAGACTCCCACACAATAATAATGGGAGACTTTAACACCCCATTGTCAATATTAGACAGATCAATGAGACAGAAGGTTAATAAGGATATCCAGGACTTGAACTCAGCTCTGCACCAAGCAGACCTAATAGACATCTACAGAACTCTCCACCCCAAATCAACAGAATATACATTCTTCTCAGCAACACATTGTGAATCTCAGCAACACAGATTGTGAATCCGTGAAGACGGATTCACAGCCGAATTCTACCAGAGGTACAAAGAGGAGCTGGTATCATTCCTTCTGAAACTCTTCTAATCAGTAGAAAAAGAGGGAATCCTCCCTAACTCATCTTATTCCAAAATTGACCACATAGTTGGAAGTAAAGCACTCCTCAGCAAATGTAAAAGAACAGAAATCACAACAAACTGTCTCTCAGACCACAGTGCAATCAAATTAGAACTCAGGATTAAGAAACTCACTCAAAACCGCACAACTACATGGAAACTGAACAACTTGCTCCTGAATAACTACTGGGTAAATAACGAAATGAAGGCAGAAATAAAGATGTTCTTTGAAACCAATGAGAACAAAGACAAAATGTACCAGAATCTCTGGGACACATTTAAAGCAGTGTGTAGAGGGAAATTTATAGCACTAAATGCCCACAAGAGAAAGCAGGAAAGATCTAAAATTGACACCCTAACATCACAATTAAAATAACTAGAGAAGCAAGAGCAAACAAATTGAAAAGCTAGCAGAAGGCAAGAAATAACTAAGAACGGAACTGAAGGAGACAGAGACACAAAAAACCCTTCAAAAAATCAATGAATCCAGGAGCTGGTTTTTTGAAAAGATCAACAAAATTGATAGACCACTAGAAAGACTAATAAAGAAGAAAAGAGAGAAGAATCAAATAGATGCAATAAAAAATGATAAAAGGGGATATCACCACTGATCCCACAGAAATACAAACTACCATCAGAGAATAGTATAAACATCTATATGCAGGTAAACTAGAAAATGTAGAATAAATGGATAAATTCCTGGACACATATACCCTCCCAAGACTAAACCAGGAAGAAGTTGAATCTCTGAATATACCAATAACAGGCTCTGAAATTGAGGCAATAATTAATAGCCTACCAACCAAAAAAAGTCCAGGACCAGACGGATTCACAGCCGAATTCTACCAGAGGTACAAAGAGGAGCTGGTACCATTCCTTCTGAAACTCTTCTGATCAGTAGAAAAAGAGGGAATCCTCCCTAACTCATCTTATGAGGCCAGCATCATCCTAATACCAAAATGTGGCAGAGACACAACAAAAAAAGAGAATTTTAGACCAATATCCCTGATGAACATCGATGTGAAAATCCTCAATAAAATACTGGCCAACCGAATTCAGCAGCACATCAAAAAGCTTATCCACCAAGATCAAGTTGGCTTCATCCCTGGGATACAAGGCTGGTTCAACATATGCAAATCAATACACGTAATCCATCACAGAAACAGAACCAAAGACAAAAAGTACATGATTATCTCAACAGATGCAGAAAAGGCCTTCGACAAAATTCAACAGCCCTTCATGCTAAAAACTCTCACTAAACTAGATATCGATGGAACGTATCTCAAAATAATAAGAGCTATTTATGACAAACTCACAGCCACTATCATACTGAATGGGCAAAAACTGGAAGCATTCCCTTTGAAAACTGGCACAAGACAGGGATGCCCTCTCTCACCACTCCTATTCAACATAGTGTTGGAAGTTCTGGCCAGGGCCATCAGGCAAGAGAAAGAAATAAAGAGTATTCAATTAGGAAAAGAGGAAGTCAAATTGTCCCTGTTTGCAGATAACAGGATTGTATATTTAGAAAACCCCATCGTCTCAGCCCAAAATCTCCTTAAGCTGATAAGTAACTTCAGCAAAGTCTCAGGATACAAAATCAATGTGCAAAAATCACAAGCATTCTTATACAACAATAACAGACAAGCAGAGAGCCAAATCATGAGTGAACTCCCATTCACAATTGCTACAAAGAGAATAAAATACCTAGGAATCCAACTTACAAGGGATGTGAAGGACCTCTTCAAGGAGAACTACAAACCACTGCTCAACGAAATAAAAGAGGACACAAACAAATGGAAGAACATTCCATGCTCATGGATAGGAAGAATCAATATCGTGAAAATAGCCATACTGCCCAAGGTAATTTATAGATTCAATGCCATCCCCATCAAGCTACCAATGACTTTCTTCACAAAACTGGAAAAAACTACTTTAAAGTTCATATGGAACCAAAAAAGAGCTTGCATTGCCAAGACAATCCTAAGCCAAAGGAACAAAGCTGGAGGCATCACACTACGTGACTTCAAACCATACTACAAGGCTACAGAAACCAAAACAGCATGGTACTGGTGCCAAAACAGAGATATAGACCCAAGGAACAGAACAGAGCCCTCAGAAGTAACACCACACATCTACAACTATCTGATCTTTGACAAACCTGACAAAAACAAGAAATGGGGAAAGGATTCCCTATTTAATAAATGGTGCTGGGAAAACTGGCTAGCCACATGTAGAAAGCTGAAACTGGATCCCTTCCTTACACCTTATACAAAATTAATTCAAGATGGATTAAAGACTTAAATATTAGACCTAAAACCATAAACACCCTAGAAGAAAACCTAGGCAATACCATTCAGGACATAGGCATGGGCAAGGACTTCATGACTAAAACACCAAAAGCAATGGCAACAAAAGCCAAAACAGACAAATGGGATCTAATTAAACTAAAGAGCTTCTGCACAGTAAAAGAAACTACCATCAGAGTGAACAGGCAACCTACAGAATGGGAGAAAATTTTTGCAATCTACCCCTCTGACAAAGGGCTGATATCCAGAATCTACAAAGAACTTAAACAAATTTACAAGAAAAAATCAAACAACCGCATCAAAAAGTGGGAAAAGGATATGAATAGATGCTTTTGAAAAGACATTTATGCAGCCAACAGACACATGAAAAAATGCTTATCATCACTGGCCATCAGAGAAATGCAAATCAAAGCCACAATGAGATACCATCTCACACCAGTTAGAATGGTGATCATTAAAAAGTCAGGAAACAACAGGTGCTGGAGAGGATGTGGAGAAATAGGAACACTTTTACACTGTTGGTGGGACTGTAAACTAGTTCAACCATTATGGAAGACAGTGTGGCGATTCCTCAAGGATCTAGAACTAGAAATACCATTTGATCCAGCCATCCCATTACTGGGTATATACCCAAAGGATTATAAATCATGCTGCTATAAAGATACATGCCCACGTATGTTTATTGCAGCAGTATTCACAATAGCAAAGACTTAGAACCAACCCAAATGTACATCAATGATAGACTGGATTAAGAAAATGTGGCACATATACACCATGGAATATTATGCAGCCATAAAAAACTATGAGTTCATGTCCTTTGTAGGGACATGGATGAAACTGGAAACCATCATTCTGAGCAAACTATCTCAAGGACAGAAAACCAAACACCGCATGTTCTCATTCGTAGGTGGGAACTGAACAATGAGAACACTTGGACACAGGGCAGGGAACATCACACCCCGGGGCCTGTTGTGGGGTTGGGGAAGCGGGGAGGGATAGCATTAGGAGAAATGCCTAATGTAAATGATGAGTTAATGGGTGCAGTACACCAACATGGCACATGTATGCATATGTAACAAACCTGCACGTTGTGCACATGTACCCTAGAACTTAAAGTATAGAACAACAAAAAAAAAGAATTATCCAAAGACCTGGAATCAATAGAAAGAGATGTCTGGGTTAAGATAAGGGGTTGTGAAGACCAAGGTTTTATCATGCAGATAAAGCCTCCGGGTAGTAGGCTTCAGAGCTCTTACCAGACCTAAAAAAGGTCAGATTCTTGGTTAATTTTCTCCTGGATCAGGGAAACGACCTGGAAAGGGAAGGGGCTTCTCTACAGAATGTAGATCTTCCCCTCAAGAGATAGCTTTGCAGGGCCTTTTCAAAAAATGTCAAATAAATATATTTTGGCGTAAAATACTTTAGTTTCTTTCAGGGCCTGCTGTCTGTCATGTTATGCTATACTAGATTCAGGCTGGAATTTGGTGTTTTATTGCTAAAGAAAAGTCTTTTTTTGTCAGTCTTAACTTCTCTGTTTTAATGTTAATGCTGATCAGCTGTGCCTGAATTCCAAAGGGAGGAGGCTATAATAAGACATACCTGACCCCTGCTTCCCATCATGGCCTGAAGTACTTTTTCAGTTAACTTTGGAATGCCCTTGGCAGAAAGGAGGGGTGCATTCAGTTGGTTGAAAGGCTTAGAGTTTTATTTTTGGTTTACAAAGTCGAACCTCAGCTGAGACACCCATTATTCTCAGCATCCTCCTTCAGAGAGCCCCAGCTTAGAATGACCTCAGGACTTCCAACTAGTATCCTCTTCTCCTTCTAGAATTCTCTTGGAGGTGACTAGAAAGAAACATGGTGCTTAGCTCAGAGCCAAGACATTTTGGCAGCTTCTTCTCATTTGTAACACTCATGTGCAAATATAAGGATGGTTGTTGGGTCAGCCTGGGCCTGGTCTCCAGGGATATGGCCCTTCCAGACCTCCACTTTCCTTGAGCTTCCAGGCTTCCTGCTGTCCATCACATAACCTGTTATCCCTGGCCAAGGACATGGGGTAAAAGAGCAACCACCTAAGTTGCCAGTGCTGGGTGCTGGAGCCTTGAGATTTATTGCACTTAGGCTTAGCTGAGAAAAGGATTAAAGAAGTGGGGAAAAGTCATAAGTTACCACACTTCAACAGTGTGTGTGAAATCTCAGTGCCATTCAGACAGCAGACTGCATAGTTGAAGTTTCTCCACCCTCCCTGAAAGATTTCACAGAGCCCATGGGCACATCCACAAACCGGGCACATGCATGAACAAGGCCCCTCTTCTCCAGCCAGCAACCCAAACCAAGACAGGATGTACTCACATTGTTAGGCCTCTTGTTGAGAAAGAGCTTAGATTTCTTTTGTTGGGCAGACCTAGACTCTTATTTTATTTTTGGTAGATACTGGGTCTCACTATGTTGTCCAGGCTGGTCTCAAATTCCTGGCCTCAAGCAATCCTCCTGTCTCAGCCCTCCGTAGCACTGGGATTATACCCAGCCACTGGGAATTTTTTTTTTTTTTTTTTTTTTTAAGAGACAGAGCCTCTTTTGCCTAGGCTGTAGTGCAGTAGCATAATCATAGATCACTGTAATCTCAAACTCCTGGGCTCAAGGGATACTCCTGCCTCAGCCTCCCAAGTATTTAGGACCGCAGCAGCATGCCACCACACTTGGCTAAATAAAAAAAAAAATTATAGAGGCAGGGTCTTGCTATGTAGACCAGTTTGATCTTAAATGCCTGGCTTCAAGTGACCCTCACACCTCAGCCTCCCAAAGTGTGGGGATTCAGAGGTGAGCCACTGCATCCACAGACCTGGATTCTAGGCCTGGCTTTATCACATACCAGCTGTGGGATCTTGGATGTGTGTGTGGTGCTCCCTTTCGGAGCCTCACTTTCTTTATCCTTGGAGATAACACTATTCTAAAGGGTGTTTTTATTAAGAGGCTGAGGCAGGAGGATAGCTTGAGCCCAGGAGTTCAAGACCAGCCTGGGCAAGATGGTAAAACCCCATCTCTACAAAAAATACAAAAAAATTCTCTGGGAACGGTGGTGTGTGCCTGGAGTCCCAGCTACTCAAGAGGCTGAGGTGGGAGGATCACCTGAGGTCGAGGCTGCAATGAGCCATGATTGCGCCACTGCTGCATTCCAGCCTGGGTGACAGAGTGAGACCCATCTCAAAAAAAAAAAAAAAAAAAGGTTGTTGTAAGGATGCATTGAATAACACACATAAAGTGACTTTCATAGTGCCTGGAAAGAATAGGCACACAAGTTGCTTTCTTTCCATGTTAGCTCTTCCCCACACCAATGTCTCTAATAGTATTCACTGGGAAACCGCTGCTTGTTGGGAAGAGACAGGGAGGAAAGGTTTCTGCCCCACACCCTTGTAATAGGCGCAGTTCTTCCCAGCCAGCCACTCCCAGTGGCGAATGCCTTCACCTGTAGAACTAGTGGGGATGACACCATGTGGGACATCAGGGGCCAGGTGTGATGAAGACTGAGAGGCCAATGCAGAGGCCCAAAGGGACAGGTAAAAACCCATGACCTGAAGGATCTGGCTCCAGGCCCTCTCCTCTAGGGCCCTTTCCGAAATCTAATGGCCTCCTCACCAGATCCCCTGGCTCAGACTTCACCTTGAATCCATCTTCCACACTGCCCAAGAGGGAGCTTTCTAAAACACTATCCTGTTTGTGTCTCTCCTCCTCTTAAAAACTTTCAGTGGCTTCCTAGTGTTTAGAACTGTGTTTTTCAATAATGAGTTATGACCCTGTTTGTGGGCTGTAGAATCAATTTAGTGAGTTGTAACCAGGATTTAAACTATTTAATAGGCTGAATGCCAGCCTGAATCACATGTAATTATTGCTCTGTGAAACATTTGTTTCAGAGTTTAAAAAATGTTAAGTATATATTCTAAGTGGGAATTTGAGACACCATATTTGACTGTGATTTGGGATAGTTTTGACATGCTGTCAAATATGTGATGATTTTAAACAACTTTGTATTGGGTGTAACATGTATCCAGTAAAGTGCACAAGTCTTAAGGGTACAGCTTTATGAATTTTTACATATGCGTACTCTCATTTAAGTCAAGATATATAATATATTTGGTACCCCAAAAAGGCCTCATGCCCATTCCTAGTCAATTATTATTCTGACTGCTATAACCATCAGTTAGTTTGGCCTGTTCTTGAATTCCATGTAAATGGAATCTAAGAATGTATACTTTTTGGGGTTTGGGTCTTTGGCTCAACATTGTGTCCATGAGATGCATTCATGATGATGCAGATAGAAGTAGTTTGTCCATTTTCATTGCTGTATTTCATTGTATACACACACCAGAATTTAATGATCCAATTCTCCTGTTGATGGACATATGGGCTGTTTCTCAAATTTTTGGCTACTATAAACAAAGCTCTTGTACATGTCCTTTTTAAATTTAAATTTTATTTTTATTTATTTTTTATAGATGGTGTCTCACTGTGTTGCCCAGGCTGGAGTACAGTACCATGATGATAGCTCACTGTAATCTTGAACTCCAGGGCTTGAGGGGGTCCTCTTGCCTTAGTCTCCTGAGTAGCTGGGACTACAGGCATGTGCCACTATGGGCCTGGCTTCTTGTACATGTCTTTTTGTGGACATAACCACTCAATTCTTTTGTGGACATATCCACTCAATACTATCAAGAATAAATTTTCTGGGTCACAGGGTAGATAGATGTATGATAACTATGAAAACTCCCAAACAATTTTCCAAAGTGGTTACATTTGAGACTTACACATACATATGTCTATGTATTTATTTATTTATTTTTAGACAGGGTCTCACTCTCTTGCCGAGGCTGGAGTGCAGTGGCGTGATCTTGGCTCATTGCATGCTCCACCTCCCAGGTTCAAGCAATTCTCCTGGCTCAGCCTCCCAAGTAGTTGGGATTACAGGTGCCCACCACCACACCTGGCTAATTTTTGTATTTTTAGTAGAGACGGGGTTTCACCATGTTGGCCAGGCTGGGATATGTCTATGTATTTATGATGTATGTATATATATATGTGTGGTCCAAGTGGCCATGTTAAATAATTTTATTATTATGGGTCTTGGTAAAAAAACAAAAACAAACACAAATAAACTTTGAAAGCTACTCATTAGAGGAAAAAGTCAAATTCCTTAGCACTGCTTAGCATGCCTTACAAGGCCCGGCATGGCCGGGCATGACCTGTTTCTTCTCTCTACTGCTTAATCTACTGCCGACTATTCCAGGTCTCTTCTCAATTGCCTGACAATTTTTTTTTCCTCTTCCTTGTTTGTGAACTCCAACTTGTCCCCCAATATTCGTTTCTAATTTTAGTTTTTCCAGGAAGCTTTTCCTGGCCGTCATTTCTCCTCTCCCTTTTAGCCTCTTTATAACTGGTGCATCCCTCTGTCCTAATACCTAGTGCTTTGTATTCTGCCTGTCTAACAACTCGTTTCCTAATTCATGAGCTCCTGCAGGAAAAACTGTGATCCATCTTTGGAGCCCAGGGTGAACACTTGTTTGCCTTCCCACCTCCATTATTCTTTTTTTTAGTAACAGCTTCTAGTTTTAATCTGGGGTACTACCTTGCATTCCTTCATTCTCTATCCAGGTAGCTCAGATGTGGTCCCATTCACCTATCACAGAGATGCTTGTGATCAAGGTCATGGTGTATGAGAATATCCCATCTCCTTGGCCATACAGCTTGGTTGCCTGGCTACTTGGAAAGGTCTTTGGGAGGCACAGGCCATGCTGTCTTCTCCATCCTCTGCCACTGTGTGGTCTCTAGCCCATTGTATATTGGGCTAGGACTGGTCCTGTGCTAAAGGACTTTACATCTTGATATGGTTTGACTGTGTCCCCAGCCAAATCTCATCTTGAATTGTAGTTCCCATAATCCCCATGTGTTGTGGGAGGGACCCAGGGGTAGGTAATTGAATCATGGGGGCGGTTCCCTCCATGCTCTTCTCATGATAGTGAGTGAGTTCTCATGAGATCTGATGGTTTTATATGGGGCTTTTCCCACTTTTGCTTGGCACTTCTTTCTTCTGCCACCATGTGAAGAAGGACGTGTTTCCTTCCCCTCTTGCCATGATTGTAAATTTCCTGAGGCCTCCCCAGCCATGCTGCTATGAGTCAATTCAACCTCTTTCCTTAATAAATTACCCAGTCTCAGGTATGCCTTTTTTTAGCAGTGTGAGAATGGACTAATACACATCTCTAATTTCATTTAATTTTCACAGTAGCCCTGTGAAGTATAGATGCTATTATCATCTGCATTTACAGATAAGGGCTTAGGTTCAGGGAGGTTAAATGGCACATGGCCAATGCACTTATAGAACTGGGACTTAGACAAAAAGCTCAGGGCTGCTTTTGTATAAATGAGACAGTATAAAACATTTCTATATTGGGAGCAGATGGATGAAGAAAGTAATTTTTATGTGTGGGTAAGTTTTCCACGGGTGTTGGAGGGGTGGACCCCTCCCTTTTTTCCAAGCATTTAAAATATGCTATTTGATTGTTTTTTGGCCTTCATTGTTTCTGATGAATAAGTTGTTCCTCAGTATGTAATTTGTCTTTTTCTCTGGATATGTTTATAATTTTTATTTTAGTCATCAGTAATTTGGTTATAATGTGCCTAGACATGGTTTTCTTTGTATTTACCATATTTTTGGTTCTTTCTGAGTTTCTTTTTTTTTTTTTTTTTCAGTTTCTTTTTTTTTTTTTTTTAATTTATTTTTTTATTGATAATTCTTGGGTGTTTCTCACAGAGAGGGATTTGGCAGGGTCATGGGACAATAGTGGAGGGAAGGTCAGCAGATAAACAAGTGAACAAAGGTCTCTGGTTTTCCTAGGCAGAGGACCCTGCGGCCTTCCGCAGTGTTTGTGTCCCTGATTACTTGAGATTAGGGATTGGTGATGACTCTTAACGAGCATGCTGCCTTCAAGCATCTGTTTAACAAAGCACATCTTGCACCGCCCTTAATCCATTTAACCCTGAGTGGACACAGCACATGTTTCAGAGAGCACAGGGTTGAGGGTAAGGTCACAGATCAACAGGATCCCAAGGCAGAAGAATTTTTCTTAGTGCAGAACAAAATGAAAAGTCTCCCATGTCTACTTCTTTCTACACAGACACGGCAACCATCCGATTTCTCAATCTTTTGCCCACCTTTCCCGCCTTTCTATTCCACAAAGCCGCCATTGTCATCCTGGCCCGTTCTCAATGAGCTGTTGGGCACACCTCCCAGACGGGGCGGCTGGCCGGGCAGAGGGGCTCTTCACTTCCCAGTAGGGGCGGCCGGGCAGAGGCGCCCCTCACCTCCCGGACGGGGCGGCTGGCCGGGCGGGGGGCTGACCCCCCCACCTCCCTCCCGGACAGGGCAGCTGGCCGGGCGGGGGGCTGACCCCCCCACCTCCCTCCCGGAAGGGGCGGCTGGCCGGGCGGGGGGCTGACCCCCCCACCTCCCTCCCGGACGGGGCGGCTGGCCGGGCGGGGGGCTGACCCCCCCACCTCCCTCCCGGACGGGGCGGCTGGCTGGGCGGGGGGCTGACCCCCCCACTTCCCTCCCGGACGGGGCGGCTGGCCGGGCGGGGGGCTGACCCCCCCCACCTCCCTCCCGGACGGGGTGGCTGCCGGGCGGAGACGCTCCTCACTTCCCAGATGGGGTGGCTGCCAGGCGGAGAGGCTCCTCACTTCTCAGACGGGGCAGCTGCCGGGCGGAGGGGCTCCTCACTTCTCAGACGGGGCGGCCGGGCAGAGACGCTCCTCACCTCCCAGACGGGGTCGCGGCCGGGCAGAGGCGCTCCTCACATCCCAGAGGGGGCGGCGGGGCAGAGGCGCTCCCCACATCTCAGACGATGGGCGGCCAGGCAGAGACGCTCCTCACTTCCTAGATGTGATGGCGGCTGGGAAGAGGCGCTCCTCACTTCCTAGATGTGATGGCGGCTGGGAAGAGGCGCTCCTCACTTCCTAGATGGAATGGCGGCCGGGCGGAGACGCTCCTCACTTTCCAGACTGGGCAGCCAGGCAGAGGGGCTCCGCACATCCCAGACGATGGGCGGCCAGGCAGAGACACTCCTCACTTCCCAGACGGGGTGGCGGCCGGGCAGAGGCTGCAATCTCGGCACTTTGGGAGGCCAAGGCAGGCGGCTGGGAGGTGTAGGTTGTAGTGAGCCGAGATCATGCCACTGCACTCCAGCCTGGGCACCATTGAGCACTGAGTGAACGAGACTCCGTCTGCAATCCCGGCACCTCGGGAGGCCGAGGCTGGCGGATCACTCGCGGTTAGGGGCTGGAGACCGGCCCGGCCAACACAGCGAAACCCCGTCTCCACCAAAACCAGGCGTGGCGGCGCGTGCCTGCAATCGCAGGCACTCGGCAGGCTGAGGCAGGAGAATCAGGCAGGGAGGTTGCAGTGAGCCGAGATGGCAGCAGTACAGTCCAGCTTCGGCTCCGCATGAGAGGGAGACCGTGGAAAGAGAGGGAGACCGTGGGGAGAGAGAGGGAGAGGGAGAGGGGGAGGGAGAGGGAGAGGGTGAGGGACAGGGAGAGGGAGAGGGAGAGGGCCTTTCTGAGTTTCTTGAATCTCCTTTTTTTTTTTTTCGAGACAGAGTCTTGCTCTATAATCCAGGCTGGAGTGCAGTGGCAAGATGTCGGCTTACTGCAACTTCTGCCTCCCAGGTTCAAGCAATTCTCATGCCTTAGCCTCCTGAGTAGTTGGGATTACAGGCATGTGCCACCACACCCAACTATTTTTTTTGTAGAGAGGGAGTTTTGCCATGTTTGCCAGGCTGGTCTCAAACTCCTGGCCTCAAGTAATCCCCCCTCCTTGGCCTCCCAAAGTGCTGGTATTACAGGCATAAGCCACTGTGCCTGGCTTGAATCTCTTGACTGAATTTTTTTCTATTGAATTTGCAAAATTTTTGGCCATCATTCCTGCAGTTATTTTTTCTCTCTACTCTTCTTCTTCTGAGAGTCTGACACATATGTCAGCCTACTTTAGGTTGTCCCATTGATGCTCTGCTCATATTAAAAACATTTTTTTCCTTTATTGCTCAGTTTGAATAATTTCTATCAACCTGTTTTCTCTTATACTTTCAGAGTATCCAATATGCTGTTATTCTGTCTAGTGAATTTTTAAGTTCAATTGCTATATTTTTCAATTTTTGGATTTACATTTGGCTTACTTTTTAGAGTTTTCTTATTTCTCTTATAATTCACAGTTCTTCTTCTGTCACATTAATCCTTTCCTATAAGATTAAAAAAAGTTGCAGTTATGTACTACATAATGATGTTTTGGTCAGTTATGGACCACATATGACAGTGGTCCCATAAAATTATAATGGAGCTGGAAAATTCCTATCACCTGGTAACACTGTGGTCATCATAATGTCTCCACACAACGCATTACTCAGGTGTTTGTGGTGATGCTGGTGTAAACCTACTGGGCTGGCAGTGATATAAAAGTATAGTGCATACAATTATGTACAGTATATAATACTTGATAAAGATATAACTATACTATACTTTTATTGTTATTTTAGCGTGTACGTCTTCTAGTTGTAAAAAAAATTTACTGTAAAATGGTATGCTGTGTTACACCAGCAGCAGCTTCATGTATCTTGTGTTTTATTGTAGCTCTTGATTGCACAGTTTTCTCTTGTGTATGATTTAATCTCATTTTGTTTTGTTCATTATGGGTCCCTAAGCGTACAAGATATCCTGCTAATGTTGTCAGTAGGAGGCCACAGTGAGTAACTGACCTGGAAATGAAATTAAAAGTGATTAATTAAGGGACAGGGCACAGTGGCTCATTCCTATAACCCCAGTGCTTCAAGAGCCTGAGGTGGAAGGATGGCTTCAGACCAGGAGTTCGAGACCAGTCTGGGCAACATAGTGAGACCCTGTCTCTACAAAAAAAAAAAAAGAAAGAAATTAAAAAAATGATTAAGGACTATGAAAGTGGAAAATCAGTGATGGTTATTTCTTGCCAGAAATGCCTGCCCCATCGACCCTAGCTATGATCTGAAAGGACAGGAACAAAGTGATGAAAGCTAGCTGGGCGTGGTGGCTCACGCCTATAATCCCAGCACTTTGGGAGGCTGAGGTGGGTGGATCACTTGAGGCCAGGATTTTGAGACCAGCCTGGTCAACATGGTGAAACCACATCTCTACTAAAAATACAAAAATTCGCCGGGTGTGGTGGCATGCGCCTGTAATCCCAGCTACTTGGGAGGTTGAGGCATGAGAATCACTTGAACCCAGGAGGCAAAGGGTACAGTGAGCCGAGATTGAGCCACTGCACTCCAGCCTGGGCAACAGAGCGAGACTCTCTCTCAGAAAAAAAAAAAAGTGATGAAAGCTGTTAAAGGATTTGCTTCATTGAAGGCAATGAGATAACAGAAATTCAGGAAGGTCCTCTATAAGATATGAAGAAACTTCTGATGACCTGGGTTGGAGACCAGGCACAGAAGTGTATCCCTCTCAGCACTACGACAATCATGGCCAAAGCACGAAGTTTGTTTGCAATGTTCAGAGAAAAGGCCGGACCTAACTACAGTGTTGAAGTATTGCTAGCTCTGGGTGATTTAAACAGTTCAAGCATCGTAATTCATTACATATTGTGAAAGTGAGTGGCAAGTCTGTGCATGCTGATGTGAAGGCAGCTGAAGAATTTTTGGAAACTCTAGAAAGGCTGATTATGGAGGAAAATCACTTGCCAGAGCAAATCGTCAATATGGATGAAAACCCCCTATTTTGGAAATGGATGCCTGAAAAGACTTTTATCTAGAAGGAGACCAAGTCAATGCCAGGTTTCAAGGCTTTTAAGGACAGGACAACAGTCTTTCTCAGAGGCAATGCTGCAGGCTACAAACTGAAATCCTTTGTGATCTGGCACAGTGAGAACCCCAGGGCCTTCAAGCATACCAGTAAGCACACCACAGGAGCAATAAGAAGTCACAGATGACCCAGCTACTCCTGAATTGCTATGCCAGTGAAATGAAGTACTATTTGGAGAATAAGATACCTTTCAAGGTTTTGCATATGGTTTATAATGTTCCCACACATCCTCCTTTTATTGGTGATCTTCATCCCAATACCAAGGTAGTGTCTCTCCCTCCAAACATTACCTCTTTGATTGAACCAATGAATCAAGGTGTTATATCAGCTTTTAAGGACTGCTACCTGAGGAAGACCTTTGTCCAGGCTGTTGCTACACCTGAGGGAGAGACTGAGATGACAGTGATGCAATTCTGGAAGGATTACAACACAGGTATGATTGCATCAAGAACCTTGGTTGGGCTTGGGGTGATGTCACCAAGAAGTATGTGAATGGCATCTGGAAGAAGACACTTAGCATTTCTCCATGACTTCAGAGGATTTGCCAAGGATGAGGAGGTTGCAAAAATCAACAAGTTTGTGGTTGAGATGGCAAACAGCTTTGACCTGGGTGTGGATGAGAATGACACTGAGGAGCTCCTAGAGGTGGTTCTTGAGGAATTGACTAATAAGGAGTTGTTGGAAATGAAACAGGAATGCATAGCTGAAGAAGAGGCAAGAAAAAAGGAAACTGCATGTATTAGTCTGTTCTCATGCTGCTATAAAGAACTGCCCAAGACCAGGTAATTTATAAAGGAAAGAGGTTTAATTGACTCACAGTCCTGCATGGCTTGGGAGGCCTCAGGAAACTTACAATCATGGCAGAAGGCACCTATTCAGGAGGGGGCAGGAGAGAGAAGAATGAGAATAGAGCGAAGGAGGAAGCCCCTTATGAAACCATTAGATCTCATGAAAACTCACTCATTATCACAACAGTATGGGGAAAACTGCCCCCATGATTCAATTATCTCCACCTGGTCCCTCCCATGACACATGGGGATTGTGGGAACTACAATTCAAGATGAGATTTGGGTGGGGATACAGCCAAACCATATCGCTGCAGGGGAAGAAAAAGAAGAACCCCCAAGAAAATGGACAGTGAAGGATTTGTAGCACAAGCTTTTTCAGACCTTAGCAAGTTCCTTTAAAAGCTTGGAAGTGTGGAGGCAACACCAAACAGTCTTCTTTATCATAATTTTTATTTTAGGTTCAGAGGTACATGTGCAGGTTTGTTATATAGGTAAACTGTCATGGGGACTAAAAAATTTTCATTAATAGAGAGGAATGGTGCGTAATCTGCTTACAAGCAAATCTGTGAGAAAAAATGAAGCAAATCTACTAAGTGACCATAGACATATTTCTGAAAAGAGTGACACCTCCACAAGAAGAGCCTCAGGCAGGTTTCTTAGGTGTTATTCCAGAAGAAGGCATTTGTTGTCATGGGAGATGACAGCTGTGTGTGTTATTGCCACTGAAGACCTTCCAGTGGGACAAGATATGGGGGTGGAAGACAGTGACATTGATCCTGACCCTGTATAGGCCTAGGCTAATGTGTTTGTGTCTTAGTTTTTAATAAAAAAGTTTAAAAAGTAAAAAAAAATAAAAATAGATAAAAGCTTATAAGGTTTATAAATATTTTTGTACAGCTGTTATTATTTTGTATTAATTTGTATTTTGTATTATTTATATTTGTATTAATTTTACTTATGAAATAACTTTAGTTACAAAGTAATTATTACAAAACTTATTTTAAGCACAAACACATTATTTTGTAACAAGAGTTAAAAAGTTAAAAAGTTTAAAAGGAAAAAAGTTAGAGTAAGCTAAGTTTAATTTATTATTGAAGAAAAAATATTTAAAAAATAAATTTAGTACAGCCTAAGAGTATAATGTTGATAAAGTCTACAGTAGTGTACAGTAATGTCCTAGGCCTTCACATTCACTCACCACTCACTGACTCACCTAGAGCAACTTCCAGTCCTGCAAGCTCCATTCACGGTAAGTTCCCTATATAGGTGTATCATTTTTTTAATCTTGTATATCATATTTTTACTGTAACTTTTCTAAGTTTAGATATTTCTAGCTACATAAATAATTGTCATTGTGTTATAATTCCCTACAACATTCAGTACAGCAACATGCTGTATAGGTTTGTAATCTAAGAGTGATAAGTTATACCATATAGCCTAGGTATGTAGTAGGCTATACCATATAGGTTTGTGTAAGTATGCTCGATGATATTCATACATAAAATTGCTTAATGATTCATTTCTCATAACGTTCCTCTGTTGTTATGTGACACATGATTGTATTGTCATATTTTCCTGGCTGTTTGTATGTTGCATTTTTAAAGTTTTTTCTAATTTTTTTCAAGGTCTTTGCTATCTCCAATATCTGACTCATCTTTGGGTCTGCTTCTGTTGACTATTCTCTTGACTGTCATATTTTTCTGGCTGTTTGTATGCTATATTATGCCATTCTTGCATTTCTATAAAGAAATATCTGAGACTGGGTAATTTATAAAGAAAAGAGATTTAATTGGCTCATGGTTCTGCAGGCTGTACAATCATGGTGCCAGCATCTGCTTGGCTTCTGGTAGGGTGGGGCTCAGGAATCTTAACAATTGTGGCAGAAAGTGAAGGGGGAACAGGTGTCTCATACTGCAAGAGTGGGAGCAAGAGAGAGTGCGGGGGAGGTGCCACACATTCTTAACAAGATCTCTCAAAAACTTACTCACTATTGTGAGGACAGCACGAAGCCATGAGGGATCCACCCCCATGACTCAAACACCTCCCACCAGGCCCCAACTCCAACACTGGGGATTACATTTCAACATGTGATTTGGATGGGACAAATATTGAAACCATATCATATGCCAAGTAATTAAAAAGAAATTGAGCCAAGGGCTCACTATATTGTCCAGGCTGGTCTTGAACTCCTGGGCTCAAACAATCCTCCTGCCTTAGGTTCCCCAGTAGCTGGGATTACAGACATGTGCCATTGTGTCTGGCTTATACTATATGTTTATTCTATGTAACACACTCTAGAGTCTCTGGAGTTTACTATCTTTCTTTGAAAGGCATTGAGTTTTGCCCTAGCAGATGGCTAAATCGTTGACAGACAATCTTAGTCCTGTGGAAGCTTAGTTTTAGCCTTTATTGGAGTGGATCTCTTTCAGTTTTGTCCTTATTCCTAGGGTATAGACCTAAATTCTAAGATGTGGTCCTTATTCCTAAGGTGTGGCCCTGCAAGTGTTTCAACAAAAAGGGCGCTGTGTCTACAAAGCTTCTCTACCTTGGCAGGGCTTGACTCTTTCGTCTTGATGCAGTTTCTTGCCTCTGGGAAACTTACAATCTCACCCTGCATATGAACTGTTTAGCAGTCAGCCAAGGATTTGAAGATAATTGGTACACAGATTTTAGGGCACCCCTTCCATGGTTCCGTCACTTAGGATTAAGATTTTTCTCCCTAAATTTCCAGCCACTCCATTCCCCATGCAGTGTATAGATGGGGACACACCTTCAGGGGAAGAGCCAGTGAACGCAGCTCTCACTCAATGTGCTGTCTTTCATTCAAGGGTTGGATCCCCTCCCTTTCTGCCTTCTTTTGGTTGCTGCAGAGTGCTTTAACGCAATTGTTTTGTTAAACTATTTTGTCCAGATTAGATAATTGTTACATGTGGGAGGGCTAGTTTGATAAGCTATTCTGATATTACCAGATCCTGAACCTCTTGCTCAATTTTCACCCTAGAATCTCAACACCACTGAATGTGAGAGGAACCAATGATAAGAGCCCTAAGCAAAACTCACCAGGGTTAATCGGAAAGAGGTAGAATGATATAATGGTTAAGGATGGGGCTTTGGAGGCAATTTTGGTTTTGAATCCCAGTCCTGCCACTTATCAGCTGTGTGATCTTAAGAATGATGCTTAACTGATTGAGACCTTGTATTGCCATTTGCCATTTTCTTTTTCTTTTCTTTTCTTTCTTTCTTTTTTCTTTTTTTTTTTTTGATGAGGATTAAATGAAATGCTTAGCACCAGACTTGGCAAATAGTAAGGGTTTTTAACCCACGATGGTCACTATTATGACTAGAGAATGATATGTTCTTTCACAGTGGGGCTAGAAGGAGAGGGACACAGGGCTAAAGGATTTTTCCAGACAGTAGATTGGTGCCTTCTATTGGGACTAGAAGTCTTTGCCTCCAACTCTAGACATTCACAGTTGTTTGGAAATAAGCAAAATTCTAAATCTCAGAATTTTCTTCTGTTCCAGTTAAGACTTATCAAGGGCTGGAGCGTCTGAACTAGATACACCAAAAATTTTTAGAGTGATGAGATGATGGAGTTAAACAAACTGTCCTGAACTGCATATCCAAAGACAAAAGCTAGGAGATAACAAAAACTGTCCTAAAACTGCATATCCAAAGACAAACTGTCCTGAACTGCATATCCAAAGACAAACTGTCCTGAACTGCATATCCAAAGACAAAAGCTAGCGTACCCCCAAACCCTACTTCAATGTAGACTCCCTCCCTCCCTGAGACCTCTGACCAAACCCAAATATATCTTGATTTTTTTTTTTTCAGACAGGGTCTCACTCTGTTGCCCAGGCTAGAGTATAGTGGTGAGATCACAGCTCACTGCAACCTCGACCTCCCCAGGCTTAGGTGATCCTCCCACCTCAGCCTCCCCAGTAGCTGGGACCACAGGCATGCACCACCATGCCTGGCTAATTTTTGTATTTTTTTGTGGAGATGAGGTTTTGCCATATTGCCCAGGCTGGTTTCCAACTCCTGGGCTCAAGCAATCCACCTGCCTTGGCCTCCTAAAGTGTTGAGATTACAGGTGTTGAGCCTCTGTGCCTGGCCTGGATTTTTTTTAAGGAGGTAAAATTCACATAGTAATTCACCATTTTTACAAGTATAAAGTGTGTAACTCAGTAACTTCCAGGACATTCATGATGTACAACTATCACTACTAGTTCCAGAACAGTTTCATCATCCCCAAAAATAAATGCCAGACCCATTAGTCACCCCCATTTCTACTTCCTCCTAGTCCCTGGCAACCACCAGTGTGCTTTGTGTCTCAATGGATTTGCCTACTGTGGACATATCATATAAATGGATATGTGGCTTTTTGTGTTTGGTTTCCTTCACTTAGCATGTTTTCAAGGTTTGTTCATTGCCTGGAATTATTCAGATATTCATTTTTATATAAACCCCTGTGTCTTTTTGACTTTCCAAGTGCACTTCGTCCCAGCAGGGCTTTCCTATCCGGACCCCAGAGCTTTGGTGAAATGTGTGCACACAGAGCAGGCAGGGGCACATTGACAAACTTCTGCTTGACAGTTTCTGTTTTTGCACCCTGTTAACAATGCTCTTGAGGCTCCACTATGTAGGATTATCTGTTTTTATACCTGAAAGTCTCCTTACCTCAACTGCTATCAAAAGATTTACATCTTTCTAAGGTGCCAATTAAATCCAACAAGGTAGCTGAGTGTGGTGGTGCACGCCTGTAGTCCTAGCTATGCAGGAGGCTGAGGTGGGAGGATCACTTGAGCCTGGGAGGTCGAGGCTGCTGTGAGCTGTGATTGCACCGCTGCATTCCAGCCTGGGAGACAGAGCAAGATCCTGACACACACACACACACACACACACACACACACACACACACACACATTCCAACAAGGTAATGTGTAGGAGGAAGTACCCGAGCTTTTCAGTCAAATGTATATTTGAATTCCACTTCAGAGACTCATACAGGTTTGGAAAATTGGAGAGAGGAGGAGAACTGTGCCTGCTTTGCAGGTGGAACCTGGGAAAGGGGCACATACACGAATCTCTTCCTGTGCCACAAGATGGCACAAAAGAAGTAGGGGTGAAATAGCTGCTCCATCCCGGGTCTGAGTCAGCCTTGAAGGGTTCCCAATACCCTGGGTAACGTGGGAGCAGTAGAATGATTTTTCTGTGCGTCTAAGAGTAGCAAACAAGTGGGTGAACAACCTCAGCTCTACCTCATTTCTTTCTTTTCTTTTTTTTTTTTTGAGATGGAGTTTTGCTCTTGTTGCCCAGGCTGGAGTGCAAGGGCGTGATCTTGGCTCACTGCAACCTCTGCCTCCCAGGTTCAAGTGATTCTCCTGCTTCAGCCTCCTGAGTAGCTAGAATACAGGTGCCCACCACCACGCCCAGCTCATTTTTGTATTTTTGATAGAGACAGGGTTTCACCATGTTGGCCAGGCTGGTCTCCAGCTCCTGACCTCAGGTGATCCACCCACCTCGGCCTCCCAAAGTGCTGGGATTACAGGTGTGAGGCACCGTGCCTGGCCTCCACCTCATTTCTTGTAGTGCCAGTATGGCATAGCAGCCTCCAGGTGTCCCCAGACTTCCAGGGGGAGCAGAGTCATGACATATAGACTCTGCAGACCTGGAAAAGATTTGCTGCAGAGTTAAAGCAAACGTAGTCTAGATGTCCAGGCCATCGTGGCAGCTGGCATGAATACATGAAGACAGCAAGGAGCAAACATCTTCACAGGATGTGAGGCACCTGGAACTCAAGGGGTATCCTGGAGAAGAGAAATGCCAGACACTGAACTGAATGAGATAATTAAGTTTTTGCTATGAAGCAGGATGGGGGCTCAAAGTAGGAATTAAGTTTAATTTAGAAAAGGCAATGTATATTTTTAGTATTTTTGAGTAAGAAGGCTGAGAAGCCTAAATTTAAAAAAAATAAATTTTTTCCCCCACTGTAATTCACGACACTTGAGTTCATTTTCTGCTCCTGAAATAGGGAGGGCACCTCCCTCTGAAAACATTGTCAGAGAAAAGAGTCCAGGATTGAGCAGATGCTTTGAAGAGGCAGAACATTCTTAGCTTTAGGGGGCCCACCAGCTGGCCCAGGGCACAATTCCTCAGCCACAGTGCCTAGGGAAACTGCTCTAGGCATTCGGCCTGAGGCATTGGGTTGGAAAGCAAGGGGTTAATTTAGTATTAGCTGTGTTCTGTTCCAGAACATCTCTGTAGCTCTTGCTCCTGAGCTCCAGGGCTTCCTTCCTCATCCTACTCCACCCCCTCTTTTTTCCTTCCCTCTTTCTGTTTTTTTTGAGGTGAAGTTCGCATACCATAAAATTAACCATTTTAAAGCATATCATTCAGTGTCAGTACCTTCCCAATGTCGTGCAACCATTACTTCTATCTAGCTCCGAAACATTTTTATCACCCTCAAAGGAGACTCTGTACCCATGAGGTAGTCACTCCCAGTTCCGTCTCCCCCAGCCCCTGGCAGCCACCGATATGCATTTACCTAAACGGTATATTTCCTGTAAATGGAGTCACAAGATGTGGCCTTGGTGCCTGGCTTCTCTCTTCATCCCTTTTGCATCCTTCAGTCCTATCTCTTCTCCCTGAAGCTTTGGAGCCCACCCAAGTAGTCCCTAGGTATTTCCAGACTCCATTTTCCAGGAATTAGGCCAGAGAAAGAAAGAAAATAAGGTCAGAGGGCTTGGCGGTGGGAATTAAATCGGCTTAGGGAAAAAGAAACCCAGCAGTTTCTGATCAGGCCCCAGCAGCTGAATTTGGTTAGGAGGCCAATTATCTGAGGCCCACGAGCTTTTAAGTACCATGGCTGGGCCTTCTGTGGCAGGCCACGTGGAAGCCGGGCTCGCCCTGGCTCTTGACTGGAAACAGATGCTGTATGCCCAGGAAGGAAAGCTGAGTTTCGAAAAAATGCAGCTCGACTGAGACTGTGGTGTGGCTGGATTTTCACAAAGCAGTATTTATAATCAGGCAGAAAATCGTGGAGAAACAGCTAAGGATCAAGTTGCCACTTAAATTCCTAACAGCTACACCTGGCCATGAGAACTGGTGAGGTTTCGGAGACACACATCATAAAGTGTGGGCCAGGTTGGGTGCTTCTCTGATTAATATCATGGCAGGGTTTTGGAACTGTAAGTAGGGGAAATTGTAGGGGGAGGAAACTGGAGGTGGGGGCTTCTCTCAAACTGTGTGTTTGGTTACAGAGATGGCTGGCAAGACACTGCTGGCTCTCTGATCTTTCTGGCTTCGATAATTTTTCTGTGGTGCTAACACCTACCCCCTTCAGTTCCCCAGGAGGGAGAAATATGGGTTGAAGTTATAGAACATATTTTGGGCAGGCTCCCTCTGGACTTTGTTCATGCAGGATGGTCTTATTATTTTGATCTATGAAGGTTTGTCCAGTGGTGCGTGGTCTCTGAAAATCACACCATGCACCTGCCTCTCCTCTAATATTGTTTATGCACATTAAATTGTATAAAACTGTATGACCTTGGTTGGGCAAGTCACTTAAATTTTCAAGGCCTCAGCTTCCTCAAATGAGGACATTAGGTTCTGTAGTGGGTTGCATAGTGTCTCTCCCAAAATTCCTGTCCACTTACAACCTTAGAATGTGAGCTTATTTGGAAATAAGGTCTTTGCAAATGTAATTAAGGTAAAGGAATATGAGATGAGATTGTGCTAGATTAGGCCGAATCCTAAATCCAGTGAAAGTATCCTTATGAGATAGAAAAGGACACACAGACACACAGGGAAGAAGGTCCTGTGAAGGCGAGGTAGGCAGAGATGACAGCAATGCATCCACAAGCTAAGAATGCCAAGCATGGCCGGCAGCCGTCGGAAGAGAAGGTAGGAGGGAGGAATGAACGGTTTCCCTCTCTCAGCCTCCAGAAGGAACCAACCCTGCTGGCACCTTGACTTTTGGATCTCTGGCCTCCTGAACTGTGAGATAATAGATTTCTGTTGTTTTATGCCAGTTTGTGGTACTTTGTTATGGTAGCCCTGAGAAAGGAATACAGATTAGATACTGTTTCTAGGATTAATCCATTCCTCTATGGCACTTAGAGTTTTTACAAAATATATTTACTACATAAATTTATCCCTTATAAAAAATTTATTTATTTATTTTTTGAGATGGAGTTTCGCTCTTGTTGCCTAGGCTGGCGTGCAGTGGTGTGATCTTGGCTCACTGCAACCTCCACCTCGTGGGTTCAAGCGATTCTCCTGCCTCAGCCTCCCAAGTAGCTGGGATTACAGGTATGCACCACCACACCCAGGTAATTTTGTATTTTTAGTAGATACAGGGTTTCACCATGTTGGCCAGGCTGGTTTCCAACTCTTGACCTCAGGTGATCCACCTGCCTCAGCCTCCCAGAGTGCTGGGATTACAGGCGTGAGCCACCACGCCCGGCCATAAAAATTTATTTCTTATAAAAAGTTCTTGCCAGCAACTTTTCTGGGGCATAGGTACATTTTATCAGGCCACCTTCCCTCCCTCCTCCTCCTTTTTATTTTTCAGATGCTCAGAGTGACATATCTAGTGACACAGCAAGTCAGTGGCAGCCCCAGGACTCCATTTCATTTGCTTTTTCTCAAGTGTAGGCGGAGGTAGAGGATATCGGTTACATTGCAGTGGCCCCTATCAGCTGAAAAGTCCTAATTGTCCACAAAGATGTATATGGACTATGCTCCTTATGGGCTAAGGCCTGCCTAGCCTATGTGACTCACACCACTGATCTGGGCTGCCCAGACCCACAACCTCCTCTATTCTTCAGATGCGTATCTGGCAGCCTCTCCTCCACCCATGGAAAATGTAGAATAGAGATCATTGTTCTCATAACCAAAGGTGGGGCAGCCTGGCAGAGTGGAAAAGCATGTGCTTTTAGACTCAGCTGACCCACCCAGCTCTGCAGTTTGCTAGCCGTGGAACTCCAGGCAATGACCCTTTTCTCTAAGATTCAGGTTCTTCATCTGTACTATGGGGGTAACAACCCCTGCCTTGCAGAATTTTTGTGAGGAATGGGGATAAACGTGCAAAAACTCTGGCATGTCCCAGTCACTCTGTAAAAGAGAGCTGTTCCCATTATTTTCCTCCATAGTTGCGTTGGCTTTACTCCAATGCTTACACAAGGTCTGGTTTCAGTCTTCCAATTAATTAGCTCGTCAGCTTTCCTTAATCCCATGAGTTCCAGTATCTTGCACAAGATATCCTGTATGTGGGAAAGAGTTCAACAGGCATTCATCAAGGGCTTGTTATGTGCAAATCATGGTGTTGTGGTGGAAAGGACATGGCATTGGGCTTAGTCCAACCTGGTTCAAATCACATCTCTGCCATCTCCTAGCCATGTGATTCAGGTCTTTCTCACTGCTTAAATGAGGACAACTGAACCTGCTGGCAGCTTTGCTTTGGTCTTACACAAAAGGATGTGTATAAATGTGTGATGAAGAGTATGTGCTCAATGAATGTCAGATTTTTCATCTCATTCTGTGAATTCACCTTCTCACCTGTAACTAGGCAATCTTCCACTTCTCTAATCGCTGCTCTTACATCCTATCATCCACCATCAAAAGGACATGGGAGATGAAATCATTTTTAAAACAAGGTCGCTGGAGAGGGGTCACTCTGAGATACACTTCAAAGGTGAATGAATCCCTCTTCAGCTAGTTATATTTTATTCTAGAACTCAAAGTAGAGTTTAGCAGCTATTCTCTTTTTCCTTCTCCCTCCCTCAGTTTAGGAGAACAGATATATTTTAGGCTGGATTTAAAAATTTATTTTAGTTTTTTGAGACAGGGTTTTGCTCTCTGGCCCAGGCTGGAGTGCAGTGGTGTGATCATGGCTCACTGCAGCCTTGAACTCCTGGGCTGACATGATCCTCCCAAGTAGCTGGGACTACAGGTGGGCATCACCATGCCCAGCTAATTTTTAATTGTCTTATAGAGACAGGGGCTCACCATGTTGCCCAGGCTGGTCTTGAACTCCTGGGTTCATGCAGTCCTCCCGCCTCGGCCTTTCAAGATGCTGGGATTTTAGGTATGAGCCACCATGGATGGCCTAAATTTTTAATTTCAAATGAAAATAGCATTTTGGGTCCAATGAAGAAAGTTTCAGGCCAGGTGCAGTGATTAACACTTGTAATCCCAGCATTTTGGGAGGCGGAGGCCGTGGATCACTTGAGCCCAGGAGTTTGAGACCAGCCTGAGCAATATGGCGAAACCCTGTCTCTACAAAAAATTAGCTGGGTGTGGTGGCACATGCCTGTAGTCCCAGCCACTCTGGAGGCTGAGGTGGGAGGATTGATTGAGCTAAGGAAGTGGAGGTTGCAGTGAGCTGAGATCATGCCATTGTATTCCAGCCTGGGCAACAGAGTGAGATACTGTCTCAAAAAAAGAAAAAAACAAACAACAAAAAATGTAAGTTTGATAGACTTATTTTCGAGAATGGTAGTAAGAAACAGTGTTTTTGTTGTTGTTGTTGCTAAAATATCTGTATTTATCGCTTATATTTATTTGCTATACTGGAGTCCACAAAGTAGATATACCAGCCTTATTATATCATATCAATATCGTATCATATTTTCTTAAAAAACTACCTATGGTGAGTAGTTATTGTCTTATTTTTGCTGGTCCAGGTTCTGTCCCCTCATTTCCTTGGGGAAACTCTTTCACATCCCCGACCACGTATTTCTCATGTGACACAGGCTTGTCCGATGAGTGCTGTTTATTTTTTAATTTTTTCATAGCCCATGGTTGCTACTAAAATTACTGTTTTTTGCCCCTGCTGTTTCATCCAGTGATGGACATTTGCCCCAAGGCAGGCTAATCAGAGCCAGTGAGACTCAATTCTGGGCTATATCTCAGAAGCACTGGAGATAAGAAGCCCTCTTTCCCCTGGGCTTGAAATTAGTAGTATCTACAGCTTTCGGTCTGCAGCTGTTGGGAGTCAGTTTTCCCCTTTGCATAGGAGAGGCTTCCTGAGAATGAAGCCAAGGCAAAACAAAGCCAAGTATGCACCAGACACCCTGAGCCCTTATGACAGTGTATGAGCTCTAGGATCCAAACATCCGTGTCTGATGCAGTAGGAGCTACCCTAGGTCTTCCAATTACTTGTCTCAACATGTTCCTTTTTTGCCTTAAGTTGGTTTGAATTGCTTTGAATCTCTTGTAATCTACAGAGCCTTGATATCAGTCTTGCCATTCCTGTTTCCTAGATAGAGAAACTGAAGTTCACATTGACATTGCCAAAGTTAAGCAGCAGGATGCAGGGAAGGATGGGGTAAACCACCCGCCCCCTACACACTGGGCAAGTGGAGCTGGAGGAGATGAGGCCTGCTTCCTTAGAACCTCCCTCAACCCTACTCTGAAGCCCTATACTCTTGCCTCAGCCTCCCAGAGTGCTGGGATTTCAGGCATGAGCCACCGTGCCTGGCCTAAATTTAATTTTTAATTTTAAGTGAAATTAGCCTTTTGAGTCCAGTGAAGAGAGTTTCAGGCTGGGGACAGTGGCTAATGCTTGTAATCCCAGCACTTTGCTCATCTCCTGTCCCCCTGCAGGGACTGGTAAATAAGGACATTTATAGTGTAAATAAGAGCATCTCCTGTCCCTGAAGCACCTTACAAGGTTACTCTAAGTAGGCTAGGTTCCTCTGCCAACCAGTTAATCCTGCTGTCAGTTACTAGAGTCGATTTAGCATCCCTGGATGAATCTTGAAGTTGAGCTGCTTGTGGCTTCTGAGCCACAATATCTTCACTCCCCTTTGAACCACCATAAAGAAATCCTTAGTCCTCATATCTTGATTTGAGAACCCATTGATCTTTGCCTCCTGCCAGCACTGCAATGAAGGGTAGAGTTCAGGAAATAGAAGCATAGCATTTTTATTTATCCTGTTCTCTATTTCTCTGTCAGCAGCAGGTCCAAAGGTGAGTGTCACATGCTCTGCCATACTTTATGTTGCCTGAGCATATTAAATCCAGGATCCACTGCTCTGTGTCCATTTTCAGCGACCAAGTGGTAAGAACAAAGAATGGCAGGAAGGATCATGGTGGTCCCCCATTGCCAGAAATGTCTTGGTCTTAGTTTCCCATCAACAGTGGTGCTCTGGCTGGGCGTGGTGGCTCACGCTTGTAATCCCAGCACTTTGGGAGGCCAAGCCAGGTGGATCACCTGAGGTCAGGAGTTCGGGACCAGCCTGGCCAATATGGTGAAACCCCATCTCTACTAAAAGTACAAAATTTAGCTGGGCGTGGTGGCAGGCACCTGTAATCCCAGCTATGTGGGAAGCTGAGGCAGGAGAGTCGCTTGAACCTGGGAGGTGGCGGTTTCAGTGAGCTGAGATCGCACCACTGCACTCCACCCTGGGCAATGAGAGCGAAACTCTGTCTCAAAACAACAACAACAACAAAAACCAATGGTATTCTAAATACAGGTATAGACCACCAGCCTGCCGTGTATTCCAACCAAGGCATCCTGAGAAGTTCACTATTTGTTGCCTATTTAGCACTCCAACCTGCTTCTTTCCTTGTGAGTGATTCCACCCAGGTATTTCAGGGAAAGGTCTGATTTGGCTAAGCCAGGGTTTCTCAATCTTAGCACTATGAACATCTTGGGCAGGATAATTCTTTGTTGTCAAGGAGCTGTCCTGTATATTGTAGGATGTTTAGCAGCACCCCTGGTCTCTACCTACTAGATGCTAATAGCACCCTGTGTCCCAGTTATACAATCAAAAATATCTGCAGACACTGCCAGATGTCTCCTGGGTGGGGTCAACACCTCTCCCAGTTGAGAACCTCTGCTATCGATTGATATAATAGGGAATTTGAGATAGAGGGATACACATCTAGGTCCCAAACCTGGGAGGAGGGGCTCCTGGCATAAACATGGGAGATGGACACTGTAGGTTTCTTGGCAGTAGCTCCTCCTGGCAGGAAAATCCAGGCTGTCTGACATGGTGTGTGTCAGTGCAGAATCCACTCCCTACCTATTTCAGATAAATGCACACTAAAATGTATAAAACTATACAAGGGCATCTTTGCTGGAGGCTTAGGGCCCCCAGTCAGTGTGACCTTGTCTTGCTCAGGGAGACCTGGGGGAAGAAGGAACAACCGGCTGGGGGCCACAGAGTCTAGCCCCTTTTTTAGCACCTGGTGCATCTGCTGCCCACTAGTGTCTTGCTCTCAGAGGGGTCTCCACAGGGCAGATGGAAGGCCATCTGCCAGGGAAGTGAGGATGACCTCCAGCCAGCCAGTGGCAGCCTCCAGACCCTTAGCAATCCTCCTTCTAAAAGTGCATAGCCCCTTGAGGATGCCCCAGGGCTGAGAGGCTGAGAGCCCTGCTTGCCCCTCCCCTCCCTCTCATGCTGTCTTGCCCAGGCCATCCTCTCTGGCTTCCTAAGTTGCTCGGGCTGCCTGCCTCCCTCGGATGACACCCACACAAAGCAAATATCTAGTGAGTACCGCAGGGCCAGGTTACTTCCCCTTCCATTTCTTGGTATTTGCCCCACCCCATGTCCCAATTCCTTAGGGAGGCCTTCTTGACCTCACTGCATGAAGCACCCACCCAGCTATTCTGGAGTGTCTCCTCTTCTTTATTTGTGGAAGTGAACTTATCACTATCGGGTGTTATCTTTATTTGTTGATTGGCACAAACCCCCTCAGTTAAACTCCAGGAGAACAAGGACTTGGTCTTGATCATCTTTGGAGTCCTCAAAGCGTAGAACAGTACCTGGCACATAGTAGATGCTCAATAAATACTTGTTGAAGGAACTGATAAAGGAGAAATTTAATTAGGCATTGGAGTCCTATAAGGAGGAATATTCCTTCACATATCAGTAGGGTGTTCTCTTCCTCTGAACTGTAGTGGCTTTCTTCCCCATGACCCTTGGCACCTTCTGTGGCCATAGGGACCACATCCCCTGCTGACCCTAAGCTGTGTGTTGGGTCGTCTCTTCAATGGTTCTGGTGAACTCTGGATCCATTTTTCTTACTTCATGATCCAAGAAACTGATTCTTTGATCTAATTCCACACCAGACTTTCCCCAGACCCCATGAATGCAGTCATCTTTGTTCCAGGGGGTTTGAAAATCAGGGGTAAAAATAAAGCAGACACCGTGGAGCAGGGCTGAGTTATGGTAGTCATGAGAGCATCTGATAGCTCCTCTGTGACTCATCCATTTATTTTAATGACATCTGAATATGACAGTATATTGAAAAAAGAATGCATGTTATTTATTCCATACTGGGGAAGTGCCACTATAACATTGTTTTAAAAAATCTTCAAAAATTTCCTATTAGAACCTATCATTGAATTAGAAAAGCAAGCTTTGCCAAATGCCTGATTATGCCTTTACTGGTCCTGCTAGCTGGCATGTTTCACCAACTTTTCCCTAGTGTTTCCTTTGGCACTGTTGAGCCCACACTACAAAACATGAACAAGTCCCACAAAACCACACTATGCCCTCTGCTTCCCCATCATGTGGGGACCATCTGCCTGGACATCCACTGTGGGGTAGCAGGAAGAACTTTGGCCTGGGTGGACACATGGGGTTAATTATCTGTGTGTCTTTGGTCTATGATCACCGCATTCTTCCATTTGTTCGACCCTCAGTTTTCCTGCCTACCAGTAATGCCCTATGACTCCTCCAGCTCTGGTATCTGGGATCTTGAGTCTGAGGGGCAGGTCACTTGTTGCTATGGGCTTCTGCTCCCAGCAAAGGCAGTGGGTGACTGCTTGACTTTAGGGTTCAGTCTGGCAATAGCTTTGTTTCTGGTGAAGGGAAAGGTTAGATCATCCTGGTCCTGGCCTTTCCTGAAGGTCACCCTGGGGCTCTTTTCCCCCACCTTTTTTTTCCCTCTGAGCTTGGGAGTTATCCCTCTTCTTGCCCTTCTTCTCATCTTTTTGAAGCATCAGACTTGAGTTCCTTGCTATGAGATTGAAAAGGCAAAACTGTCTTCTAACAAGGGCCTTTTGGCATGTCCATAACAGCAACAACAACAGTAATAATAACAACAGCATCTTACATTTAAGGTTTTTAGTTTACACTTTACAAAGAACTTTTAAATACATAATCTCATCGGCCATCGTACGGCCCCTTGGCTGAGTTGAAGAGAACTTCTTTTCCCTTTCCTGAATCCTGCTCAGGGGGGACACAGCTTGAGCGGCCTCTTCTGCCCACGTACATTGCCACACAAACACTGAACCACACTTTTTCAGGAGCAAATTAACTGAACTCTTCCTGCCTCATGGAATGTCCTGTTTCTAGAATGTGACTGCTCAAGGAGAGAGCGTTTTAATCATCATTTGTTAGAGGAGCCTCATTTCGGGGAGAATTTTCTTAATGGTCCTTGCATTTGGCATTTCTTAAAGTCAGGGCTTCCAAACTTGAGGGAGAAGGCTCAAAATTATAAGGGACAGACCTGGCCCTTTTGCTGTCTTGGTTGATGGGGGCTGGATTCAGGATTGGGCCCAGGGTGATGAGCAGAGGGAGGTCTCAGGTTCCTTGGGGAGGCAGAGGGAAAGCTGGCAGCCTGGTGACTCCTCCCAGGAAGCCAGTGACCCTCGGTGGGGCTCTTGAGATGGCAGGCTGAGTAGGCTCTGGGCTGGGTGGGGAGAGGCTAGCAGGGGCATTGGTGGTGGGATAAGGCTCAGATCCACCTGCCTAGGGGGAGAGGGGGGATGGGGCAATGGAGGTGGGGATGGGGAAATGGAGGTTGGGAAGGGTGTTGGGCAGATCCCAGGATCCTCTTCAAGAGCAGAGCTTCTAAGCTACCATAGACATTTGTGATCCATCTGGCCGGCAGTGTTTTCTAGCCACAGAGTAAACCACAGGGAGCTCTCAAGTCCATTTTGGGTGACAGCTCTGTCTCCTCTTTCAGGCCTTTATGCTGCCACAGCTCTCTTCCTAAACCAGAGCTTGTCTTGCTCTTCCCTTCCTCAAACAACCCTGCTGGCACCTGTGGCCCAGTTTAGCATGCACAGCTCTTTGTGGTCAAAACCCTACCTTCCTACCTACCCCATTTCTCTCTGCTCCTCAGTGTGCTTCCCATACTCTTGCCACCCTAGATTTTGACTCTTCCCCAAACAAGCCAGGCCTGGCCATATCTCATTGCTTTTTAAAAGGCCACTCCCAGGAAAGTTCAATTCCCTTTCTCACTCTGGCAAACTCCTATTCATCCTTAAAGACCTAGGACTAGAAGTTCCCTCCTCTGGACAGCCACTTCCATTGCTTGTATTGCCACTTAAGAGCTCCTTGTGTAATAAGGCAATTGTCCATTTTTATGACTGTTTTTGTCACAGGCTGTAGGATCCTCAAAGGCAGGATGTGTTTCTTTCCCATGAGAAGCAGGATGGTTTAGTGGTTGAGTGAGCAAGTTCTGGAGTCAGACAGCCTGGGCCCAGATCCTGGCTCTACGGTTTATTAGACATTTACTCTTGGGCAAGTTCTTTAACTTCTCTGTGTCTCAGTCTACTCAACTGTAAAATGAGTTAATAGTGTTTTAACTACATGGTTGTTTCAATAATTAAATGAATATATATCTATTTCACAATTAGAGTGGTATCTGATGTATAATAAAGTACTAAATAAATCTGCTATTATAATAATGTTTGAAACAGGCTGAGCATAGTGGCTCACACCTGTAATCCCAGCATTTTGGGAGACTGAGGCAGGAAGATGGCTTGAGCCTAGGAGGTTGAGGCTGCGGTGAGCTATGATCGAACCACTCTACTCCAGCCTGGGTGACAAAGCAAGACCTTGTCTCTAATGACAACAAAAAACAAAGCCATCATAAGGCACAGTACCTGGAACATAATGGAGATTTACATGCACATTTTTAGATAAATTCCTCAGCTATATCCCTCTCTCCCTTCTCTTCATCCCCTCCATCCCTTCCTTCTTTCCTTCCTTCCTTCTTCCAGTTGCCTCGTTTTCCTCCATCTTCCTTTCTTTTCTTTCTCCCTTCATTATTCCCTGCGTCTTTGGCCCACCATTGGTACTCACAGATCAACTAGGCTCCTCTAGGGAACCTGAGGGCTGAAAGGTCCAATGAATTCCAAACTCTTCTCCCTGAAACTCCTACAGTGGAAGCTCCTGGGGGAAGGAGGGATGGATGATAAGAGCCAGGGAGTTGGTGTGAACAGCTGAGCCCTGGAAGATATGTGGCTAACCTGATGGGGTGGAAGGGGGCAAATGGGAGTGAGGGAGGGAGAGACATGGAAAGAAACAGGGGCAGGGAAGTCCCCTTCAGGAATGGAGGCAGAGGCTGGATAGGCTGCCCTTGGTCACTTTCCCTAGATGCATAAGCCCTGGTCTCCAGAATCTTTCCAGATACTGCGGAGGGAGAAGGAGTGAGCAAGGCAGAACAAGAGCAGGAAAAAACATCATATTATTTCCTTTTCCGGCAGGGCTGCTCTGATGGATTTAAGCCGCCTGAATCACCTGTGCTCACCCATTCTAGAGGAAGAATCTCAAGCTTTGGGTCTGGACTTCTGGTCTGGCTCCTCCACTTATCTGGTGTGTGGCTTAAGGCAAGTTCCAGAGCCTGTGAGGGCCTAAACTTCCTTCTTAGTGAACCCAGCTCTACTCCCTTATCCTTCCCAGGGAGGCAGGGGTTGCATAGATAAAATAAGGTAAAGTTTGGATATGCATTGGAAAGTGTCACAGATGGGCAAGGAGTCTCTATCGTCATGCTGGTGACCTGGAGGATCAGGTGGCAGAGGCCTGTCTTACAACAAGAGCCTCCAAGAACCTTCCAGAGTTGGACATCTAGCGCTGTGGGCAGACTTGACTTGGCTCCCAGCCTTCCGCTTCCAAGAAGGGCTGACTACCTTCTCTACTGGGATACATTCCAATGAAAAATTACCTGGAAGGAGGAGAGAGGGCCAGTGCATGGGTCCTGAGGAGACACCATGATATTCTCTTCCCTCGCCTCCTCTAGGAAGACCCCTCTCCTGGGGAGGAGCAGGAAAAATAGCAGCTGTTTTAAAATTTGGTAAGACAGTTCCAAATGACACCTGTAGCAGACTTCAATAGTCAGTCCTCGATTGGAAGCCAGGGCCAGCCAGGAAGGAGAAGAGGGGTCCCCCAGTGGGTTCAGATACGGAAGCCAGGGCCACCCAGGAAGGAGAAGAGGGGTCCCCCAGTGGGTTCAGATACCCTGAAGGGGGGTCTGGGACAGACAGGGACAGCAATATTTTTGAGTGGCAGTGAGACTGAGAAGGCCAGGGCTCAGCAGCTTTTCCTGGAAGAACTGGGCATTTTGGGCACTGACATCCAGGACTCCGAAAAGCTGGGTAATTTTAGGGGAGGAAAAATAAAAGGGAGTTAAAAAACAAGAAACAAAGGTCTTTTCCTTCTCTCTCTTCCTCTTATTCCTTTTTCTGATCTCAATGAGCAGCTCTTGGTCTACTGCCGACATAATACCGTTTCATAAACATGAAAACATCTTCCTCCTTCCTCAGACAGGCTATCATTCTTTATTCTTATCCTTTTGTTTTAAAGCATTTTTATTAGTCTATTTTTTTCTTAAATTTTTAAACAGCTATTTTTAAAAACACAACAAATACACAACACAAAACTTGGTAAAAATAACTCACTATATGGTACATATACGCAGATGGTGTAATATATTTATATAATAAAAGATGAAAATAGTCACTTTCCATAATAAAAATAAGTTCTATTTTTTGTTTATTTTACAATATACTTAATATTCTCTTCTTCTTTACCTTCCTCTCCAGCTTCATTTCCTTCATGCTGAATCACCAGGGGGTCCCACATGGCTGTCCCAACTCCATCAAGCTGGAGTCCGAGAGGTGGCAGGCAGGCGGGCAGGGGCTTAGGAACACGCGAGGCAGCCGCACTCTAAGTGTCTCTCCACCTCTTCTACAAACGAGGAGCCGTCCGTGCACTGGAAGACGTATTTCCGCCGCTTGCTGCGGGTGGGCTGGCAGCACTGGGGCCCACAGCCCCCACGACATTCCATGATGGGCACCTTGGAGGCTGTGGCACATGATGCATAACCTTTCTGGCGGCGGATCACCTCTCGGACTACTTGTCCCAGGCACGGATTCTCTGCAGAGGGCATAGAAGTCAGGGCATTGGTGGTCTAGGTGGCCAGCAGGACCATGAGCAGTTCCCAGGTAGGCTGCTTTGAAATACTTGTGCTCTGAAGACTGTAAGAATTTATTCACTCATCCATCTGCCTACCCTCCCCTCCATCCACCCATCTATTTTACAAACAGGTGCCTTTCCTGTACCAGGCTCTCTGACAGGCTTACACCTAAGCCGTGAGGATATAATGATGACAAAAGCAGGCTTGGTCCCTTCCTTCAAGAAACCTAAAGTCAAAACTAAAACTAGATGACGCAAACTGATAGACTGTGGGCCAAATCCTGACCCCAGACCAATTTGGATCACCCTACATGTGCCTAAAAATTAATTAAATGTCAACATTCAAAAAGCAGGAGATTTCACCTGAAAATCTGGATTTCTGCCTTCCTTGAAAACAAGGAGGTCTGGCAGAGCTGAGCCTGCAACCCTGCACTGCAGTGATGGCTGAAGCTGAGTGCTTTAGATGGGGCAGGCAATCTCCAGTTTGCCCCAGTCACTACCACTCCCAATAGTCTGTCTCTCTTGGCCTAGAGTCTAGATACTATTTAAGTGAATATATTTAATAAAGAAACTGAGGTAGATGCTATAAAGAAAGGGAAGATGTTCATACAAGAACATACAGTATATGTTTTTGTATGCTATAAGACATTTGTATTCAAAAGGCATTTGACCTGGCCCAGGGGCCAGGGAGGCTTCTCTGGGAAATGAGCTGGAGTTGATATCTGAATAAGAAGCAGGTGTTGCGATGAGCTTTTCCAGAAGGCCTAGAAATAACTGCAGGCTGGGAAAGGGCACCCCTGTATCTGCTTAAACACTCTGGACCCTGACCCAGCTTTTCATTTCCACCCCTCTACTGTCCTCACTACAGTGGGAGAATGTCTGCAGCAAGGCACTTGAGGAAGGGAGCCATGACCCTTGACCCTTGACAAGCAAGTCACAGTTTCCGTGTCTGCAAAGTGGTAACACATTTACCTGTCCTTCCAGCAACTCCCAGGCTGTTACGGGCACCAGAGGCGATTGTGAAGGAGAAAGGGCTTTATGCATTTTAAAGCTTCAGGTGTTGTTAAAAGTCTTTAAAATTATGAGATTGTTAAAAGGATTAGAAAGAGGTTAATGACAATGTGTGCATGTGCATGTGTATAACATGGGGAGAGACAGGGAGTGCAGATGGGGCAACATGCTAATGACTGGGGTGAAGGGATTAAGCTGTTTATACTGTCCTGACAGTTTTTCTGTAAGTCTGAAATTATTTCAGAATAAGCTATTTAATAACATTTTAAAAATGAGTTTTGGTTAAGAATAGTATTTCGTGTAGGTATAAAATGTGGAAAAGTCCTCAAGGCACGGGGTGGACTGCCTGGGATCCTGGTGGCAGGGAGCAAGACTTCTCAGTGTCCATGCAGGAGAAAGATCCCCCAAGGTAAGACAACCATTTTAATATTAATATAATTTCCTTTGTTTAGGTCAGACCAAAGAACTGGCTTCTGCTGACCCAGTAAGGGCAAGAGGGTTGGATGGAGGCTGTGGAGCAATGCCATCAGCTTGGATACATATGCGAATCATTGCAAAATGCAGGTTCTGACTCAAAAGGGCTGGGGTGGGGCCTGGGAGCCCCAGGTGACTCCCAGGTGATGTCAGTGGTGCTGGTCAATGTCAGGGGGCCACTCTGAGTGGCTAGGGTTTCATTAGTTTTGAAGGCATGGCATCTCAAGGGCCAACAGCTGGAAAAGAGGAGAAAAGAACCATCCAGACTGCTCATGTGTTCTCCCTGCAGAGGTCCACTGAGGACCATTTTCTACACTTGTTTCATCTTTAAAAAGTCCATGCTTTAGAATCTTAACTTTGGCAGTATGAGTTATCTGCACTTTTGTCTTTTCTTGGAGACAGGGTCTGTCTCTGTCACCTGGGCTGGAGTGCAGTGGTGCATTCATTGCAGCTTCAAGCTCCTGAGCTCATGCAATCCTTGCACCTCGGCCTCCCAAAATGCTAGGATTCCAGGTGTGAGCCACCACTCCTGGCCCTATCTAGATGAGGAAGTGAACCACAAGTATGCTGCTCAATGTCATGCAGAGTTGAGACAGGCTCTCACTCTGTCACCCAGGTTGATCTTGGCTGACTGTAACCTCCGCCTCCTGGGTTCAAATGATTCTCTTGCCTCGCCTCCAGCATAGCTGGGATTACAGGCGACCGCCATGATGCCCAGCTAATTTTTGTATTTTTAGTAGAGACAGGGTTTCACCATGTTGGCCAGGATAGTCAAGGTCATGCAGATTCTAAATGACAGTTTGGCCTTCATCGTGACAATGTTGCTTCTGACTTTACATCTCAACATCTCACGTACTCCTCCCAACAACCCTATAAAGAAGCACAGTAGCTAGCCTCCAAGATTGCCCCCAGTGACTACCACCTTCTGGTATTGATGCCCTTTATGTGGTCCCCTCCCTCACTGAATGTACCTGACTGATGTAACCAATGCAATGTGGTGGAAATGATGGTGTGAGTGACTTCCAATTGTAGGTCATACAAGACAAGTGGCTTACTCTCTTCTGGACCATTCACTCTGGGACATGCCAGCTGCCCTGGCGCAAGGACCCTCAAAGAGCCTGTGTAGTGACTCATGCAGGGCAGAACTGGGACCTCCCGCCAACACCCAGCGCCATGGGAGTGCAGCACATTGGAAGCATATCCTGCTGCCTTGGGTTAGCCTACAGAGAACTGCAGCCATGGCTGTGTAGAATGCAACCCTGAGAGATCCCAGCTACGCTCTTTCTGAATTCCCAACCCACAGGAACAATGTAGGCTAAAAAAAATGTTTTTTGTGGTTTTGAACTGCTATGGTTTGGGGCTAAGTTGTTATGCAGCACTAGATAACTGATACAGGAAGGTATAGTATTGCCTCCGTTTTCAAGTTGAGGGAATTGAGGCTCAGAAAGTGACTGAACCAAGGTCATGCAGCCTTTAAGTGGCACAGCCAGAACTGGAACTGAGGTGATCTGGATGTGAAGTCCAACTCTGACCCCCACTTCCTCCCTCCCACAGGCACAGTAGACCCACCTTGTTGGCAGTGCTCGCCGCTAAAGCCGGGCTGGCACAGGCAGTAGGGCTCCCCTTGGTCTGAGATGTGGCACTGCCCATGGTGACACTTGAAGGCTGAGCAGGCATTGGCAGAGTCATTCTTGTTGTCACACAAGTCCCCTCCATAGCCCTCGGCACACTTGCACATGTATGAGGTCCCAGTTGCCACACATTTTCCATGGTGGCATCTAGGGGCAGAGAGGAGGATGAGAAGGGAACTGGATCAGAGTTGGTGCTGCTGGGGACTCCCTCTGTCCACCCAGCCAGGGACCAGGGGACCCGGAGCTGAGTACAGTCCAATAGCTTTCTCTGTTTCCTAGGCTGAGCATCTCTTTTCTTAACCACCTTGGTTCCCCTGGCCAACCAGCCAGAAGCCTGCGAGTGTCACCCAGTGTCCACTGTGAGCTGTGACCACAGCAGAGGCTGGCTTGCTGATTTACACACACACCTCATGCAGCCAAGTAGCAAACAACTGCTTGAAAGAATCTAGCCATTCTCTAAACATTTTAATTGCTTTACCATCTTAAATAAGAATTACTACCACCCCACTACTACCAGCAGGTACCACTGGCTATGTACCAGGAATTGTGTTAAGTGCTTTACACCCAGTATTGCTCTGAATTTCCATCATAACCTCTTGTCTGCTGCTCCTATGCAGTACATTTCACCCATGGAAAAAAATGAAGGTAAAGCCTATATTCTGAATCATGATGCACCACTGCCCCTATTGAGATGACATGCAGAGCCAGGATCCGTATTATAGAGTCAAACACACACACACATATGCTCAAGAGCAACACAAGAAGCTCAAACCCTGTATAGCTGTCCCTTATTCCTGATCCAAAAAATCATTTCCTGACTGGTTTAGCCAACCACATTTCCAGTGTTGGCTCTGGTGTTAGTTTTGGCTGATTCAGGTTTCTTAACACTGACAGTACTGGATCTCCTATATTTAGCATGAGGCCTGGCACGTAGTAGGACCTCAGTAAATCTTTGTTGAATGAGTAGTTGCTTAAACTATTAAATGTGGTTTGATGTGTGGTTATATACACCTGGTGCCTTGCACAGGCTGAGTCTGCCCATGTGGGTGCCTTTTTTAATTCCCACAGAGACAGTGGGGGCTCACTGTGGCTCTGGACAGGTTCTAAAGGCCACCTGGCAGAGACTAGTGTTTTGAGCAGGGCCCTCTTATGCTGATCCCTCCAAGCAGGTCTGGCTGCTCAGATGTGTAAGCTCAGCCTCTTGACCTCTTAAGCAGTTACACTTACACAGATCCTATCTGCGGTCTGACTGCAACTCCTCCAGCCTCCAGTAGTGCCTATTTCTCAGGTGGGGTAGGGACTGAGGCCATTCTGGGAGCTCGAGCACACAGCCAGGGCTCCTGGGACACTGACCTGTGGCCGAGGCAGGGGTCCCGGGCCTCCTGATCGCAGAGTGGGCCGGTCCAGCCTGGGCGGCACTCGCACACCACGCTGTCCTTCTCCACGGAGCGGCACAGGCCGTGCTTGCACACGGTGCAGGACTTGCAGCCTGGTGACACCCCCAGGGACTGTGGTGGGAGGGCCTTGAAGTCCTGCAGCTCGTTGTTGATGCGCACCTCATGGATGCATCCGTGGAAGCCGCCTAGAGGCCGGTCCGTGCCCTGGCGCAAGGCAGAGAGGCCGGTGGAGGTGGGGATGCCTGTGGGAGGGGAGCCAGGACAGTGGCCTGAAGACCCTCCCCTGCCACCCTGCTGTCCTCAGAGCGAAAAAGCACTTTTCACACATTCATGGCCAGAACTCTGGGCCTCTGCTGTTCAAACGAGGTTAACGGGCCAAAACCTCGGACCTCCTCCATACAGGGACGTGCATCCTTGGTCCTGCACTGGGACTCCTTAAAAAAACGTGAATTTGTTGCCAATATGTAATATTAGAAAATTTCCCATAAAAATTTGTATCTTGGACTTCCCTAGAAAAAATGAGATGATCTGGTCACCCATTGCCCTATGATCCCACTGGCTGAACTGAGGAGACCGTTCCCCCCAATAGGCAAGTGCACCAAATAACCTGCTGTCCCCACCAGGCTCCTCAGCCCTTTGATCCAGGCCTCACAAGAGAATCCAGGGCAGGTGAGCTACAGCTGAGGAGATAAGATAAGGTTTTGGGGAGCTGCTTGATCAACGAAACTTTGGGGTTCAGGGTTTTTAGACCAGTTTGCTGCCTTATGTGCGGTGTACCCCTCTTCTCAGGATCTTCAAGAGACTGTTAGTAAAGACCTAATTTGCTTTTCAATAATTTGTATTTTCGCTCCCCTTCTACACCATTCCCTGCCCACCTTCTATAGTTGAGAGCCTGGGACTGGCCTGGAAGCAGGGCACCCAGTTCCGTTCTGGGTGCACCTGGAGCAGGTGGGGCACAGGGCACGGTCCTCCTCCAGGGATAAGTGGTGTCCCTTCTGGGGCTGCCCTCGGCACAGAGCTTTCCCTGGCCTCCCTACATCTGAACCACCCATTAACAACACCCTCTTCTGGGCCCGTGCTAGTCTCTGCAGGTGGACTCTGGGTAAAGTCTTGGGAATCTTAGGATTGAACGAGCAGTTTTGGTAGCTTTTTTTACACTTAACCCCTTGAGAACTATCAGTGCAGGGGCTGCATTTCAGGCCCAGAGTCTGCCTAACTGATGGCTACTTTTTTGTGTTTTGTTGTTGTTTTAAAGACAAGGTCTCACTCTGTCACCCAGGTTGCAGGGCAGTGGCACAATCATGGCTCACTGCAGCCCCAACCTCCCAGGCTCAAGCAATCCCCCTGCCTCACCCTCCAAAGTAGCTGGGACTACAGGTGCTCACTACTGTGCCCAGCTAATTTAAATATTTTGTAGAGATGAGGTCTCACTGTGTTGCCTAGGCTGGCCTCCAACTCCTGGGCTCAAGTGATCCTCCCACCTCAGCCTCCCAAAGTGTTGGGATTACAGGTGTGAGCCACTGCACCTGGCCTACTTCCATTTTTGGCCTTTGATTTTAATCTCAAATTCTTCTACATTCATTAATTGAACCTCCGAGGGTTTGAGGAGGTGGCAGAGCAGAGGGAATATGACCTGAAGCTGGCAGACTTCAGCAGAGCCTAGACCCTGCTTCCATCTCCTGCCTCCCCCTTCTCACCCTTGCCCGTCACAACGTGTAGTTTCCAGGAGTCCTGTTCTCTTTCCTTTCCAAGCACCTGTCCCACATTCTCTTTCCTCCATGGCCTGGCTAGTGCTTATTCACCTTTTAGAGATCAGCTTCGTTGTCCCTTCCTCCAGGAAGCCTTCCCTGATTGGCTTTGGCAGTGGCCTGGGTTTCTGTACTGGAGCACAGAGGGCCAGAGGGAGGTAGAGGTGGTAGGGAAAGAGGGCATTACCTCCAAGGTAGAGGGGGCTGTTGATGCCCACTGCTGGCTGCTTCTGGAGCTTCCCCAGGCTCTTTGGAGTTCCTTTGTCCACTACTAGGTTCAGGGTCTGGTTTAGCGTCACCAGCTCCACACTGTGAAACTGCCCATCATTCACTGTCTCCACACTGGCCAGTAGAGAAGGGGAGAAAGCCGGAGAGTTCACTAAGGGCCTTCCATGGCTGGGCCCTGTGCTGTGGACTTGACCTGCATTGCTTACATTTTGTTTTACTTTTTATTTGGAAATAACTTTAAACTTACATAAGTTGCAAAAATAAAAACAGTACAGAAGATGCTTATTACCCAGTTTCTCCCATTACTCCAATGTGCTTATGGTTTTCTCTGTGCATTTTATGTATACACACACACATTTCTGAACCATTTAAAGGTAAGTTACATACATTACAGCCCTTTATCCTTAGATACCTCAGTGTGCATTTCCTAAGGACAGAGATATTCTCTTATATAAGCACAGTGCAGTTGTCAACTTTGGTGAATTTAACATGGATACCACACTGTTATCTAGTCTATTATCTGTATTCCAGTTCTGCATTGGACCCAATACTGTCCTTTACAGCATTTATTTCCTTCCAGTCCAAGATTTAGTCTAGGGTCAGGTATTGCATTTGGCTATCATTATTTGTATTCTTTTCTATTATTTCATAGAGTTAAGCAAACTCCATTCCCAGACCACCTTCTCAATCCTGCTCTATCTGCATGCTGCCTGGACCACTATTTACTCAACACGCTTGTTCTTTTCAATTGCCCAATTTCCCCCTTAAATATCAGCAAGGATAAAGGTTAGCATTGTTCTAAAAAATAGTTTTGATGTGGTTTTTATATTTTTTTCTAGTACATATAAAACAAACTCTCTCACAGTTAAAATTTCAATAGTTTGCTATTGTCCCCCCTAAGGTCACCTCAGGTACCACCAGTGGTATGCATGCCACTTTTGGGGAAATACTGCCTTATAATACTCATGCTAGGTAAGTTTGTTATCTCCACTACAGAAATGAGGAAACGGTAGCTCAGGGAGGCTAAGGAATTTACCTAAGGCACCACAGTTGGTAAGACATAGAGCAAGGATTTGAACTGAGGTTCAGGTCGAATGTCCCTAATCTGAAAAGCTCCAAAAGCCCACACTTTTTGAGTACCCACATGATGCTTGAAGGAAATGCTCATTAGAAGATTTTGGATTTCAGATTTTCGGATTAGAGATGCTGAACCAGCATAATGCAAGTATTCAACACTTTGGGTCCCAAATGTTTTGGTTATGGGATATTCACTTTTTTTTTTTTTTTTTTTTGAGATGGAGTCTCACTCTGTCGCCCAGGCTGGAGTGCAGTAGCATGATCTTGGCTCACTGCAACCTCTGCCTGCTGGGTTCAAGCAATTCTCCTGCCTCGGCCTCCTAAGTAGCTGGGATTACAGGCTCATGCCACCACAAACAGCTAATTTTATGTTTTTAGTAGAGATGGGGTTTTCACCATGTTGGCCAGGCTGGTCTTGAACTCCTGACCTCACGTGATCCACTTGCCTCGGCCTCCCAAACTGCTGGGATTACAGGCATGAACCACCGTGCCTGGCTGGTTATGGGATATTCAGTGTGCACATCCTACTTGCCCATGCTGTCTCTAACAGGGCCAAGAGCCACTCACCGAGGGCCCAGATGAGCCAGACATGGTGCTAAGTGGTTCACTTATTTGAACCTTACAATAATTCTATGAAGTGGGTGCCAGATATCCTATTTCACAGATGAAGACACCGAGGCCCAGAGAGGTTAAGTGATTTACCTGAGGTCACCCAGCTAGTACAGGCAAGAGACAGAATTTGTAGGCAACACTTTTGACTCCCAAATTGTGCTCTTTCCAGCGCTCCACCCTCGGCGGGGGCTGGGAGGGAACAGTGGTGGGAGATGATGGGAGTTGGGGAATGTGACACCTCTTCCTTCCCTGAAGCTCTCTGAGGAGTAGACTGAGCTCTGTCTTATCTATTCAGGTATCAGGGATACATATGGAGGCTTCCTCTCTCCTTGAATTCTCCCTGACAAATCCTTGTTGGCTCCAACAAGAGGATCCCAGCAGGGGGTGGCACTGATTAGGCAGGCAGGGACCATTTCAGTGACTAACTCAGATTTAGAAATCTCAGCAGCCAAAAAGGCAAGAGAAATGCTTGGGAGAAGACAGGCTAAATTGGGGTATACTGAAGAAAACAGAGTCCATTCTAGCCCCTTACTGCTGGATGGAACCATAACCAACCATAGGAATAGAACATCCGGTCTCAGTTTCCTCATCTGTAAAAGGGGGATAATAACCTCACAGAACTATTGTGATGTTCAAATAAAATAAGAGAGGGTACGTGAAAGTGCTTTGTAACCAGGCATGCTGGCATGTGCCTGTATCACTAGTTACTTGACAAGCTGGGAGGTTGAGGCAGGAAGACCACTTGAGCCCAGGTGTTCAAGTTCAGCCTGGGAAACATAGCACGACCCCTATTTCTTAAAAAACAACAACAACAAAAGAGCGCTTTGTCAATTACTGGGAAAATGTGAGCAGTTATTTTAGTGTTAGAAGACTAACAAGGACCATTGCCTGCAAAGCTAGTGATCCCTGTTCTAGTGCTGATCCCTGGGAGAAAGTGATGGCAGAGGACATGCAGGAGCCCAGGACCCACTCAAATCCATTGGGAAATCTCTCCTCCCACTCATTCATCCAACTATCCAACCATCCATTCAACCATCTATACTTCCTTTCCATCTATTCTACCTATTCATCCATCCACCCTCCTCTCCATCCATCCACCTATCCATCTCTCCACCCACCCACCTACTTATTTATCTACCCTCTTCATCCATTCATCCCATCACATCCATCCATCCTTCATCTACCCACCCACCCTCCTCTGCATCCATCTACCTATCCATCTCTCTACCTACCCACCTACTTATTTATCTACTCTCTTCCATCCATCCATCCATCCATCCATCCATCCTTCATCTACCCTTCATCCGCCCACCCACCAAGTGTCTGCTATGGGCCACCTCGTCCTGGGTGCTGTGGATCAGTGACAAACAGGGAAGATAGGGTAACTGCACTCACAAAGCTTCCATTCCACTTTCCTTAGCCTTTCCTATAAAGTAAATGACAACTTATCAATGTAAGGTCTAGCCAAGAGATAGGGTAGTGGGAGGTGGAGTGGTGGGTAAAAGAGTCCACTGAGGAATCTGGTTTTTTGATGGGGAGCCAAAAAGCCCTATGAAGGTAGAGCTATTTCTATTTCAGAAGCCTCCAGCTGCACCAAGTTGCAAGCTGAGGGCAAGGCAGAGGCCTCTGATCCTACAGATGGGCTGGTAAAAGCAGGAAGGGGAGGGATGGCCCCGTGCAGAGACCATAAACTTGTGACCTTGAGCCCTCAGACAGTTTTCTAACCACACATGCAAAAATATGCAGGTATATCCCACAGCGTCCTAGAAATGGATGCTGTTTGGATGCAAATGAGCTCACCACCCTGGAGGTGTGTCAACATGCTGGACAGCCACCTGTCAGAAAGGGAGTTGTCAAGAGACTGCAGCTCAGGCACTCGCTTCCAACATTATGATTCAGGGAGTCAGGGCAGCTGTTTTCCCATTACAGACACACACACACAGACACAGCGAACACATACCACCTACTCCTGCCTGGCAGCTGGCTCCAGGCCCAACTCCTTCTTCCCTTCCTGCCATCCCAGGTGCTGGTGAATAGCCTGCAGGGGTACCCAGCCTGGAGACAGTGGTCTGGCAGAAGCCACAGATCAGAGAGGGCTGTGTGGTCACTGGCTCTTGCCCTAGACAAAGTGCTGGGTTCTGCAGTGCCCCAGTGCTGGGCTTCCTGGAGGGCCTCATCTGATGCCCACATGGGAGAATCCTAGGTAGGCTCGAGGTATAGCCTTCAGCCAGGTCATGCTTTGAGGAGAGAGATCTGGGATCACACTGGGCCTGCCAGCTGAGGGACCCTGGGCAAGTCATATCACTTCTGTAAGCCCCTGTTTCTGCTTCTATTCAATGAGTTTTATACTCATCTTACAACATTGGTTTTTTGGTTGTTTTTAGTAAGAGACAGGGGTCTTGCTCTGTTGCCCAGGATGGAATGTAGTGGTGCAATCATCGCTCACTGCAGCCTTGAACTCCTGGGCTCAAGCCATCCTCCCACCTTGGCCTCCCAAAGTGCTGGGGTTACAGGTCACTGCACCCGGCCTACACTGTTTTTTGTTTTGTTTTTGTTTTTTGAGATGGAGTCTCGCTCTGTTGCCCAGGCTGGAATACATTGGCGTGATCTCAGCTCACTGCAACCTCCACCTCCCTGGTTCAAGCAATTTTCCTGCCTCAGCTTCCCAAGTAGCTGGGATTACAGGCACCCACCACCATCCCCGGCTAATTTTTATATTTTTAGTAGAGATGGGGTTTTGCCATGTTGGCCAGGCTGTTCTTGAACTCCTGACCTCAAGTGATCCTCCTCCCTTGACCTCCCAAAGTGTTGGGATTATAGGCGTGAGCCAGCGTGCCTGGCCCTACACTGGTTTTAATGGGCAATACGTGGCCTGTGACACCTAGCAAGTGCTCAGTGAAAGGTGGAAATGATGACTCCTTGACCTTACTCTGGGCTTGCTGGAGCTGGGTGTGGCAGCAACTGGGGTGGGGGAGTAGGTTAGTGGGCCCTGGAAGAACCTGCCTATGGATTTGGCAAACTTACAGCCACCCAGGGCTTTGAGTGGCTTTGAGCCACTCAGGGCTCTGTATACTCCCACTGGCTCATTCCCATTTCTGAGGAGGGGACTCTTGTGAGTCCCATTTTAGGGAAGGAAGCTAAGTAACCCGATAGGGGCCACACTGCTAAGAAGTGCTGGAACTCAGGTTCAAAGTCAGGATTGCTTCCAAATCCAAACCTCCCATAATGTTATCTATGCCGGTAGGTGCTCATGGGTTAACAGGTCGCCTCTTCCTGGCAACTTTTAACCAGATCTCCTGGATATAATGGCTGAAGCCAGTGTTTTTCAAACTGTGGATCCCTGGAGGTTCAGGGTAGGCAGTGCTAAAGGCTCTGGCTTTTTACCAGCATCCCTAAGTCAGGATGCCTCCATTTCTACTTGCCTTAAAAAATAAAAAAATAAAATCATGGCCGGGCACGGTGGCTCACACCTGTAATCCTAGCACTTTGGGATTACATCCTTGAATTCTCCCTGACAAATCCCTGTTGGGAATTTGGGAGGCCGAGGCGGGCGGATCACAAGGTCAGGAGTTCGAGACCAGCCTGGCCAACATAGTGAAACCCCATCTCTACTAAAAATACAAAAAATTAGCCGGGCGTGGTGGCGGGTGCCTGTAGTCTCAGCTACTCGGGAGGCTGAGGCAGGAGAATCACCTGAACCCAGGAGGTGGAGGTTGCAGTGAGCCAAGATCGCGCTACTGCACTCCAGCCCGGGTGACAGAGTGAGACTCTGTCTCAAAAAAACAAACAAACAAACAAAAATCATTATTAAATCTTAGCCTTTGAAACAAAATAATGGGAAAATGGCTCTACTGTGACAAAAGTAGAGGAAAAAAAAGGAAAAAATAGTAACAACCTAAGGTTCACACTAAAAGAAATGATGATATAGTGGTCCCAAGCCCCAATGATTAGTCTCCTGGAGAGATATTTAAGGATTTCAGGGGAGAGAAGGGGGCTCTGAGGGTCTTCCTCATTATCTACTGGGCCAGACTGAACTGGTGCCAAGTGGGAGGTGGAGAGCTCTGGAGTTGTCAGGGTGGGGCTGGACGCATCCTGCCTGGAACTGGCATAACCACAGGCATTGGCCAGAGTGGCCCATGGCCTTTTTGCCTTTGCATTTATTTATTTTTTGAGATCGGGTCTTGCTCTCTCACCCAGGCTGCAGTGCGGTGGTGCAATCACAGCTCACTGCAGCCTTGACCTCCAGGGTTCAAGTGATCCTCCTGCCTCAGCCTCTCAAGTAGCTAGGACCATACATGTGCACTACTATGCTTGGGTAATTTTTTATTTTTTGCATAGATGGAGTCTGAATATGTTGCCCAGGATACTCTCAAACTCCTGGGCTCAGGCGATCCTCCTGCCTTGGCTTCCAAGAATGCTGGAGTTACAGGCGTGAGCCACCATGCCTGGCTTTCTTTTGCTTTTAATAATAATGGTGGATACGTGTTAATCCCTTAGTAGAGGCCAGGCATTGTGCTACCCTATGCTAAGCAGTTAACTTGCATTCTCTTATTTAATCCTAACAACCCCCAGGAAGGAGGCACACTTTTTCCTCCATTTTTCAAATAAAAGACTTAAGGGTCAGAGACTTTAGGTGTTCAGCCTGAAGTCTTAAGGGACTTGAGGGAGGAAGGGTTTGTTATTCCTCTAGGTGCTGGTTGCTCTAACCTGAATGCTGAGTCGTGACCACTAGGTGGCGATAGAGCCTCGCAGTAACAAAAAGTTCCTGGGATTTCGGGTAGGCAGCAAGCGGAGACCTCAGGCCCCACTGCAGCAACCCCCTACTCCTGTAGCACAGCCCACACTCTCTCGGCTCTGTCTTTCATGTCCCGGAGCCAGCACGGTGGGAGAGCTGGTTTGGGTGGAAAACTGACCCGGATTTAAATCCTAGCTCTGCCACTTACTGGGCTTCTAATATGAGGCTTCTCATCCCTAAAACAGGAGTGAGGATCCAATGAGACAAAGACCTTGGCAGTGGACAGGATTGTAGAAATCAAGACTCAGAGAGCATGCACTGCATTGCATTCAAAGAGCACACCCACGCGGTGTTTTAAAATGGCCAACACTCAAAAACTTAGATATCTCACATAGAAACCCCGGTGGTCCCGCTTCTCTTGATAATCTATATTCCCACATGGCAGTGTCTGCTGGAGCTGAGGTCAGCCACTCCTTTGGATGGGGCTCCACCCTTTAGGCTACTGTAGCCCCCACCACTCCCTATGGGGACTCCAGCCCATTTTCCCCATGTCTGTTACCTATGTGGCCATTTGGCCTTGCTGGCATGTGAGTCTGGCCTTCTCACAAGTCTCAGTGCCAAGGAACAGTGAAGTCTGTCCCCATTCTGGGGCAAGGAGGGGCTCAGGTGGGCTTCTCTGTGTATTTGCCCTGGGGCCTGGAATAGAATCTTCATGTGCCCTCATCACCATTTGTGATTATGGCTGTGCAGATGAACAACATCAGGCATGGACAGAATGGAGACCATGGAATCTAGCCTGCAGGTCCCTGCTGGGAACCCAGGCTGACATCCTCACTCTGAAGCTGGTCAGTGGGCCTTAGTGAGCCAAAAGCTGGTGGCTGCCAACTCCCCCAGTTAGAATAGCTTTGGCTGGGCTCCCTGACTCTGGCCCTGAGGCCAAGGTGGCCTTCCTGGGTGGCTAGAGGTTATTGTACTGATGCTGAGGAGGAGATCTCATTTTTTGTGGTTGGACTGGCCTCCTGGCCCCCTCGGCTGCTGGTCAGCTCAGGCTGTGCCCTCCATTAACCCCAGCCCTCCCACATGGCTTCCATGCAGGCTGATGGGGCCTCCTCCTCCCCAGGGCTTCCTCGCTGCTCAGCCTGAGAAAATGATTCTGAGGCACAGGTCATGTCTCAGCTCAAACACCACCTCCTCCTCCAAGGTCCTCCAAGCAAAAATATTTGCTCCTGGTGGGCACAGTGGCTCACACCTGTAATCCCAGCACTTTGCGAGGCCAAGGTGGGCAGACTGCTTCAGCCCAGGAGTTCAAGACCAGCCTGAGCAACATGATGAAACCCTGTCTCTTCCAGAAAAAAACAAAAATTAGACGTTGTGATGCACACCTGCAGTCCCAGCTACTCAGGAGGCTGAGGTAGGAGGATCACTTGAGGCTGGGAGGTGGAGGTTGCAGGGAGCTGTGATCATGCCACAGCACTCCAACCTGGGTGACACAGTGAGACACTGTCTCCAAGAAAACCCAAAAAACAAAAAAACTTTGCTTCATCATTGGTGTTCCTGTAGCATGACACCAGTGTCTCCAGTGAGAATGATTTGATTTTGCTGTGGAACCACTGCTTGTTGATATGTGTGTCTTCCTCCCTGGACTGTGTTTGTTTAGCTCTGTGGCCCCTGCACCTAGCCCAGGGTCTGGCCCAAACATGGGGCCTGGTAGATGTGGAATGAGTGAGAGTGTACTAATGGCAACAGAAACAGGGCTGCCTCAGGGAAAAGTGTTTGGAAGCAAAATCATTTTAATCTGGAATTGCTAGAGCCTTGGGCCCCTGAGGATTGGAAACTGAATGAAGGGTACTAAAGATCTGTTACAGGCTCAGCATGAAGATCTAGGCCAGGAGTGCCAGGGCATCCTTAGCTTGGTTTCCCTGTGGCTAAGACAGAGCCTGGTGTCTCTCCAGGGCCACCTACCTGCTCAAACTCAGGGCTCCCTGACAGCAGCTTCTGGACAGCAATTCTCTGACTTTCCATTTCATAACTCAGCACAGTGCTGCGACACTCCTACCACCCACACCAGCCTTCTACCAAATCACCAGCCCTGACAGCTAACGTCAGCAGAGGGCAAAGGCTGGGCTCTGTTTGGGAAGGCCCCCAGCTCAGGGCAGGGCTCAGCTGCTTCTGGAAGCCTGGCTTTCACCTTCTGTCCTTGACATGTCTGCGTAAAGGCTTAATCTGCCAAGCACTTCCTCCAGTGTTATTTCAACCCTCAGTGACTGCCCTAAGAGGTACATCCTGCTATTGCTCACATTACATGGGAAGGGGGAGGGGGAAAAACTGAGGCACAAAGAGGCTGAATCACTTGTTCACATCTGGATTTATGTGATAGCAAATGCTTCACAGGCTGCCCTGGCCCTGCCTCCTTGGCTCTCTGTCCTCTCCACTTGGCCAGGACCTGTGGCTCCAGGGACACAGATGTTAGGCGGCCCAGGCTCTAGGGAGACCACCAGGGTGAGCTCTTTCTTCTGGTGTCCACTGTGCCCAACTGTCCTAACCTGCCTGGTCTTTATCCACCTTCCACTGGGAGCCTCTTGCTCTGGTCAACACCCTTTTCTTTGCTCCTCATCTGTCTTTGCTGACCTCCCAGCATGCCTTGCCCACCTGTTCTCTCTGCTCTCACAAGTTCTTCCCTTTCTTCAAGGCCCAACTCAGACTGCTCTTTCTGCAGGAAGTTTTCCTTTGGAAACTGGTGTTTCCTAGACTTGTGCATTAGAATTACCTGGAAGGATCTCTGAAGCACAGGTGTGTTGGGGCCAACCCCTAGGGTTTTGGATTCAGTAGTTCTGGGGTAGAGTCTGAAAATGTGTATTTCTATCATGTCTGTAGGTGATGCTGGTGCTGCTGCCTTGGGGACCACGCTTTGAGAACCACTGGTTTTAACCAATGGCTTTCAAATTGGGTTTGTTGGATGATTTATCAGGGGCCTTGACAACAGTGTGTGTGGAGGGGGGATCTTTGCTTCAACACTGCAGGGCGGTTTTGCTTCTAAGTATTTACAATTCTTAAGTTTAATATAAGATTTTAATGGAAGAAAAGATTTAGTTAGCAGGGGGAAGAAAGTCTGAAAGTTGCAGCTCTTCACCAATCCCTATGAAATGTGCTCTTGCCTCTGAGGGGACAGTGTGGCCTCTCTTTTGTACTGTGGTTTCCCTAAGGTTTGGCTCTCCTTCTACTGGTAGTTTGACATGATTTTAGGTGTAACACAGACATTTTTAACTTTTAGTAGTCATTTTTATTACTATTATAAAAATATTTATAACTAAATTTTTATTTTAATATTTAGCATTTATTTTACTGAGAAGCTGAAAAAAATCTAACATATCCAACTAACATATCTGTGATTCCCCAGATGTTCATTCCTTAAGGAGCAGCTATATGCAAAAAGTGAGCGGTTGGCTGGGTGCTGTGGCTCACACCTGTAATCCCAGCACTTTGGGAGGCTGAGGTGGGTGGAACACCTGAGGTCAGGAGTTCGAGAGCAGCCTGGCCAACATGGTGAAATCCCATCTCTACTAAAAATACAAAAATTAGCCAGGCATGGTGGCATGAACCTGTAATTAATCCTAGTTACTAGGGAGGCTGAGGCGGGAGAATTGCTTGAATCTGGGAGACAGAGGTTGCAGTGAGCCGAGATTGCTCCATTGCACTCCAGCCTGGGCAAGAGAACAAAACTCCATCTCAAAAAAAAAAAAAAAAGAAAAGAAAGTGAGCAGTTGAAAGTTGCTGTAAGGCAGCATCTGAAGTGAAAGTCCAGCTGCCACACCCATCACACACAAGCCAGGGTGGCTGCTGGAGAGGCTGAAGTTTAGGAAAAGCTGCCCTTCAGGATGGTTTGAAAGTCACCTAAGGGGTGGCCCTGCTCCCTCCGTGCCCTTGAGTTTCTTCCCCTTGAGTTGCATGCTAATTGTGCCCTGTTGTCTTTCTTAAACTAATAAAAGATTAAGATGACATTTTGAAAAGGGCACCTCATTAAGCAGCCTCGTCCCCACTGCAGCGCGCACTCCCGCACAGTAGCCAGCTGCCTGTTTATCTTATGGTGATGAGGTGTCACCTCCCCTCTGCGGGCCTGCCTTCCTCTGCCTCTTCCTCTGACACGCCTTTCTCCCTCCCACTCACCACTCGGTGAGGAGGAAGTGTGTGTGTGCGCACATGTGCGTGGTAGGGGCGGGGAGAAGGGACACCCGAGTTCTCCTGAATCCCCCTTCTGAGTTGCAGGCCCAGAGGCAGAAGGATGCGGAGGAACACACAGTGGGTCAGGAGGGAGAGAGGCCCTTACCTGTACACTGTGGTTGGAGGGGAACTCAGGCTGTCATAGACCAGCCGCACGTGGCCCTGGTACAGCTCCAGTGCCAGGGGGTCATTGTCTCCTTTGTAGAGAAGGATGCCGTTGTCCTTGTCAGTGGCCACCTGGAGAAAGCAGCCGGGGCGTGTTAGTAAGGGCTTACCTGAGACTGAACCTTCCCTGCCCATCTCACAGAGCCCTCTTCCAGGCAGCAGCTTCTGAATCTGTGCTGCGTCTAAATTCATGTCCATCTTTCCTCCTCCATCTAGTCAGTAAATCCCCAGAAGGTAAGGCCTAGACTTACACCTCAGCAAGTGCTGACTGAGCAAACCAGTTCAACACATTTTTACTGAGTGCCTACTGTGCACCACTATGTTCATATATTAATGTATGTCAGGAGGCCCGAACTCTAATCTGCCCTCTCCCTCTGGTGCATAACATGATCCCGCCCAAGTTCAGGCCCTTCTTTGGTTTCTCTGTATAAAGAAGAATAATAAGTCTTATTTATTTATTTATTTATTTTTAGGCAGAATCTTGGCCCAGGCTGGAGTGCAGTGGCACAGTCTTGGCTCACCGCAGCCTCCACTTCCTGGGTTCAAGCGTTTCTGGTGCCTCAGCCTCCTGAGTAGCTGGGACTACGGGTGCTTACCACCACACCCTGCTAATTTTTGTATTTTTAGTAGAGACGGGATTTCACCATGTTAACCAGGCTGGTTTTGAACTCCCGACCTAAAATGATTCACCCACCTTGGCCTCCCAAAGCGCTGGGCTTACAGGCGTGAGCCACTGCACCTGGCTAATAAGAGTTATAAAGAAAATGCTAACAATGATAATTAATTCAATGTTTGCTAGGAACCAGGCACTATGCTAAGAGTCATCTGGGGAATTAAAAAAAAAATTCCAGTGTCTAGACTTTACCCCAGACTAGCTACACATGAATCTCTTGCGGGTGGGGCCCAGGCAAAGATAATTTTATTATTTATTTATTTATTCTTTTGAGACAGAGTCCTGCCCTGTTGCCCAGGCTGGAGTGCAGTGGCATGACCTCGGCTTACTGCAACCTCTGCCTCCCAGGTTCAAGCGATTCTCATGCCTCCGCCTCCCAATAGCTGGGATTACAGGCATGCACCACCACGCCCTGCTAATTTTTTATTTTTAGTAGAGACTGGGTTTCACCATGTTGGCCAGGTTGGTCTTGAACTCCTGACCTCAAGTGATCCACCCACCTCAGCCTCCCTAAGTGTTGGGATTATAGGCATGAGCCACCACACCTGGCCAAAGATAATTTAAAAAGTTCTCGAGGTGATTCTAAAGTATTGCCAAGGTTGAAAGTTGCTGGTTTCAGAAGTTGCACTCACAGCCAGCCACCCAGAATGAGATTCTTGGATTAGTGGATAGGCCTCAGACAAGGGGTTTTGTCTGTCTTGAACTGAATCCCAATTCTGCAGCACAGTGTCTGGTGTACAATAGTTGAATGCATATTTTCTGGAGGAATGAGTGAATGAGGCTGGAAGTGGGGGCTGCAGTTTGCAGCGAGAGCTGGTCAGGAGTTATCTATAGAACTCTCTGGATGAGTTGGTCCAGATGTCCTCAAGCTGAGTGTTGTCCCTGATGGTGCTTTACTGTTAAGATGGGGCATTCCAGCAATTTTCTGAACTATCAGAGCTTGTGGGCATGTTGAGGTCCTTCCAAGGGCAGGGCAGGGCGGGACACACCTGCAGGGAGATGTTGGCCTGGGGTCGGACCTTGGCGGAGGCCAGTTCCACGTAGGAGTCTTTGCCCACGAAGTTGACAGTGATGAGCTTCTCGCATCTGGGGCCGGCGAAGCCTGGTGGGCAGCGGCAGGTGGGCTCCTGCTGCACCACGATGCACTGGGCCCCGTTCTGGCACTCGTACTGGTCGCATGGGCTGGTCTGCAGTAGGACCATGGGTGGGGGGTGTTCACAGAAGGGTCCACTGGAAGGCAGGAGAGAATGGGGAGGGAGATAGGAGAATGGCCAAGAGGAGACAATCACAGTTACTCAGGCCAAAGAACCTCGAGCAGAGAGGTAGAGTGAGATGGGAAATGACACTAGTTCTAGGGGCTAGTTCCAGCCCTGCCACTAACCGGGGCAAGACCTTTTCCTTCTCTAAGTCCCATATTTCCCATTTTTAAGAGAGTTGGGGTAGCCATGGTGGCATGAGCCTGTAGTCCCAGTTACAGGGGAGGATCGCTTGTGCACAGGAGTGCGAGTTCAGGCTGCGGAACAGAGCAAGACTCCGGCTCCAAGAAATAAAATCATGGAGTTGGACTAGAGTAGAGGTCCCTAAACTTCAGTGTCATCAGAATTGCCTGGGGGTGATTTCTTAAAAGAGCACATTCCTACCCATGGAAAGATGAATGGATAAACAAAATGTGGCGCATCCATCCAATGGAACATTGTTCAGCAGTAAAAACAAAGGGAATTCTGACATACCCAACAGCATGGTTGAATCTTGAGAACACTATATACTAAGTGAAATAAGCCCAACAAAGGACAAATGCTGTATGTGTCCATTTATATAAAGCATCTAGAGTAGCCAAATTCATAGCAACAGAAGTAGAATAGAGGTTACCACTGAGGAACCATCATGTTTGTTCTTCATCCTAGAAAGAAGATTCTGGCCAGTGTGGCCATGTGGCTACCTCCACCTTGCAAGCTGGGCTTCAAGATGGTGGCATCTTCCATTAGATGGAATCCTACCCAAGCATGACATTACACAAGCTGAACCTAAGCCCAGCTTTCACGTGGAGTTGCCACAAGTAGCTCTTCTCCCATCTACAATGTGGGATTACCAATACCTGCTCTATTTCCCTCATGGGGACATGTAAGGACTGCAAAGGTATCAGGGGAATAAAGGCATCACCCAGAACCGGGGCTACAGCCACCTGGGCCTGAGTCTCCATTCTGGCCACCTTAGCCAGTCAGCCCCAGCCCCTGCCACCTGGCCCAGGCTGTCTCCTTCCTGAGGTGCCCTCCTGCCTTACCTGAAGCCCTGGGGGCAGGTGCATGTGTAGCCATTGATTGTGTCCACGCACTGGGCCCCGTGGCGGCACTTGTGGGCCACACAGTCATCATTGTCTGTCTCACAGAGCTTCCCGCTGTAGCCAGGGACACACTCGCAGCTGGAACATAGGCAGAGGCAAGGCCGTTCCTCAAGGCAAAGCCAGCTTGCAGGCAGTCACTCTCCAGCCCCCCTCAGCAGGTGGCCTCTCCCCATCTCTTCTATCTACCCAAGTTCCTTTGGGATCTGCAAAGCCTGGCTCCACAGCAGGTTTCCCTGGTGGCCCATGGCCTTTGTTCCATTCATGGTGGGGCGAGTCTTGTGTTCCAGAGCCAGGGTGAGGAACACAGGGTTGGACTCATCCAGCTTTTGGCTTGGATCTGCCACTTCCTACATGAAACTGACATTCAGTTTGGTCCTTCCTTTGGGTCAGGCACTGTGCTATGCCCCTTTCACTGAGTTCTCACTGAGGCCTCTCAGGACCCTGTAAGGGAGGGTCTACCATACTCCATCGTAAGGAAGAAACCAGAGGGCAGAGAGCACTGCAGGCACTTCCCTGAGGACCCCCACACCCCATCGAGTGATAATACTTAGTTTACACTTGCGTGTCATAAACTGTTCTAAGTGGGTCAGTCACTCATTACCTCTCTGTGTTTCAGTTTCTTCATCTTTAAATGCAATTGATAAATAACTCCACCTCTTATGGTTGCTTTAAAAATGATATGATATGCTTTGTGTAGTGCATTAAACGTTAAATATTCAACATGACATGTAGAAGATGAATGAAGAGGAATACGATACTGTTTGCACTCTGAGATTCAGACCAGGATGAGAAAGGCAAAAATCTCTTCTGCCTTAATAAGTGGCTCATATTACCTGGGCAAGAGGATGGGAACACCTGCTCTGCCCCAGGCCCTGCACACCAATCTGGCCCTTCCTAAAAGAGTGGTGCGTCAGCAATTCCATTATTGCCCCTTCTAGACAAGGTTTAAAACCTGGCCAGAGGAAGCTGCCCCAGCTAAAACCTGGCCTCCTTGAGTGTGGGCCAGAAACATGCATCTCTGGGCTCCTCTGTCTGGGGCAACATTCAACCAAAATCCCAGCATAGAAACACACCTGAATGCACCGAGGGGCTGAGTCACAGAGGCTTAGGTGCACCCACAGGCACATATAAGCAAATGCTTACTGGCGCTTCTGCCTTCTGCAAAGCCTGTGTACCTTTCTGGGCCCAACAGCTGAATTCTAGTGGGCAGGTAAAAATAATAGCCACAACCTATCCAAGTCAGAGGAGGAGGCGGCATGGCAGAAGGAGGTGACAAAGGCAGGGAGGTGAGGGTTGGGGGGAAGCAAGCTCTCTAAACTCTTAGATTGTCTAATAAGCAGCCCCACGGAAGAATCAGGGCAAAGGGATGGTTCTCCCTCATCCCTCTCCTCCCTCTCCTCTTTAGGAATGGATAGAAGTGGGGTGGAATCCACAAGTGGCAACCCCACTGGCATCGTTGTGGTTGGCAGAGCATGATGCAGGCTGTAGATTCATAGCTAGGTAAGACACGGAGGGGGTGATGTGTCCTCGACTGGAACAAGTTCCTGAAACTGAGGACTTACTGGCCTATGCTCAAAAATTGAAATCCGCTAAGATCTGACCAATTCACGTTTACTTGATTGGCAAATTTGAAATACATAACCTATTGCTGCACTGGAAGTACAAACTTACATGTTCAACCAGTCTTTTAAGGAAACACATTGAGAATGCCTTTGAGGGGCATGTGCTCAATACAGCACCATGTATACTTCTGCTACTGTGTTAAACTTGGCCCAGGAAGCCATCTGTGTGTCTCTTGAATTCTAAAAAGTAGTTGCAGAACAACTTAAGCTATATGACTTTCTCCAAGGCAATAATAGCTGGCCAATACTTACAAGATAAAATCCAATATTTTAAGCCTGGACTTCAAGGCTACTGGTGAGATCTTTATTAAGAATTAGGGAAGCTATTCTCACTCTCAGACTAAGCAGTGGAGGTCGGGAGGCAAATGTATTGACCTTCTTTTTCTTTTAAAATGCTACAGCCCTCTCAATACCAGCAAGTCTCAAACTTTAATGAGCATACAAAACACCCAGGGATCTTGTTAAAATGTGTCTTCTGATTCAGGGAGTCTGGGTGGGGCCTGGGAACTAGCATTCCTAACAAACGCCCATGTGATGCTGATGCTGCTGGTTCAAGAACCTCTGGTAGCAAGGACCTATATAGTACTTCTCCATCAACTAAAGAGAGGCAGCTGGTGCTGTAACCTGCATTCTCCATTGTTCTCAAATGCTTGCCTTTTTCTTCTAGTTAAATTTTATGCATTTTAATATGTGTTGGGTCTATTGATTCTGCACAAGGGAGAGTAACCGCATGCTGTCCTTGGTTCCAGGACATCTGGAGTCTCTGGATTTAGCTGAGAAATCAGTCAGGCCCAGACTGATTCACAGCCCCACCCCTTTATATGTGTGCATGGAGGTGGCTTATGCCACCTCAGTGAGCCTCATAAAATGTGAATGAGTTTCTACGTTCTAAGATTGTTGGATGTTGGATAATACACCTTGCCTGACAAAGAATAAGTTAGCAGTACATGCTAGTCATTGTGATCTTTCTTTTGGCTATTGTATTATGGACAGGTAGTATCTGCCCTTCATTGAGACCTCATTGAGGGAGAGGGAACGTACAAGGAGAACTCCAAGGATAAACATCTTCACACTTGGACAAACGTCACCCTGACTGTGTATCTCTTTGGCTAATATCCCTACAGGCTGCCATAGGATATGAGCTGTTTGGTGATGGGAGATGAAGGAGATAAAATGATAAAATGTTGCACTGGAAGAATAATTTTTGATTTAAACACATTTTAATGAAACACTAACATTGAGCTGGCCTGTAGACCTTTTCAAGATAATGACATCACATATAAATACAATATCTCAAGATTATGAAAGCTAGACTGATTTTATTCTTTCCTATATTGTCTTAGAACTCAAGGAACTTTAGTTACAATAGAGGTTTCTAGGAATAAGTTCTGGGGATCATAAAAACCTGGCAGTGTTAGCTCTCCAGCACTCCAACCAACCCCACACCTGCACCCTTGACCACGTTTTTGTTTTCTTTCTTTTTTTTTTTTTTTTTAGACAGAGTCTCCCTCTGTCACCCAGGCTGGAATGCAGTGGTGCAATCTCAGCTCACTGCAACCTCCGCCTCCTGGGTTCAAGCGATTCTCCTGCCTCAGCCTCCTGAGTAGCTGGGATTGCAGGAGTGTGCCCACACCTGGCTAATTTTTGTATTTTCAGTAGAGACGGGGTTTCACCATGTTGGCCAGGGTGGCCCCTAGACCACTTCTGACCAGTGCTGGTGTAAGCCTGTGTCCTCTGAGCTTGCTGTCCACTCAGCCAAGAGGCAATTTATCTCCTCTCCATGGGCAGATCCCCATTCCCTGCCCCTTCCCGGGCATGCCCAGAGCACTCTGCTTGCCTGGCCTGCTCTGCTTTGAGTTCACGTTTGCATTTACATGTCTCTTCCCACCCCTTGCCCCTTCATTCTTCCCTGTCCCCTCACAGTATCCCATACTTCGTAAAGATCAGCAGTGAACTGAAGTCAAATCAGGGGGGTGGAAGTAGGCGGGGAGGTCCTGTGAGGTATCTCTCACCCTTGTACTCAGGTAACTTGACTGCCTAAAAGTCCCACCTGGCATATCTGAGGGGGCATGGGGCAGATGAGGTAGATAGGAATGGGGTAGACACATGGAAGGGCTGAAGCTTCATTTGGTCTCATTGAGCAACCAGAGCCTCTTGGCATTTCCCCTGGTGATGAGATCTAGGCTTGTGATGTGAAAATAGAAAAGGAAGACACGATAAAAGACATGCTCATGTCTGCTTGTCACCCTTACTTACTTGCTTCTTCTTCCCCCAGTGGAGCCGTCCTTCCTTCTCTCAACCCATCCAAATTCCACCCACCCTCAAGGGTCACCCACATTCTATTCCTAAAGGGGTGGGGCTGCTTCTCTCCTCCAGCAGCCTTTTCCTTCCTCAGAACCCCAGCAACAGAGCCAGAATCGTGGGGCCTAGAACTTCTTTCTTTTCTAAATATTTGCTCAGTGTCAAATCTTCTTCCCCTAGGTCCATGGCAAGGGCCTTGAGGAGATGAATCAAAACCATCTTCCAATCCCCACTATACTCCACACAATCAAGATCTGTGGACTGATGGGTGGGCTGGCTGGAGCAACAACTAGAACTCCTGCTTCTTAGATTCTAAGATTCTAAGAGCTTACAAGTTCAAGTTTCAGAGATTCTATGATTCTAAATTTCTAAGATTCTGTGATTGGGCTTTCTGAGATCTTGGGGTTCCCTGAAGTCCTAAGTCTTGTTGTTTAGAATCATAGTCACAAATACCCCCAGAGTCTAACTCTCTGCCCTGTGACTGAGAACAGGACAGATTCTGGGTGATGACAGCTTCTGGACCCATCAAGACCTAGAGCATGAGCTTCTGGCCCCAGAGGCTGGAGATGCCACTGGTGGGCATTCTCCTTAAAGACTCATCAGCACAGGCATGGAGCTCTGGGCCCAGGGCCCTCATCTCTAGGGGAGGCTCTGTAAGGTCATTTATGGGGTCTGCTAACATCCTGGGGTCTCTCCAGTTGCCCCGGACTGCCTGTTTCCCAAAACCCTGACTCCTTGGTGCTAGTGGCTTTCCTCTGGTGTTGGACAGAGATTGCTGGGAGAAGAAGGAGGCAGCTGGGTGTAGAAGGCAGCACTGGGGTTGGGAAGAATGTTTTTGGCCACAGAGTTCTGGGATCTCCCTCTCGATGTCAGAAAACCCCCAGTCTCAAGGGTCTCACAATCTTCTCTAGAAGAGGCAGTGGCAAAAGCTTTCATGAAGGAAGGTGAAAGGAAGAGATGAGTACAGGGCCTGGGAGGGATTTCCCAGGAGTGCCATTGGATCCTCAGCCTCAAGAGCTGCATGGCTTTCTGACCTGAGGCAGCCTCTCCATCCACCCTTAGGGCTGCTCACGTGCTCCCCTGGCTCCTATGGGCTCTGCTGCTCACCATGGAGACAGCTCCGCCAATGGCCATGCTGCTGGACCACAGTGCTCCTGCCCCCTTCCCCTGCAACAGGTGCATAAGCTGAAAAACTTGCTGTAGACTGGAGGGGCAGCGTACTGCAAAGGCTGCACATGGAGAAGGTGACCAAATACCCTTTAGACGCTGCTTCCCCAGTGGAATTGCTCTACTTCTTTAGCTCTAGAAAGGAGGGATATGCTGAGAGTACTGGGAAGTTGGTAGGAGAGGAGAGGCAAGGAAGAAGGGGCAGGGAAGAGAAAGAGTGGATCTTTCTCTCTCTCTGTCTCTTTCTCTCTCCCTACCTACCTGTCTATCTACAGAGACTTAGAGACACCCACAGACAGACAGAGGCACGCATAGGGAAACAGACTGAGATAATTAGATCATGGCTGAATCAGAGATGCAGAGAAGCACATGAGAGAGAGAGAGAGCATGCAGAGAGACCAGAGACTGCCTAAAACCTAGACTGTTAGAGGCAGAGTTTTCATGGACTCTGTGCTGGGGGCACGAAGCCAGGTCTTACCTGAATCCTTTGTCCAGGGGGATGCACTTGGCCTCATGCTGACAGAGGTTCAGCTCAGGCACACAGTGGTCAATCACCTCGTCGCATAGCTCACCTGGCACAGATGGGGGAGATAGCTCAGGCCTCAGGCAGGGTAGGGATGCCCTGGCCAGAAGATCAGAGTACTAGGGGGGATATCCTGGCCAGAAGATCAGACTCATCCAGCCCCTGGTCAGGTGGGCATGGACGTCAGGAGTCCTGTGTTCTCACTCCTTGTGTATCCTCCTGCACCTCTGCCTTGGTTTCTTTGGCAGTGACCACGGGAAGATTCCAGGTGTCCTCCTGGACACTGTCCTAGCATCACCATTTGGCTGTTTTACTTGATCTTTCAGGGGCAGGGGCAGGTGCAGCTGAGAGCACAGGATGCCTGGCCCTCACTTTGGGCCATGCTTATTCATTTGTTTTTTCATTCCACACTTATTTACTGAGCACCTCCTGTGTGGCAGGTACTGTGCCAGGCACTGGGGACACAACAGTGACTGGGTCCTTTCCTACCCACAGCCTATTTGGGAAGATCTACAAATAAGCAGGCAATTACAATACAGACTTGTAGGTGTGACCAGAAGGGCAAACTTTGTGGAAGCACAAGGGGGACCCATAACCTCCCCCAGGAGGTCAGAGGAGGCTTCAGAGACACAGACAAGGCTTAGCAGCCCAGTTCACCTGTTACAGAAAAGTAAGCCCCTTGGATTTTTCAGGGAAGGAAGTATGAAAGGAATTTGAAGTTCTGGTCTCTAGACACATTGCCTTTGAAGTCTGCAGTGCTACAAAATACCTAACGGTCATAAACACCCAGGGATGGCCCTTGCAGATAAGCCCTGAAAAGCTTACACCACCTGAAAATGTGTTTTAGGAATGTGGGGGAGGGCGGTAAGGCAGGACAGCAGCTCCCAAGCAACACCAGCTTTTAAGATCCGAGTTTTGGGTTTCCTCAAATTCCACTAGGTCAAGCCAGATGGAGAGTGATCTAAGAGAGGGAAAGGTCTAACCATGAACGTTCTCTCCAGGAATGGGGTGGGAGCAGGGCGGGGAAAGCTGCCTTAGCTCCTGCTCCCAGGGTATAGGCAGGTAGGTCCAGAGGGCTGGCTGCAGGGTAATGAGTAACAGATAGCCCCTAAGTCTGTTCTTTGCTATGGTGGGGAGAGGCTGACCCCAACCATGTCCTGGGAGGGAGCACTGAACCCCTCCCTCTCCAAATTTTGCCTTCAGCCTCTCAAGACCACAGAAGGCACTATGTTCCTGAGAAGCCTCCTCTTTCTTGTCATCTGGAGACACCCAGAGAAGCAGACAAGTATCTGTGTGGGACTTGCACATTTTCTGGGACAGAGCAAACCACAAAGCCTCATTCTGTACCTGAGTTTCCCGGGAATGAATTCTAGTTGACACTTCCTAGCTGCTTGACCTTGACTTTGGCAGTTGTGGAGATTAAATGAGATTATACAAGCACTCACTCTCAGGACCAAAGTGCAACAAATCAGCAGTGCACCCTGGTCAACGGCAGACACCAGGTAGGCCTCAACTGCGGCAGGAAACCACTTCATCAATGCCTCCTCAGTACCCTCCTGCTGCCCATCTGCCTGCTCTAAATTCAGTTCAAGCCCCTCCCCTGCCACAAAGCCTTTGTTAGAGCCCCACTGCCCTCTCCATTTTCACTACTGGGATTTCTGTCATCTCTCTTCTGGCACTAAGCTGATTCTTCTTGACCAATGACTCAACTCTATACAGTGATTCTTTTCATGGACCAGAAGCCCTTGTGGGCTGAGGGCATACCTTAGATTTCTTGGTCTCTCTAAGTGGCTAATTTAGTAGTCTGTATACAGTAGGTGCACAGTAAGTGTTGCCTGTTGCTAATGCAACTCTTGGCTACAATTCCGCTCTCAGAAGATGAAAGAGGGAAGGGGAGGTAACCCCTCAGCAGTCAGTCAGTCAGTCTTTCTCTCTCTCTCTGTCTCTCTCTCTTTCTTTATCTCTCTCTCTTTCTTTCTTTTTTTGAGACAGAGTTTTGTTCTGTCTCCCAGGCAGGAGTGCAGTGGCAGGATCTCAGCTCACTGCAACCTTCACCTCCTGGGTTCAAGTGATTCTCCTGCCTCAGCTTCCTGAGTAGCTAGGATTACAGGTGCCCACCACCATGCCCAGCTAATTTTTGTATTTTTAGTAGAGCTGGGGTTTTGCCATGTTGGCCAGGCTGGTCTCGAACTCCTGATCTCAGGTGATCTGCCTGCCTTGGCCTCTCAAAGTGCTGGGATTACAGGCGTGAGCCACTGCATCCGCCCCCACAGCAGATTTCCATGCACTTTCTCCCAGCACAGAAGCTTGTCTGGGGTCCTAGGAAGCCCAGGATTATTAGAGCAAGTGGTTTTCTCAGTTGGTGGTGGTACGTTCCTACAGTTTCAAGAGTGTACTTGGGGATACTGTCTATGGGCTGGAGGCTTGATAAAGGTATGGGCTATGAGGGACAATGGGAGCCATTTGGCTTCCTTCTCTGCCATCTTCAAGGATGCTTCTATTCATCTTCCACAGCTTCCCACCACCCACTTCACTCCTGACATAAAGGCCTGGTTCCAGTAGTCCAGGACATGGGAGTCCCTGAGCTTCCCCCTCCTCATTTTCTCCTTGCCTTAGGCTGGTATTTCCTAAAAGTGCTTCTTGCAACACAGGATCGCTGGGCTGGGAATAGTGTTCGAGGATGGGGAAAGGGGAAGCTCTGAGATCAGATAAGTTTGGGAACTGCTGGGTTAAACAAACAGCTTTCTTTAAAGCAGGAATTTTTGGAACCTCTAATATGCTTATTTGTATCATGGTACACCAAGAAGAAGGTTATTATTATATGCAGTGCTTCCCAAACTTCTTGTCTCATGGGGATTTTTCCTCAAATTCATGGAATTCCAGTCTGGGATACGCTACTTTGGTTGATCTCATAACAAAGCGGGCTGTGTTTGCACCAAAATTGGTAGCATTTTGCTTCACAATCTAATGATATATTTAACTGTCCTTTTTAGGGGTTATTAATGTAGGAAAATAAAGGTTTTGTGTTTGGGGGGTAGGTGGGTGGAATGATCTTCCTGAGGAATGCTCTCTTGTGGGAGCCTTCCTGGATTCTCTGGCTGGGTTAGGTTCCTTCTGTGTGATCCCACACCCCAGGGCTTATAGATGTTATGTTCTCTTTCTAATGAATCCACGCCTCTGTCCACCTGACTATAAACTTCTTATGAGAAGGAACTCTGTCTTGGTCATTTTTGTATCCCTAGCTCCTAGCTAAGTGTCTGGAAAATGTGGATTTCAAGAGACGGTTGACTAGACCTGAAGGAAGCATAAACACAATGCAAGCGCCTCTCTGCCAGCCTCAAACACCACTAGGTCTACAGGGGCCCTAAAGGATGTAATGGCCAGCAATGAGATGAACAGCAGCTAAAGAGCCTGGGACTCTGTTTCAAGTGGGAAGGAGCAGTGATTTGCTGGTGGCTGGTGGTGGAGGACACGGAGAAGCAAACAGGCCTTTGGGGAGCCCCTCTTGGCATATCACAGTCTTGGGGTCTTAGTCTCTGTCCTCAGGGAGAGAGGAAGAGAGTCCCTGGAGGAAGTTAAGAAAATGGTATTCTAGCGACACCCCTCCACCCCACCATACATACAGTCATGAGATCCTTACCTGTGTAGTTAGGCGGACAGATACACACGTAGTTGTTGATCCCGTCCACGCAGGTGGCATTGTTTTCGCAGTCGTTGTCCTCACAGTCATCTGGGTTGATCTCACACCGCTGCCCCTCAAAGCCCAGAGGGCAGGAGCAGCTTTGGGATGTGAGGGGTGGAGAGCAGGGGAGTCAGGGGTCAGGGAGAGAGGTGGGTTGGGATGGCAGAGAGGAAGACACGGGTGGGAAATACAATTAGTTTTTCCTCCAGATGGAGGTCTGAGAAAGCACTTTGGACACATGAGGCCTTGGGGTCCTGAGCAGGAAGACCCTTAGGAACCTAAAAGGTCATTTCATCCAACCCCATCTCCAGGCAATGTTCTATCTCCCCTGGCCCATGCTGGCTGCCTCGCTCTGGGGCTAATGTCCACCAACAAGGCCGGTGTCATCATTCCCCCAGCTGGAAGTGGTTTCCTGGATATGGCTTAAATTCCTCCAGCTGTCCTCCAAACTGCCCTCCCTTTGGCTCTTCTGAGGCACAATCTCTTTTGCAAATAAAGAGAGACAGCATAGTAAACATCCTCCTTTAAGTGATTTTTTTACTCAAAGGCAGCCCTTCTATCTCAGGGTGAGGGGGTGGGCAGAATATAGTGGCCAAGGTCCCAGACTCTGTACCCAGGTTTCCTGGGAATGAATTCCTGTTGATACATTCTAGCTACTTGACCTTGACCTGGGTGGTTGTGAAGATTGAGATTATACAAGCAAAATGTTTAAAAGGGTACATAGCACATAGAAAATGCTCAGAACCCATTAGCAAGCTATAGTTCTACACAAAACCACCCTACTTCCTTAACTGTTCTTCAGGGATGCCATTTCTTCCCATCATGTATTCTTGCTACTTCTGAGCCCCTCCAGCTTCTGGGGGATGAAGGCTAGAGTGGGAGGATCCCTCGCCTGCCAAGAGTGAGGCCTTCGGGTCAACTTGGCTTCAAACGCTGTGGGGCGGCAAGATGCATTTCCTTCACTTGTCTCTAGAGTGTTAAATCTCTTGGATAAAAACCTCAACTGCCTGCATCTCTGCCTGATCTTGGTCATATCCCCAGGACTGGGCGTGCAAGATCGGTTAGAACAGATAAAGGCCATGCGGAAGGGATGGGAGTCGGGGGTGGAGTGAGCATCCATCTGATTAAATAAATGCTGCAATGAATCTCGATCTTTCTTTGGCCTAACCCGTTTGTCAGGGATTCTCACTCCATCTATGAGTGTGCGCTTCAGCTTCAGATCTGGAATTTCAGGTTTCAGAGATTGCTCTGACTTGGGATTTAGCTAAAAAAGTAAACTACACTCAGCTAACAGGCAGTGAATTTCAGTGGTCCTAGAATCCTACTTAATTGGTCTCCTTTCTACAACTGAAAACCATATCACATTTTCTACAAAAGGCCAGGGGCCTCTCAGGTCTCAGCTCTTGGGGTACAGCAAAATGACTCATTCTTTTTTCCTGTTAGGGACTCTGGGCACTCATGAAAAAGGCTACTTCTTCAGAGCCAGACAGAGGGTAGGTTTCTGAAAGTCCTAAACCATGGTGTTGCCCATTTGTTTTTCTAAAGACCAGTTACTTTGGCTCCCCCAGAGCCTTAGGGCTACCTGGCAGTGAGATATGGTGGCTGGTCGAGGAAAGAGAGGTTGCTAAAGGAGTGACAGGGTGGAAGGAGGCTGATGTCTCCCTGTCTTCATTGGAAACCTTGGAGAGCTGTCCAGGAGACTCCAGGTGCCATGAGTTGGTTGTGGGGATGAGAGCAGATCTCATCTCCTGTGTTGGTCTTCTGTGGGGCCTGCTCTGCCAACCTTTGCTGTTTTTGTGAGCAGGCAATGCAGCAAGATTAGAGAAGCATGTGTATGAAGAGGCTGGTGATGCTGATGACTAAGACCTGTTATGGGTTGAATTGTGTTCCCCCCAAAAAAGATATGTTGAAGTCCTAACCCTGAGTACATCAGAACGTGATCTTATTTTGAAATAGGATCTTTGCAGATGTAATTAGTTAAGTTGAGGTCCTACTAAAAGAGTGTGGACCCCTAATCCAATATAACAGGTGTCTCTAAAAGAAGATGGTCATGGGAAAGCAGACACAGAGAGAGCACTGGTGACTATGCAGGCAGAGAGAGGGGTGCTGCAGCCACAAGCCAAAGAATGCCAAAGATTGCCAGGAACACCAGAAGCCAGGGAGGGACAAGCAAGGACCCTCCCCTAGAGGCTCAGAGGGAGCATGGCCCTGCTGACACCTTGATTTGGAACTTCTATCCTTCAGAACTGTGAGAGAGTAAATTTCTGGTGATTACAGCCACCCAGTCTGTGGTTATTATGGCAGCCCTAAGGAATTACTCTAGAATGGAAGAGGGGAGCAAAGGGGAGCTTCCTGACAAGCACCACTCCCCTTCACCCACCAGGTGCTGGCCCGATGCAGAAGAGTTTCCCTATTCCTTGAGGACTGCATACGAGCTCTCCCATCCCTAGTAACTGCCTCATTGCCTTAACCTTCCACCCCATTTCCCTGATCCTGTAGATCTGGGCCCTTTTCCTTTTACATTAAGTTCTAAAAATATTTTCTGTTCATCTGAAACTCTTCAACAACTTAAGATGGAAATGAGATATTTCTGCTCAACCGAACCTCCAGCTGAGATGGGAGAAACACAGTTGCCTGCAGCGGGGAGCTCTTCCCTCATCTGACCCCCCCAATCCCTCGCCTGGGTGGGGCAGCCCAGGCTGTGTGCCCTGGAGGGGTGTTTCCTGGCTGGGGCCCCGTGGCCACCTCCATGTTTCCCTGCAGTTTCTTCTCACCCCTGCTCTATGTGAGCCAGCAGGAGTGGGTGGTTTGGCTGACTCCAGGCAGGAAAAGGAACTCTGCCTTGAATTTCACTTTTCAGGAGGCAGAGTTTGATGGAGCTGGCTTGGCAGGTGGACACGTGGGCGGGCGGGTTCCCGGGGGAAGAGAACCGGGAGCCTGGAATTTGATTTCTTCCCCAGACCACACGGCAGCACTGGCCAGAGTGCTTTTGATATTTAATTGGTTGCAACTTGAGCTCTAAGACACCCACACATGGCTTGGCATGGGGTGCCCCTGCCTTTATTGCCAAGGGGCTGCCGCCTCCTGACTGGCTCACCAGGGATGCCAAAGGAGCCCGTTCCCAACAGTCTGCTTTGGTCAGAGCCACAGGCCAGTGAAACTGGGCATCTAAAAGCTGCTGGGGAAGGTGGGAAGCAGGAAGGGGTCCTGAGGTTGGGTGGAAGCCAATCCCATTCCTAGGACAGGGAGGAGAAAAACCTAAGTGACTTCTATTCCCTTTTCTTCTTGAAATGTTAATGTCAGGAAGGAAAGAGGGCTGGAGGTGGGCCTGGAAGATCCAGGAATGAGCATCAGGAGATACGACCTAGAGCAAGTCCATTTCTGTGTCTCAGCTTCCCCATCTGTTCAATGAAGATAATACCTACCTACTGGATAGGGTCTGTAGGGATTTAAATGAGAAAATACTTGACTAGTTGGTACCTGGCATAGTGAGCATATAATAAATGCCACTTATTTTATAACTCAGAAAAGCATGGTGGAAGTGCCAGACGGGCAGTCTTTAAGCCTTCACCCAATCCTTCTCTGACTTTAGCCAGCAGCAGACACCTCCCTTGGAGGAAGCACGAGGTTGGGACCTGGTTTCAAATCCCTGTGCCAATGCTTAATGTAACTCTAGGCAGAGGATTTGTCCCTCTGATGCTTGAACTTCCTTATCTGCACAGTGGGGATAAATTGTACTTCCCTTACAGGGTGCGAAGAGCCTTGAGATCATTCTCATACAGGGCCAGCACAGCACGGGCACTGGGCACGCCCTCGCTGGTCGTATCTCTGCTTCTTTAGCCTGCCCAGGGAGCCCTCCAAGGTGAGTGATATGGTTTGGCTGGGTCCCTACCCAAATCTCACCTTGAATTATAATAATCCCCAAGTGTCAAGGGTGGGGCCAGGTGGAGATAATTGAATCACGGGGGCAGTTTCTCCCATACTGTTCTCATGGTAGTGAATAAATCTCACCAGAGCTGACGGTTTTATAAATGGGAGTTCCCCTGCACAAGCTCTCTTTTGCCTCCCGCCATTTAAGATGTTTGCTTTTCCTTTGCCTTCTGCCATGATTGTGAGGCTTCCCAGCCATGCTGAACTGTGAGTCCTTTAAACTTCTTTCCTTTATAAATTACCCAGTCTTGGGTATGTCTTTATTAGCAGTGTGAGAGCAAACTAATACAGTGAGGGAGGCCAGGGGTGAACTGTTACCTGAACCCATCCTTGTGGCTGTCACTCAGGTGGCAGGTGCCTCCATGCTGACAGGGGTTCTGGATGCAGGTGTTGATGGGCACAGTGCAGTCCTTGCCCTGAGGAGCAAAAGAGGGAGAAGCACCTGGTTAGGGGGACTTCTGGGGCTGCCATGGCCCAGGGGACTCCAGGGGTTCCAGCATTCTCTGTGATGAGGCTGGGGAGATGACAACAAGGAGCCCCTAGGAAAGGCCTGCTGTGTGACTTGGAGCCCACCCATGGGAGCCCTAACCCCTAGTCACTGGACAGTAAGAAGGGGAAGAGTGATGAGAAGCCAGGAGTTCAGGTTCCAGCCTCACTACTTCGCAGAATTTGCACCCTTCTGTATCCCAAACTGCAGGGCAAGAGCCCAGGCTATGGATTCAGGCAAAGCTGAATTCACATACAGCTGGTTTCACATTCCAGCTCCATCCCATCTGGGTTGGCTGATCGTGACCTCATAAAAGCCTCTTGACCTCTCCAAGTCCACCTCACAGGGTTGCTATGAGAATTAAACTTGAGCTTTCATGTAAGGAAAAGTTTCATGTAAGGAAAAGGTTACACGTGTGTAATCCACCTAGCACATAGTAGGCATTCTGTAAATGCTAGAAGATAACATTACCATGAGCCTCACTGAACCTTAAATATAACCCACAACTTGAGTAGGGAAGACTAAGGCTGAAGTATGGCCAACAGACCTTGTCTCCTACAAAGTGACAACCCCAGAGAACCATCCTTGATTGATCTGGAGTGGGGTCCAGGCTTTGGTATTCTAAAGTTCTGAAGGTAAGCCTAAGGTTAGGCCAGGTGGGGAACCTTTGCGATAGAGAACTCAGGGTGGTGTGGGATTCTTTGGAGCAGGCCCCTCTGAAGGGGACGTGTGAGCTGAGAAGGAGCCAACTGTGTGGAAGGTGGGGAGAGGAGCGTGCCAGGCAGCAGGAGCAGTGAGGGCAGCGGCCCTGAGGAAGGCAGCCCCAAGGTGGAGACTGAGCTCCATGAGACCCACTGTCCCAGGGAACAGCCCGACTCTTCTTGGCCTTCTGGCTCCTGCTTCTCCTTTGGGACTGACAGACCAGTCTCACCCAATGCTTGGCATGGAGTCCCTTACAGGACCTGGTAGCGTGGGGCCTGGGGAGGTGACTGCTGCATCCTTTCTGGGCCCTGGGCTCAGTGGCTTGGCACAGACCTGGTGGAGGTGATCATGGGAGCCCACCCACTGCCACACCACCTGCTCGCCATCTGCCTGAGAAAATCCTCTTCCCTCTTCTGCTGTTGCTGGTGATGTGATGGAATGGAACTGGGGCTTCCTGGCTGCGACGCTGCAGCCAACTGGGCTGAAGGCCTTGGGCCCAGGACAGCCTCTGCTGTGGACCCTCTCAAACACCAGAGCCTCAGGCCCATCTTCAGCAGCTGGAAGGCATGGGCCATGTCCGTCTGGTTCCCTTCATGCCCTGTCCCAGCAAAGGGGCCAGTCAGAGGTTTCTTGGAGGGGGACAGGGAGAGTGCAGTTTGGGCTGGTATCTGGTTTTATCCTAAACCATAACAACACAGGGCCCCTTTCTGAAAGTTGGTGTGGAATGGAAACTGTAATACTAATTCTCACCCACTTTGCCGAGCACATTTTCCGTTCCAGGCCTCATGCTAAGTGTTTTATATTCATGATCGCATATCATGTTCACAACAACCCTATGAGATTGGTGTGATTGTTATTACACTATTTTTACAGACAGGAAAGACAGACTTAGAAAGTGAGGTAATATGGCCAAGATCGCACAGCAGTAAGTGAAATGGGGAGCAAGCAGCTGAACCCAGGCATCCAGCCCAAAGTTAGTGCTGGGAGCCTCTATGCAGGACCACTTGGCTAGCCCCTCTCAAAACATGCGTTCTAGGGGCACACAGATGGGAGTGCACATTCTAAGTTGGCTGCTGTGTTCCTTGAGGAAATGACTAGTTCTCTCTGAGCCTTGTTTTTACCACTTATGAAATGGAAATAATATGAACTACCCTATGGGGAATTAGTTAATGGTTATATATGTAAGACACCTAGCATGTAATGGCAGCTCCATAAATAATAGCGATGATGATGATGATGATGATGATGATGATGATGATGATGCTTGGGGTCTGAGGCAGGGCTGAATGTGAGTGACTAAAATACTTTTTCAGGTCTTTGGTTGGTGCCAAGTAGTTCCAGAGGTGCATATATGAGAGTGGTGGTGGCCAACACATGGACCGTGAAGGGCAGGACAAAGAACCTTGAGAAGGTCAAGGCAAGACCTCTCTAGCCCCTGCCTGGGTTAGCCCCTGCTCTGGGGAACTGGTAAGTACCAGTGACTCCAGGTCAAACCCTCCCAACTATGGCGGTGGTGGTGGAGGTGGTGGCAACTCCTGCAGCCCTTTACGCCAAGCACAGAAATCCAGGAGGCAGAGCCTAGCGCTTGATGACATGGTAATTGGGCCTGGAAGTGGGGATTTCTGTCACTTACCTCTCCTTGAAAAATAATCACTATTGCCAACGCCTGGTTAATTAGCCTGATTCAATTCTCTTCAGCCTCATTTTGCTCAAATCTACCAGATTTGTGGTGCTCCTTGGTCCTCCACCACACTTTCTACCCCTCATCCCACTTTGTGTGTGTGTGTGTGTGTGTGTGTGTGTGTGTGTGTGTGTGTGTGTGTGTGTAGGACATGGCCAGGAATCCTGACTGGCTTCCTTTAAAACAGGTGTCCCCAACCCCTGGGACATGGACTGGTACCGGTCCCCGTTAGGAACCAGGCTGCACAGCAGGAGGTGAGCAGATGGGGCGGGAGCATTACCACCTGAGCTCCGCCTCCTTTCAGGTCAGCCGTGGCGTTAGATTCTCATAGGAGCACACACCCTACTGTGAACTGTGCATGCGAGGGATCTAGGTTGCACGCTCCTTATGAGAATCTAACTAATACCTGATGATCTGAGGTGGTACAGTTTCATCCTGAGACCATGCCCACCACCCTAGTTCCGTGGAAAAACTGTCTTCCATGAAACTGGTCCCTGGTGCCAAAAAGGTTGGGAATCAACCTTTAAAAGACACTGGGGGCTGGGCGCAGTGCCTCACGCCTATAATCCCAGCACTTTGGGAGGCCAGCGTGGGCGGATCACAAGGTCAAGAGATTGAGAACATCCTGGCCAACATGGTGAAACCCTGTATCTACTAAAAATACAAAAATTAGCTGGGCGTGGTGGTGGGCATCCCAGCTACTCAGGAGTCTGAGGCAGGAGAATTGCTTGAACCCAGGAAGCAGAGGTTGCAGTGAGCCGAGATTATGCCACTGCACTCCAGCCTGGCAACGGAGTGAGACTCTGTCTCCAAAAAAAAAAAAAAAAAAAAAAAAAAGACACTGGGAACAGCTGCCCTCATTGGAAACCTCTTTCTGAGATCGCACGAGGAATGCTGCTAAGTCCTTACTTCTCAAAGCGTGCTCCTTGGACTAGTGGCACTGGCATGTCCTGGGAGCTGATTAAAAAAAAAAAATGCACACTCTCAGGCCTGACCTCGGATCTAATGAACTAGAACTTGCATTTTAATAAGCTCTCCAGTGATTCTTATGCACACAAAAGTTTGAGAAGCACTGTTCTGAGACATTGAACATATGTGCCTGAAACTAAATGGCTGAAAAAGAATCAGCCAACAGATATATTTTTTCCCCAAATCTTAACATAATGGCAAAATACTGACCCTTTGTGAAGTATCTACTGAATCCTGGCACTGAGGTAGGCAAAGTACACACACAGCCCCTTTTCATCCTTCCAACAGCCCTGCACATGAGTATGAGTATTCTCAGTTACAGGTGGGGAAAGTGAGGCTTAGGGAGAATCTGACTTGGAGTGGTTGTGAGTGTAGAGACTTTGTTGCAAGAGATAGCTGAGCTCTGGTTGTAGCTCATGCACTTCCTAAGTGTGAGAGCTTGGGTAAATTATTTCATCTTTCTGAACCTTAGTTGTTTCATCTATTAAAAGACGATAATAAAACTTATTTCACAAGGTGATTAAGAGTACTACAAGAGATAATGTGTTTAAACTGCTTCACAAAGGCCTGGCATTATAGTAGATTAAGAGTAGCTGCTACCAAATGTTACACAGTGATTCCTGTGCTTTTTTATAATATTGTGGCTTCCCAAGGTCACTCAGCTAGTCAATGGGAAAATGGAGATACCTGGAAAGAGGTAAATGCCTGAACTTTGAGCTTGGTTTTGTGGGTATCTGGGGATTTCTGTTAGCCACTCATGCAGAACTACCATCTTAGTCGCTCTGTTTGGGCGGGCTCTAACCCCGGCAAGAAGGAAAGCAGGGACATAGCACAGAGAATTTGATGCAACCCTCAGTTAAAGGATCCCTTGGGTTCAACCTCCTCCATTTTACAGCTGAGGAAACTGAGGTGAGGAGAAGAGCGAGTTCTGTCCAAGGTCATGCATCACATAGGCACAGGCTCCAGAGGGTCCTGCTTGGTGTTCTTCCCATGGCTACACTCTACTTGTCTCTAACCTGGAAATTCAGACAGGTCCTAAATAGTCAGGGATCTTCCACCTTAGCCCCTGCAATCACTGCACTTGCCAACAGGCAGTGAGTGCAGTGGCCAGGAGCACAGCTTCTAGAGTCAGTTGGTTCTGAGCTTTGAATCCCAACTCCCTTACCTACCATGCTCAGTTTCTTCAACTGTAAAATGAGGGTCATTTTAGGAACTGTATTCTAGGGCTCTGATGAGGAGTATGCAAGATAATACATGTACCTTATTTAGTCTACTGTCAGTACATAGTAGATACTCAATAAATGCTGGCTCTTATGTTACTGTTATTATCATAGTTATCATCATCATCACCACCATCTGTACCATTAGCACCATTACCATCATCAACACCATCACCATTGTCACCTTTGTCATCATCACCGATACCATCACCATCATCACCTTCACCATCATCATCTTCACCATCACCATCAACATCATGCACCCTAGACCTGCCTGGGCTCAACACTTTCCTCAAGATCAAAATCTCTGTTCACATTCTTCTAAAATTGACATGATGTTCAGAATCTTGAGAACAAAGTTCAAACAAGTGGCCTTATCCTGCAGTAGCTCTGAAGATACTCTCTTTGCTCTGACACTGACGGTCAGGTCATGCTTCATAGTACAGTCAAGTGTAGCTGGAAGAAGCCTGGACTTCAAACCCAGCTCTACTACTTTCAGACTCAGGCCAGTTTTAAAGAGAAGGAAGCAAGAATCAGAATGTGAAACAGTTTACCTTATCTTTAGAATGGGGATGATACTACCCATCTCATAAGCTGATTATAAAAATCAGAGAAGAAAATAAATGCATAAGCTCCAGATGAGTGCCTGGCCTTTATTGATGATTCAAAAGAGAACTATACTATGTATGGAATTGAGAATGTTACAAATGCAGTCACAGTTCTAGGAGAATGACTGAAGTTTCTTGGCAGTTCACAGTGCCATAGACTGATAATCCTGGATCAAACTAGCAACATACCACCTGTTACTGATGGCCTATTCCACACCCAGGTATGAGGGACCACCATGCAAGGGTAAAGGTGAAAGGCAGCAGTATGCCAGCTTATTGAGTGCTCACTGAATGCCAGGTATCATCCTAGTGTATTGCGTACATTACTGTACATTTGATTCTTACGGCAAACCTATGAGACAGGTCCTAGTTTGCAGCTGGGAAGACAGATGAAATTACTAGCAATGGCTACACAGCTAGTAAATGACAAAGCTGGAATCCACACCTGCTTCTCTGTGTAATTGCACAGTCTGAATTTTCTCTGCTGAATCCATACAAGGGAGTTTGAGAGGATCCACACATCCTGAGTATGTCTGCTGTTAATCTCTATTCTCCCCTCCTATTATTTTTTTTGTGTGTGTGGGTGCCCTGTGACTGAATTTATAACATTCTCAATTCCATACATAGTATAGTTCTCTTTTGAATCATCAGTAAAGGCCAGGCACTCATCTGGACCTTATGCATTTAGTCTCTTCTCTGATTTTTATAATCAGCTTATGAAATGACGGTGTATGGGTCTGGGACTCAGTGGTAAGTTTAAGACTTTGGAGGTGGCTGGCTTCAAAGGGAATCCTTTGGCTCTCTTGTCCCAGGCCCATAGGTGGCACTCTGACACCATCTGCTAGAAGCACAGCCATCGTCTAGAAATACATCAGGTAGTCCCATTCCCCAGAATGAGGCTGCCTCTAAGCCTGTCACTACGCACACACAATCCCACTGGGGGCAGAGACCTGGGGATGCCAGCTCACTCTCACTCCACCTGCATCAGATGTGTGCATTAGACAGGCTGTGGGGCTGTCCTGAAACTCTGCGCTTGCCCAGTGCCTTTGGATGGGTGCCCTGGGAAGGCTGGAAGCTGGGCGGGCCCTGCAGAAGAGGATGGAGCCACAGCTTTGCTGATTCCAGTGAAGCCCAAGGAAGGGCTCAGCTATCCAGGAAACCCTCCAGGGGAAAAGGATTGGGTTCTGGAATCACAAAGCCCAGGGTCTTAATCACAGCTCTACTGCTTACAAGCTTCGGACATTGAGTTGAACTCTTGACAGTCTGAGGCCCAGTCTCCATATCCGTAAAAAGGGAATAATGAGGCCTTCTTAGGTTTGCTGGGGGTGTTTGAACAGGTGAGTAAAATGCCAAGCACAGTACTTGGCACAGTCTGTACTCGGTAGGTGCTGGTGAGAGGCACATGGTCGATATCCACAGGGGTCAGCAGAGGGGCATGACACCGTGCTCTGGGTGAAAGAAGGAAGGACTGTCTTGGAGGTAGTCTGGGAGGACAGAGGGGAGAACTGGGATCTCATCCTCTTGCTGGCTGATCTTAGCCGATCAACCTTTTGGGTGAGTTTGCAGCCCCTAGGCCTTTCAATCCCCAATCCCTATATTTACATCAAGCTGGAACCAGCACTTTCAAGGCTGGTTGCTCTGAGGGTGGGGTTTGGCAGGGGCATGGTGGGGTGGAGGTTCTGGAAATCCCTTTAGAAGGGAAATTGGGAGAGTGGGCTCAAGGGATGCCTCTACTTGGAAACACTTTTTCTCTGAGACTTAATTTCTCCATGTTTCACAAAGAAAATACAAATGTTACATTTCCTCTTTCTCTCTGGACATCCTTGTCAAGACCATATGGGGGCCTCTCTGACTGGCAGCTCCCGCTAGTTCAGAGAACAGTGTTACTGGCAAATGCTGCTTTGGAGTGGTGACCTGTGCGATGGACTCATCCAGGCTGTCCCTTGGAGAAGGGAGGGTACGCAGGGCATGGTGCCCCTCTCTAGGGCCAGGGCTGAAGGAGGAGCCTGAGGCATGAACACGGGGGGGCAGGGCCTCCAGCATACCTTGTAGCTGTAGGGGCAGGCACAGCGGTACAGCTCCACAGGGTCCTGGGTGCATGTCCCGTTATTCTTGCACGGGCTGGAGAGGCAGGCATTGCATTTGGCCACAATGTTGATGTCCACTGGCCCTGGGCAGCAAAACCAGAGTACTGATGGCAGGTCCTGAGTGCGCTCACTGCCATACCTCCCTTCCCCTCTGCTCTGGGCCCTCCCTCAGCCAGCGCCAGCCCCTTCCCAACTCCATGCCCAGATGGCAGCTGGCTCTCCTCAGCCAGCACATCCAGTCCAGCTAGAGTCCCATTAATTCAGCCACTGTCCAGTGAGGAAAAATCACAGTGGGACATCATTCAGAAACACTTCTGCAGTCAAATCAATTACTGTAATTAGCCTGATCCGATTTTGGTGCTAATCTGCAAACAATGCACCATAATTAGAAACCCCCTGTGTATCTTTTCATATTCCAGGAAGCTCTGGGCCCAGGCTCCATTCGGACCTCCCATTTTTCTACCCACAAACACCCCTCCCCATGGAATAGTCTGTGCCAGGCTAAGCAGGGCACAGTGCTTGGGCCAAAGGCACACAGAGGAAGTCCCCCCTGGAAAACCTTGGAAGAAAGAAATGGATGGCCCCAGAGGACACAGCGATGATGCTGACAATGGACAGAAAACTGCTCAGGTACATGTTACGTCTGTGACCGTTTCAGCCGTGTGCTTGCTTTAGCTGCGAGCACTGGAGGGAGGTCAGGGTCCTTCCCAGAGCTTTGCAAAGGGGGCTGTGTCCTGCTGCTGCAGCCAGCTTTGACAATGAGCCCTGGATAAACAGGCCATATTTAGTGTCAGGACTATAAATGACCTTGGGGTTAACAGTTATCAACTTGGAGATGGGCTGAGATGAACTTCAGTGAGTGACTGTTTGTGGATGAGTAAAAAGAATGGCCTGATTGAGAGCTGGTACCAGGGGCTCAACCCGACTTCACATTAGAAGAGGAAGACTATCTGTCTTGGTTTGCTTGGGGCTGAGGGGGTTTGCAGGACACAGAGCTTTCAGTGCTAAAACCAAGAATGGCCCAGACAAAACCCAGATGACTTAGCTGCCTTACACTACCAGCTACAGTGTTGTTTTCTGTTTGTTTTTTTTTTTTTTTGAGATGGAGTCTCACTCTGTTGCCCAGGCTGGAGTGTGGTGGTGCAATTTCGGCTCACAGCAACCTCCACCTCCTGGATTCAAGCAGTTCTGCCTCAGCCTCCCAAGTAGCTGGGATTACAAGCATGCGCCACCACACCTGGCTAATTTTTGTATTTTTAGTAGAGATGGGGTTTCCCCTTGTTGGGCAGACTGGTCTTGAACTCCTGACCTCAAGTGATCTGCCCGCCTCAGCCTCCCAAAGTACTGGGATTAGAGGCATGAGCCACCGTGCCCGGACCCTGGCTGCAGTGCTTTTAAAAGTCCCCACACCCAGGTTGTACCCCAGACCAATTTAATCTAAACCTAGAGGGTGGAGCCAGGCTTCAGTAATTTTAAAAGCTCCTGTATGATGTCCAAATGTGCAGCCAAGATTGAGACCTATACTGTTCTTGGCCTAGGTGAGCCTCTTTAGTATCAGATCAGATAGCTTAGAAGCAGGAGGAGGAAAATTAAAATTAGCTTTAAGCCAATGGAATGTTTTTCTGCTTGCAGCAGAAGTGTAGGACACACTAAAGTTTGAGAGGGTAATTAAAGTGTATCTATATATCAAAATAAGTATTAAGCCTCTCAGAGATGAGCAAAAGAGATTATCAAACAACTGTGTATACAAATGAAAAGTACGTTTTTGATGAAAAATTCAGGTTCCCCAATAATCAAAGACAAAATAAAAGGAGTTTTTTTTTTTTAACCTATTGAATTAGCAATGAGAAAATAAGAGAAAATAATGAGAGTCTAATGAAAAATGCAACCAAAGGATGCTACTGGGAATGTAAATTGGTTATAACCCTTTTTGAAAATCAATTTGGCAAAATGTGTGAAGACCTTAAAAATAATAATGTACTTTGATTCAGTAATTTCTATTCTCTGAGTCTTATCTGAGGACATGATTTCAAACAGAGAAAGATCTTTATGTGTCAATGGTAAGACAAAAAAATGGAAATACTCGAAAGATTCAAAACCAGAAATGGATTAAGTGGCAGTGGAGTATTATGGCTTGGTGATAAAGACTGCGCATTCTGGAATCAGATGGACCTGGAAGCCTGGTAAGCCTCAATTTTCTCATTTTTAAAAATGAGGATAATATTAAAAGTTGATCACATAGAGGTATTAGAGAATTAAATAAGTTGTTACATGAAGAATGAGAAGAAAATACATGAGACAGTGCTTACCATCATTCCTGTTGCATACAAACTCAGTAGTAGTTTGTTGTTATAATATGATCAATAAAAAAATCACATGTACAAAAGTTTGCTGGATAAAATGGGAAAATGCTTATGTTTTAATAATGTTGGATTAAAAAATGCAGGTTGAAGATTTTTCTCAAGGCCAGGTGCAGTGGCTTATGCCTGTAATCCCAGCATTTTGGGGGGCCAAAACAGGAGGATCGTTGGAGATCAGGAGTTTGAGACCAGCCTGTGCAACATAGTGAGACCTTGTCTCTACAAAAGATGAAAAAAAAAAAAAGATATTCTCCACTATGGAAAGACATGTACAGAAAGAAGTCAGTGAGGAGATGTGTGGCAATGCCAGCAGGGAACTTGGAGAGAATGACACTTGGCCCATTAGATGAGGGTTCACATCAGCGTCAGCATCTGAGCCTCTTTGTGGGACCCATGGAAGAGACAGGGTGAAGGTTTCTGAAGCCACATCTGTTGAGATACCCTGCTCTGACAGGTTGCTGGGAACACAGCAGACCCCAAGAGGGGCAGGGGAGGGTGGGGTGTGGGCGTCACCTACCTTTGCACTGGAAGCGGTGGGTTGGGGTGGTGAGCAGGAGCCTGTCAGCCATGGGCTCAGGGCTACTGCAGCGGGCGATGCCAGGCTCCTTGTACCCCGCCTTCACCCACTCCGACAGCCACCGAAGACTGCAGTCACAGTGGAGTGGGTTGGTTCCCAGCGCCCTAGGAGGCAGAACAGGAAGTCAGGGCCCCCTGCCCAGCTTGGCCAGTAGCCTTCATATCCTTGGCTCTCTGGAAATGCATTTTCAGACTTTGGCTAGACTGGAGGTATCCAATATGGGGCCAGCGGAGTAGTCGTCTCCACTGTGGCAAAGTTAATATCTCCAGAGTGTACTTCCAATCCTGTGGAAGTTTCAACTCCCATCCCAGCCCCTTCCACTTCTGAGGCGTGGCTCTCACCTACGCAAGTAAGACTCACTCTTCAACTCAACCCCATCCTAGCTCCTTTAGGGAGCTTCCTGGATCACTGGCCATCTGATTATCTGGTTCCCTTGCCCTGTTGAAGGGTCCACTGGAGGATATACTCTGCAGAGAAGGTTCTGAAACCCAGCAACCTAGGGAGCAGCTTCAAACCACTTGGCTAGACTTTCATCCCAGTTGTGACTGGGACGAAAATACTAGAAATTCTGTTTTTTTTTTTAAATTATATCCTTTAACAATTCTACTTTTGAAAGTTTTAGAATATGCATACGTAGTATATCCGTATTATAGTGTATGCACACATTATGAAAATAATTAAATATGCATATAGAAGGAATACAAACTCGAAAATGTTCACTGACAGAGGTGTATAAAAAAATGTAGAGATTCCTGATCTGTGGAAGAGAGGTCTGGCCTGGGAGTGAGGGAATCTAGATTCTAGTCCAACATCTCACTGACCTGATAGTCAAACTTTAGCTAGTCACCTAATATTTATGGGCCTCAGTTTTTCCTGTGTAAAATAAGAAGGGAATACCTGTTGCAGAGTGCAAAGTGGTTAAGAATATGTGCTTTGGAGTCAAGGCAAACCTAGATCTGATCCTGGGCCCTGCCATCTGCTAGCTGTGCCATGCTTAGACACAATGTTATTATATATAATAAAAGGATAAAAATGCCTTACAGTTGTAAGAAATAAATAGAAAACTTATCTAAAGTGTTTACCCCATAGTACATGTTTTCTATTAGTTCTTATTAAATATTTACAGTGTTTACATAATTGAGGATTCCTTTGAAGGCTTCTGAGGTGGGAAACAAGACAATATGCATAGTGTGGATACATAGTTGTATAATATACTGTATGCATAAGGAAAGGACATCTGCCAAAATGCTGACAGTGATGACATTGTCGCTGACACTTTCATGCTTTCATGTTTTGAATGTTCATTGGGGAGAAACACTGCTACTTACAGATGGGAAAGAGATGTGAGGTCGTTGAAGGAGCCTTCAGGAACGCTGGAAATGTCATTGCCATGGAGGGTTCTGAAGCAGAGGGCACAGGTCGGAAGGTTAGCATCCACTAATTTGAATTTAGCATATTCTCAGGGCCTCCAGTGCCTGGCCCTGCCACCCTTCAGTTTTGCTCAGAGCCCCACTGCTCCTAGCAGTAGCTGCTGCCCCCTTTGCTCTGGGTGCATGAATGTTCTATGCCCAGCTCAGCAGCAAGGATGGAGGGAGTAGAGGGTTTGCGGAAGAAGGGGGTGGACTTTTCAATCTGATAGACCTGAGGCGAAATCAGAAACCAGTCTCTCTTAGCCGTGGAATGCTGGATAAGTTACGTCACTTTTCTGGGCCTTCATTTTTGCAGCTGAGAAAGGAAGAGACCCAAGGGAGTTACTGGAGTTTCAGAGATCATATGAAGAGCTGTGCTTAAGACCGGAAGTTCTGGAGCCAGGCTGTGTGAGTCAAACCTGACTTTGTCGCTTACCAGCTGTGTGACTAAGGGCAAAGCAATTTACCCTCTCTGTGCTTCAGCCTCTATTGTAAAACAGGTATGAGAATAAAAAGGCTTGCCACGGAAAGTTGTCATGGGTGTGTTAATCCACGTAGAGAGAGCCAGCATTTTCTAAGTGCTAAATGACTAATCAATATTAATATTTGTGAAAGAGTCTTGAAGGGTATCTGTATCAAGGAGGTCAGTAAATTAGTTTCCTTCGTATTTACCTAAAGAGATCTTAGGCACGTTGAGAAATGCTACCAATCCCAGCTTTGGTGACAGAGGGAGGGGGTCCTCAGCTCCCGAGGAGAGTCTCTGGAGCCGAACACTCATTGTTATGGAAACGGCTTTGGCATCAGCCACACACATACACGAGTCTGGCACTTGTGTGCACCTGAGTGCATCTTCCCACAGCACGTTGGAGGGGCCGGGCACCCCACTTGGTATTAATCATGCCTCTCTCCACCCTGTGGTGTAGGCAGCTAGGAGCTATTCTCACTTACACAGTGGTGCCATATACTAAGCCTTCCACAAATGCCTGGAGGATAGGTGCATGAAAAACCTCAATGAACACTGCTCCGTGCTCAAGTAGCAACACGAGCAAATCCACAACGCATGGATTATATTCTCCATTAAAGGATTAATCATCAACTGCATAAAAAAATCTGCAAATTAATAGAAACTCAAAGGCTTCTTTAGTGACTGATGGGCACCATCACCTGTGTTGGCAATAATCACCCTTCAGGGTAAGGACTAACAACTTTATTGCAGGCAGTGAGTCCTAGTAGAACAAAGAGACGATTAGTGTTGACAGTGGAAGTACAGATGGAATAATAACGAATGAATTTGCTCTTCTTCTCCCTTCAACTGAAGTTAGCTTGCCCTTGGTCTTCAGCTGACAGAGACATGAGCCTAATTACTCTTGATAGAGAACAGTGGCTCTCACACTGAGTGAGCTTTGGAAGCTAGTGAATATGCAGATTCCTGAGCCCCACTTCCAAAGATTCTGATTCAGTGGGTCTGAGGTGAGGCCTGAGATTCTGCATTTCTGACAAACTCTGAGGTGATGCTGACGCCAGTAGCAAGGGTTTAGAAAGGTTTCTCCTATTGCTTTAAGGCAAGGCCCTTATTTCTCTCCTCTTCCCATATAATCTGCTCTTCTCTTTCTCCTCTTAGTTACCCTCCATTGATATCCTCATCACCATCAGCTCCTTCTCCTCCCACCTCACAGTTCTCTGGTGAAATTCTCAGGGTGAAAGTGAGCCTCAGTGCTTAGGCAGCTAGGACAGCAGGAAGATGGCAAACAGCCATCTAGAGTGTTCACGATAGCTTCTCACCTCCCCGAGTAAGGAAGAGCTAGAAGCACTTCCTAACACTTTTATCAGCATCATTTAGCCTCTAGTTCATGAGGTTATTTATGAATCATACCAGCCCCTGCCTGCATGGCTTCATGGCTGCTTGCTGTTTTGCATAGGCACCCAGCTTTATTGTTAGTCATTTCCAAATGAGGCCTGGGCCCCTGGAGAGGCATGAGGCCTAACTTTAAAACACCGAAGGACCCAAGGGCAGCTTTAGCATTGTGACACCTGCAAGTCAGGCTCCATTCTCTACTAAAAATACAAAAATTAGCCGAGTGTGGTGGTGGGCGCCTGTAATCCCAGCTACTCAGGAGGCTGAGGCAGGAGAACTGCTTGAACCCAGGAGGCAGAGGTTACAGTGAGCCAAGATTGTGCCATTGTACTCCAGCCTGGGCGACAAGAGTGAAACTCCATCACAAACAAACAAACAAAAAAACCCTGCAGAGTAACAGGATTATAATTTACTAGGACAACTCATTAAATCCGCCTACACTGCAGGTTCTCCATCCTGGTTTGGCCCCCAAAGAAGTACTCTTGCCTGTCAAACAACCATCCTAAAGGATGCTAGAGAAGTGGGAGAATGAGTGCTCCTTCCCCTTTCTCCTCCCCTTCTCCCTGATGCCTCCCAGCGGCTGGGCTGGCAAGCAACTGTCAACTCTCAGTGGCTCATCTTCAAGCACTTGGAACTCCTCCTCTTTGCCTAACTCTTAGGGGATGTTAAAGGCAAACTTAAGAATTTCAGAATGCAGATGAGGGCACCATCAGGGCAACATTAGGGCATAACCATTCCTTAGTTCTGGGCTGCGCGAACCTTGGGTCTCTGAACCCCTAGGTCCTACGGTTAATACAATAAACAGTGGGAACTATCCTCATTCTAAATGTGGGTGTGGGTGGGTGAATTCTCTTCTGAGCAGGCTAAGCTATTCCCAGGTGATCTGGGGGTTAAGAACCCAAGGCTCTGGAGTCAGACTGCCTGGGTGTGAATCCCTCGTCTGATACTGGCTGTGTGAGCTGAGACAATTGACTTTTGGTTTCTCAGATTTTTTGGTTTCTCAGATATTTTGGTTTCTCAGATATTTTCATCTCTAAAATGGAGGAATTCTTAGTAACTACATATAGTAGACATTTTTAGGGGATGTGGGTTTCTCAGCATCAATGCTGTTTTCTGTAGCCGTTCCTCTGTTTTCTACTGGGGGTTACCCCTCCCCACCTCTTGGTCCCAGTGGTTTGGCCTCTGTATGAACCTATGGCTCAGGTCTGGCCAATCAGAGTCACAGTGATTGGTGTGAGGTTGAGCATGCAACCTAAGGGAGCCAAGGAGAGACACTTCTGGGGCTCTCTCTGGAACGATGAGGGCAGAAGCAGTTTAATTTTGTGGGGCTGCTAAGCTGCTAGAATGTAAACTTTCAGCCCATCAGGACCCTCTGTGTCTTAAATAGAGAAAGACTGCCTGAGAATGAAATCCACTTAGGAAAACAGGGCGAGAGGCAGAGGTACATTTTATTTTTTATTTTATGATTATTTTTGAGACAGTCTCACTTTGTTGCCCAGGCTGGAGTGCAGTGGCACGATCTTGGCCCACTGCAACTTTTGCCTCTCCGGTTCAAGCGATTCTCCTGCCTCAGCCTCCTGAGTAGCTGGGATTACAGATGTGCACCACCAGGCCTATCTAATTTTGTATTTTTATTAGAAATGGGGTTTTGCCATCTTGGCCAGGCTGGTCTTGAACTCCAGGCCTCAGGTGATCGACCTGCCTTGGCCCCCCAAAGTGCTGGAATTACAGGCATGAGCCACTGCGCCCAGCCTACATATTTCTTTTTCAGACAGAGTCTCACTCTCTTGCCAAGCTGGAGTGCAGTGGCATGATCTTGGCTCACTGTAACCTCGACCTCCTGGGTTCAAGCGATTCTCCTGCCTCAGCCTCCTGAGTAGCTGGGACTGTAGGTGTGCGCCAGCATGCCCAGCTAATTTTTGTATTTTTTTAAATTTTAGTAGAGACAGTGTTTCACCCTGTTGGCCAGGATAGTCTCGATCTCTTGACCTTGGGATCTGCCCACCTCAGCCTCCCAAAGTGCTGGGATAACAGACACATTCTGACAGTATCATTGCAGTACCTGCATCCAGCCCTAGAGCCCGGTATCTTCCAGTGCCTTCTTCAGTTATCTGAGTTGATAAATTCTCTTTATGCTTAAGGTGGTTTGAACTGATTTTCTTCCTCTTTGCCCAGGAGGAAAGCTAATATACCACTTCATAAGCTAGCTGTAAGCATTAAAAGACCAGATGCCAGTGGTTCAGAAGCACTCAGTCACATTAGCTATGATGATTGTTATCACTGTCATGACTCCTCCTCTATGTTTTTGAGTGGATTTTGGGGCCAGTCCTCTGGGAGTTACCCACATAGGGTAGAAGCCTGAAAGTGTGCAGCTTGTATGTCTCAAAGGCCGTGGTGAGTCCTGTGACCTGATTCCAGGACTGCAGAGGAGACATTGCATCTTGGCAGAGCGGTCAGCGCCTGTCCCCTTTCTCTCTGCATCTTCCATTTCATCCCACTCCTCAATTCCCATCAGAGGCCTCTCTGGGTGAGGAAGAAAATGCCTCATTTTTACATAGGCCAGCTCCCTCCAGTCTGAAATGGGTGCAGATAAAAACAGATGCTAGCCTGCGATGGGGAAGCAGGTAGAATGTGGTAGAAAGAGCACTGGGCTAGGAGCCCAGAGGTGAGTCCCAGCCTTGGTTCTGCCTGTGCCTTGGGGCTACTCAGCAGCATCTCTTCCCACTCCTGCCCCCAGAAGCCACATTGCAGCCACACCTGTAGCTTCTTGTGATTCCCCCAGTGCATATGCCTTTCCTGACTTCAGGGCCTCTGTCCAGGGCATTTATATTCTCCCGGCCTAGAATGTTCTTCACTCCCATCCCTACTTAGGTAACCCCCTCTGGTTTCTCAGTCTCAGTCCTGGAAGCACAAGTTAAGAGGAGTGATTCTGAAAACAAATAGTCTTGGGTTTAAATTCCAACTTTACTACCTACTGATTGCATCACTTTGGGCAAGTTACTTAATCTCATTCAACCTCTATTTACTGATCTGTGAAATGGGGATAACAGCGGTATATCCTTCACAAGGCAGAGGGTGACTAAGATAACATAACTAAAGCACTTAGCCCTTTGTGCAGCACATAGTCACGGTTTGATGAATGTCAGTGCTGATTATTAACCTTCCTTTCAGAAAGCCTTTTGGGTGGCTAAGACTGGGTTAGGTGCCTCTCACTTGTATCCCCATGGCTCTTCTTTCAGGTATCGCCTTGTGTTGTAGTTGCTTATTTACTTATTTCCCCTTCTAGACCAAGAGCTCCCTGAGGGCAACAATTGTGTCTCATTCACTGTTTGCTTTCTTTCCCCCTCCAGAGTTAAGCACAGCAACTAACCGGTAGCAGGTATTCAGGAAAGGATGAATAAGACAATGATCTTGAACAAGTCACTAAACCTCTCTGAATCTGTCTTTTCTTTTTTTTTTTGAGACCGAATCTCGCTCTGTGGCCAAGGCTGGAGTGCAGTGGCGTGATCTCTGCTCACTGCAAGTTCCGCCTCCCAGGTTCATGCCATTCTGCTGCCTCAGCCTCCCAAGTAGCTGGGACTACAGGCACCCGCCACTACGTCCGGCTAATTTTTTGTAGTTTTAGTGGAGACGAGGTTTCACCATATTAGCCAGGATGGTCTCGATCTCCTGACCTCATGATCCACCCGCCTCGGCCTCCCAAAGTGCTGGGATTACAGGCATGAACCACCGTACCCGGCCTGTCTTTTCTTCTTATAAATGAAACGTTTGGACAGAAAAATTTTCAATATTCACTCTTCAATCCTAAATTCTGCAATTAAACTTTTGTTTACTTATTTTTATTTTACAGATGTCAAAGTGCCAACCCTGGACCATGGTTGGGAGGTCACAGTGAGTCACCTTCTGGCTCAGCAGAAGAATTTTCTGATGCTCTAATAGCTGGTCAAAAGTGGAATAGAGTTGCCTGGTAAGGGAGTGATCTCTTTGTCTCAGAAGGTAATCAAGCAAAGGGCTCCCTTACAGGGATGTTTTAAGGAGAACTCAGGCAATTGGTAGAGCAGTGATGAACAGCCCCGTGGGTATAAACAGCACAATTCTTACTTCGGGGACTAGGAGCTAAAGATACTGAGGATGGTGAATGATAATCCCACTGGCTCCTTCGTGAGCACACACTGAAATTGCCTGCCCAGAGCTAACTGATTCCAGGTGGCCCTCCTGCGACTGGGGCAAGACAGTTGGGACCACACGCATACAAGGCATGTGACTTGGTGTGGAGCAAAGATCAGGGAATGCATGGATCCCCTAAGATGGATGAAGATGTCCACAAGAATGTTCTCTTTTCGCTATTTTCAGATTCGGAGCCAAGTAGAAAAAGCATTTTCCACACAATGTTTTGTACTCAGGGCTAAAAGACCACCCTCCTGTTGTGCTCTCCTGAAATGTATTCATATCCACCCATACACACACACACACACACACACACACACACACACACACACACACACACACACATTCTCTCTCTCTCTCTCTTTCTCTCTCTCTCTTAAATGTCAGTTTTCTCTTCCTGCTTTCCAGATCACTTTTTGGCCTTTGTCTACGCCCAAACTAAACCTTGATGCTCATTCTTCTTGCTGCCGCAAACACCCAACATCTCTGGGTCTCTGGTCATTTCTGAAAGTTTAATTAAAAGAATGAAACCCCTCAGAAATGAGGAAAGAATATACAAATGTTCAAATGCAGTTGCAGATAATGTAATTCCTGATTTTAAAAAGCCAATCTTTCTTCCAACTCCCTCAGTTGTAAATATGTTACCATCTTCATTCATCTTTATTGATTTATTATTTCTTTTGAAACAAGGTCTTGCTCTGTGTTACCCAGGCTGGAGTGCAGTGGCTCAATCACTGCTTACTGCAGCCTCCACTTGCCTGCCTCAATTGATCCTCCCACCTCAGCCTCCTGAGTAGCTGGGACTACAGGCACACATCACTATGCCCGGCTAATTTTTGTATTTTTAGTAGAGACAGGGTTTCACCATATTGGTCAGGCTGGTCTTGAACTCCTGACTTCAGGTGATCCACCCGTCTTGGCCTCCCGAAGTGCTGGGATTACAGGCGTGAGCCACCATGCCCGGTCTTCATTCATCTTCAACTTTGCCTTCATTTGTTATAGAAATGACTTTATATAAACACTAACTATCACAATTTTTTTCATTTGCTCTCTTACAGTCTTTCTTCATAGGTATAAATGTTTACAAGTTATAATTGTAACATATATACAAGTTAGGTTTATTTCTCCATGTAACGCTATGTGATAAGCACTTTCCCACATTGCTATCTAGTTTTCATCTTTGCCTCTTTTAATAATTGTACTTCATTGACTGGTTGCCTCATGGTTTCCTTAAACATTTCCCCACTGTGGCCCTTGTAGGTAATACTTAAAATTTAGGTTAAAAATAACAGTACAACAAAGATTTTAATGCACAGAATCTTCCCTCATTTTGGATGATTCTTTAACCTAAATTCCTAGGTGTGTAATTAGTGGGAGAAAGGACATTTTTACTTTTCCTGAATTGGCCCTTAGGCAGAAAATGGTTGCTCCCCACTGAGGTAGATGGTTGGACTGAGGTGCTCTAAGATCCCTTTTTATGCACAAGATCTCATGATTCTAAAATGATGATGCTAAAAGCCTATTAATTCTCTTTTTTTTTTCTTTTGAGACAGGGTCTGGCTCTATTGCCCAGGCTGGAATGCAATGGCGTGCTCTCAGCTCACTGCAACCTCTGCCTCCCAGGCTCCAATGATCCTCCCACCTCCGCCTCCCAAGTAGCTGGGACTACAGGCGCATGTTACCATGCCTGGCTAATTTTTTGAATTTTTTGGTAGAGACAGGGTTTCACTATGTTGCCCAGGCTAGTCTTGAAGTCCTGGGCTCAAGCAATCCTCCCACCTCGGCCTCCCAAAGTGCTGGGATTACAGGTGTGAGCCACCATGCTGGGGCAAGCCTACTAATTCGTATTTCAAGAAGCAAGTGCTAGCGTGTTGTATGGTTACGTGTACCGCTGATGAACTCATGGCAGTAGTAGTGCCAGACTGGGACAAATGATGCTGAGGAAAGAGAAAACCCTGGTCAGGCTGGTGGTGTTCACCCCATCACCCCCACCACCCCAAAAGACAGACAGATGGACGGGCAAACATTTTCTCTCCCTCTTACATATTGAGTTGCCCCAAACATCACTACTCTAATTATGAACAGATGCATGCAGATTCCTTAAAATTGGCAGGTCCCACCTCCTGGCAGTGAACCCACACACGGAACTATTAGACTGGGATGGAAGACAATAGGTTGGGATTGAGGGGGAATGGTAGGAGAAGGAAGGGGGAGCAGGTCCGGCTTCAGCCCTGGCCAGTGATACGAGCCCATCTCCTGCTGTGTTCAACTGGAAACAGGGAAATGGTTGTGCTGATGTATCCATTCTCAAACTCCCCAGAGAAGGTGGATAATAAATAAGTGACAATAACAGATTGCACACTGTCAGCGCGGGCACTTCTTTGCCCCCAGAGAATTGATTTTTAATAACAGCGCAGATGACATGTGGCGGGAGTTGTCACTGACACCGGTGTTTTGTGGGCCTCAATAAATCACATCAGCCTGGAGGCTCTGAAATGGACTAGCTTGTTGGGTGCTGTTTGTGGATTGCTACTCGGCCCTGGAATGGCTCCCGGGTCCCAGGAGGCTGGATTCTGCAACCTACTGACTGCTAGACCTTGGCCAGTTACTTCACCAGTCTGGGCCTCAGTTTCTCCATGTTTAAAATGGGCAGAACTGTCTTGGTCTCACAGCAGTGTTGCAAAAGGTTAGACGAAGAAAACTGTCCCATAAAATATGTTGATCACTATTATAGTAATAATGATCTAGAAAGTCAGGAAGTTGATAGGTTTGGGGGCGGAGTATCTGGCATCTCTGTTTTCATGAATAGCATTCAAGGGTGATATTCAAAGGACCAAAGGAATTCAAAGGAATGTGCTAATAAAATAGAAGCAAGATGGGAAGGCACAAAAATCAGGTGTTAATCAGGCCCAGGATTGGGGGTGGTGGTGGGGTGCCTTCCTGCCCTAGCAAGCTGTGATATAAGAATAATAACAAGTGAATATTTGTTAAGCATTTACAGTGCCAGAGCTGCACTAAGTACTTCATATACAGTATCTCATTTAATCCTCATAAGACCCTGTGAGGCAATTACCATAATTATCTGATTTTATGGATGAGAAGACACTCAGCTACCCATGTGTAGGACAGGGCCAGGCAGGCGAGGAGAGTGGGCCGGCTGTGGAGGCTGCAGCCTGCACAACTCTGTTTAAAGGGGCAGGGCTGCTCAGCCATGCAGGAATGCAGGGGTAGGGCCCTGGTACGGCCAGGTCTCTCAATTTTCCAAAAGAATATAGAGAGTGGGATTTGTGGAAGAAATCTGATATTTAAATGTTGACAGCTTATTAAGCTTTGTGTTCTTAAAAAGACACTCTATGAGCCAACCCCACAATTGCTAACTAATAGCTGTCTGTGAGCTGGACGGGGGCCCTGGGTTTCCAGCTTGTGATCTCTGGGGTAGGAGCTGTTTCCATGCAGAGGTTCACCATGCTGCATTGCCCCTCTGAGGAAACAACTGTCAACAGAATGATCATCGAAACGTGGCTATGACCACACACTATGCTCAATACTAGAGGGTAGAATACAATTGCATATCCTAATCCTCACAAAGGAGGTGCTATTGATCCCATTTTACACATAAAGAAGCAGAAAGTTGAAGGGGCTCAGTGATTTGCTCAAGGTTCCACAGTGGTAGTGCGCTGGACCCTGGGAATGGCAGACTCTCAAAGGTAGCTCTCTCTACTCCACTGAGCAAATAAGGGTGCTGGGTAGGAAGGTGTGTTTGGGGGTGGAGTGGGCTTTGGGCAGAGAGTGGGGAAGGGGAGTGCTTAGTCTGCTTCCTGCTGTCACTCAGCAATGTGTAAGTCAAAATCAGCACATTGGGGTACTCACAGCACTCGCAGGGACCGCAGCCCGTTGAAGGCGTGGACGGGGATGCACCTCAGCCGGTTGTAGCTCAGGATCCTGTGGAAAAGGAGGCATGTGCCCTGTTGTGTCTTTCTATTCTCTACCATGCATAGGTGCACTGTTCACGTTGTGAAACAAAGCAAATGGTTTATCTTTTCAATGTTGATATATTGACAGAACATCCCCTAAAGGGACAAGAAACCTCTTCACCAATCCAGGAAGCGCACTGGCTTTATTTCCTCAGTTTACTCAAGTTCTGTGGCAGGCTGGCTTTCTAACCAGCTTGTTCGTCACCTCTCTCTCCTGTCCAATGATGAGTACTCACAATGTGTAAAGCTAATGGGAAATAAATGGGTGTGAGCAAAATATAATTGTGTAGGAAAACCATTTCCGGGAAAGAAAATTCACAAACCACAAAAGGTATTCCTAAGACAGCCTTCTTCAGAAGCGACGAGGTTCTAGTTCCTCTCTAACTGCCTGGACAGTGGAGGGCTTCCTACTTTATCTTCCTTCTGATGATTAAGGTGTATCTTATGCTAGGGCAGCCATAGGCCTGAGGGTCATTAGGGCAGAGAAACTAGTCCTGCTGGGAGGGAGGGAAAGAGTAACCATCTACTGCTAGGCCCAAGGGCATGGTAAACACAGCATCTCAGTGTACTCACAGAGTGGAGAGGTGAGACATGTTACTGAAGGTGTAATTGGTCAGCATGCTGATGCTGTTGTTGCTCAGGTCACTAGGAAAAGTAAAACAGAGGGGTCATGCTTTTGTCTTAGTTGCATCTGTAGGAGGCCATTCCCAAGTATCACACATACCTGCCATCCACCCACTCATCTACCCATCCACCCATCCACCCACCTATTCATTAATTCACTCACTCATCTATCCATCCCGCTGCTGGCCTGTTTATCTACTCTCCTGCTCACCCATCCGCTTTCCCATCCATCCGTCCATCCATACATCTACCCACCCACCCACTTACCCATCTACCCCTCACATATTTATCATATTTATCCCAGGCAGTCACCTGCCTGCCTGCCCATCCATCCATCCCACCCTCCCTTCCTCCCTCCCACCATCCATCCACCCACTTATCTACTCACTCATCCACCCACTCATTCATCCAAATGGTCATTTTCAATTCAAACACTTATTCAATCATTCAAGCAACTGTCATTCATTTATCCATCTATTCACTTATGCAGCTAGTCAATCATTCAGTTACATGACTATTCATCCATTTCACTGTACCAACAAAATATGATACATATAATAACAATCTCTCCTTGTTTTAGTACTTTTTTCCCCTGATTAATTCTTTTCACTGTTCCTCTATCCCCCTTCTTTTCTGGCATTCATTTACTCCGTCTTATCAGGTTCTGTCTTAGGAGGACTGAGGTTGGTGGGGGTGCAGTCCTCTGCCAGCTGCAACCTCGAGCTTCCCTGCGGGGATAAACATCCAGAGCTGTGGCAATGTTAGCTGCACATTAGAATCACCTGGGGAGCTTTTAAATCCTCTGATGCCTGAGTTCCATGCCCAGGTATTCTGATTTAATTGGTCTAGCATGGGCTTGAGCATCAGTAGCTTGAAAAAAATCTGCTCAGGTGATTCCTCTAATCAGCTGATGGTGAGGACCATTGCTTTAGAGCAGTGATTCTTAACTGGGGGCACTTGTGCTCCCTCAGTGACATTTGGCAAGGTCTGAAGACATTTCTGGTTGTCAATACTGGGGTAAGTATTACTGGCATCTAGTGGGTAGAGGCCACAGATGTTGTTAAACATCCTATAATGTCTATGACAGCCTCCCAACAACGAATAATTAACCCCAATGTCCATAGTTCCGAAGTTGAGAAATCCTTATCTAGAGGCTGGTTTCAGGAGTTTATAGGAATCCATCCCACAGAGAGATGGTGTTCTTTCAGCTTTTCAGAGAAGGTCTCCTACTTTCCCAAGGGTAATGCTCTTTCATTCTGCAAGATCTCCCACTTTCCCTTTGCAGACTGGCTTCTGGTCCTAAGCAGACAGGCATCTTTCAATTACCACTTGCATCAGCCTGCAGCTCTGTTCTCTCTTACCATCCACTTCAGTTTCCTGAGCGACCCCAGCAGGGAAAAATAAACATCCCACCCAATACTGGGCTCCTTACATAAGCGTCAGGTGTCGGAGGGCGGACAGCTCTCTGGGCACGGCTGTTAGGTGGTTTCCTTCCAGGTACCTGAAAGAGGTGTGGAGAGACAACACCTGAGAAAGAGACACTGTACAAATTCTCACCTTTTCAGAGAAGCCTCCCTGACTTTCCAGGCTGGATTAGGTCCCTCTTTTACTCTTAGAGCCTCCCTCCCCAACTTCAAAGCATTACTATATTTGTCATTTAATATTTATTTGATTATCCAATGAATGACATTTTTTTCTCCACTGGACTTATACATTTCATGTTGGCAGGATTCTTGTCTAAAATTGCCCACCGTTGGATCCCCCCGTGGCTGTTTACAGAGCTGATACATAGTAGGTATTCAATAAATATTTGTTTAATAAATAAAGCACTCATTTTATACTCAGCCCTCAAAATATCCTTATGTAGCAGGAAGTCACAGTTGAAGAAAAGTTCAGAGATGTTAAAACACTTGCCCAAGGTCATGCAGCAAGCAAGTGGTTGAGCTAGGACTTGAACCCAGCTCTGACTGTAGTCTTACCACAATTCCACACTTAGCTTCCGGAAGCTGTTGGGAGAACTGAGCCAGGCATGATTAAGAACCCTAATTCAATGTTGACTATCTCTGATGTACATTTGGAAACTGAGGAAATGGGGGGCTATCTCTGTTGTTGGAGCACTGTACTACAGTTCCCAGCAGAAGGACTACATGGCAGGAGGGGACAGGGGTTCAGAGTGAGGTTGCACCCAACAGATGGGGACTCCTTCTGGACATGCAAAGGCTGAGCTAAGATCTGCCTGGACTTCAGCATCCTACACTGACCTGCTCACCTAGGATGAGGCCGCCTCCTTAGAGACTCAAGTGTGGCTTAAGATAAGAACGTCTCATTGTAATTATGTAATCATGAATTACAAAGGTTATTCCTACCTATAAATAAAAGTTAATGCTATCCTCAAGTGGGGACATGCCACCCTTGCTGTAAACCCCTTTCTCCAGGCTTTCTGTTGCTCTCAGGACAAAGCTGAAGAACATTTAAGATGGCTTACAAGAACTGCTTTGATCTCCTTGGTGATCTAAAGCTCCCATAGCATCCTCTCCTATAAGAGTCAACACATAGCCACTGCTGTCCATTTGTCAAGTGTCTGCCTTAAGCTCCATGAGGCTAGACCTAGGTCTATCTCTTGCTAGCCTGGTGCTTCTCAAACTTCAACATACATGCAAATCACCTGGATTTTGCTAGACCACAGATTCTGACCCTAGGTCTGGGGTAAGGTTGGAGAATCTGCATTTCTAATGAGCTCCTGGGTGATGGTGGTGACTGCTGGTCTGCAGACCACATTTTGAGTAATAAGGTGCTAGCACACTACCTGGTGTCCAGTAGACCTACCACAAAATGACTAAATGGGATAGAAATGGGTTAAAACAGAATATGGGTCAAGGTGTCAATGACTGAACCAGCCTTAGCTTTAAGGCCACATTGGAACGTGCATTATCTTTAATTGTTTAATTAAGACCAAGTAACTTTCCTCCTATGGCTGGCCCCTGGGGACTCTCATGGCACAGGGTGCTGGACTGGACCTAATAAGGTCTTAGGTGGCCATGGCATATTGGACTGATGTCCTTTTGCTTTGATCCTCGATTGTGTACACATTATGGGCCAAGAGCTATGCTAGATCCTGGGAGAAATACAAAGATGAACCAGATTCCATTTCTGTCTCAGGGAGCCTAAAATTCAGTCATGCACATGCTTAGATTGTGCCCTCAGACAGAAAAGCCAAGAGAAATGCATTCATTCATGCATGCATTCATTCAAGCCCAAGTATTTATTGAACGATTATGATGTACCAAGTATCGTATATACTGGTGAATAAGAGCCATAATTCCTGCTTTCAGGCAATTAAAAATCAAATATAGGTGGAGAGGGAGGCAGGGAGGGAGAGGGAGGCAGGGAGGGAGAGGGAGGCAGGGAGGCAGAGGGAGGCAGGGAGGCAGAGGGAGGCAGGGAGGAAGAGGGAGGCAGGGAGGGAGGGAGAGGGAGGGAGGGAGAGGGAGGGAGGAAGGGAGGGAGGGAGAGGGAGGCAGGGAGGGAGAGGGAGGCAGGGAGGGAGGGAGGGAGGGGAGGGAGGGAGGCAGGGAGAGAGACAGTGCATACAGGAGAGCAAGCAGGCAGATGTATAAAGAAATATAAATTATGAATTGCAATCTGTGCTTTCTTGGGAAGGAGCAAGGAAACACCAAGGGGCTTACTGCAGAAAGATGCAGTTGAAGAGCCAGGTGTGGTGGCTCATGCCTGTAATCCCAATACTTTGGGAAGCCGAGGCATGTGGATCATTTGAGGTCAGGAGTTTGAGACCAGCCTGGCCAACATGGTGAAACCCCCCTCCTAAAAATACAAACAAAACAAAACAAAACAAAAATAAAAACAAAAATACAAAAAATACAGCTGGATGTGGAGGCACATGCCTGTAATCCCAGCTACTCAGGCGGCTGAGGCAGGAGACTCGCTTAAACCCAGGAGGCAGAGGTTGCAGTGAGCCAAGATTGCACTACTACACTCCAGCCTGGGCGACAAAGCAAGACTGTGTCTCAAAAAAAAAAAAAAAAAGAAATATGCTGGCTGGGCACGGTGGCTCACTCTTGTAATCCCAGCACTTTGGAAGGCTGAGGCAAGTGGATCACTTGAGGCCAGGAGTTTGAGAGCAGCCTGGCCAACATGGCAAATCCCTGTCTCTACTAAAAATACAAAAATTAACTAGGTGTGGTGGTGCATGCCTGTAGTCCCAGCTACTAGGGAGGCTGAGGCAGGAGAATCATTTGAACCCAGAAGGCCAAGGTTGCAGTGAGCTGAGATGGTGCCACTGCACTCTAGCCTGGGCAACACAGTGAGACTCCGTCTCAAAAAAAAAGAAAAAGAAAAAAAAGGAAGATGCACAGCTGAGGAGGACATATTTTCAGATGAGGATTGGTAGGTGAAAAGGGTGAAGACTTGGAAAGAGCAGGGGAGGTGGAAGAGTCTGGCAAGAATGCAGCCTGTGGACAGTCCAGAGCTTGAGTTCCAAGGCAGAGAAGGCAGGCTGAGGGGCTGAAGTCTCATGGGCCTGGAGAGGACAGTGGGAGACAGGGTAGATCACGCTGAGGCCTTGGAGATTATTTTATTCAAAGCACAATGAGAGGCCATGACTGCAGACAAGGGCAGAGGCTGGTGTTGCAGAGCTTCCTCAGGCCTCTCATCTGTACTCACCCTCTGCCCTCCCTGCATGAAAGGCTGTGGGGTATTTGCATTCTGAGTGAATGCTTGCCCTACTCCCCAAACAGGGGCAGGGGCTCAGCCGGTGGTGGGAAGGAGCAGACACTGGGAGGGGGTATGTATCCAGCTTATTCCTTTGGGCAGGGAGGCTCTGCTCTGTGCAGGCTGAAGAAGGGGAGGACAAACTGTTGGGCCATAATTCACACACCTGCAGGAAGTGTTCTGTGGACAGTGTGGCTATGGGGAGCTTGGAGGCAGGAGCTGGAGGAATGAGCAGGACAGGCAGAGAAGCGCTGGTCCAGGGAGGATCTCTTCTCCAGGGAGATCCGAGGGAGTTGCTAGGAAGGGGTATGACCTGAGATTGACAGTGGCTTCCCACCTTCTATGCTGCTCATTCTATGCTGCCAGTACTGGGGCCCAAAGACTGGCTCAGTTTGCATGTAAATCTCCAGCTAAACTTCACCACCACCTCAACTAATAATGGTACCCTAAGTCACTGAGGATGTGATTATAGAGACCACTGATCCTATGCCCTGCCGAGGAATTCATACAAAGATCACACTACCACAGGCACTCAAAATCAAACCCAAAGTATCTTAATCAACAACATATATATATATATATATATATATCCTCAGAGAAAATTCTCCCCTACAAAAGCAATTTCAAACAATTAGAACAAGTGACTGCTACACCAGATGTTCAGAAATCCAAGTAATGACACAGGAAACATGAAACAGCAGGGAAATATGATGCTACCAAAGGACCACAATTGTCCAGCAACAGATCCCAATCAAAAAGAATTCCTTGAAATGCCAGGTAAAGAATTGAAAATGTTATTCTTAAAGAAGCTCAATGAGATGCAAGAGAAATCTGAAAACCAACACAAATAAATTAAAAAATCAATGTAGGCTATAAATAAGAAATTTCCAAGGACACAGACATCTTAAAAAAAATAAAAAAGCCAAAGCCCAGGTGCAGTGGCTCAGGCCTGTAATTCTAGCAGTCTGGGAGGCCAGTGGGAGGACTGCTTGAGCCCAGGAATTTGAGACCAGCCTGCGCAACATAGTGAGACCCTGTATTTACAAAAAATAAAAAGTCAGCTGGGGAAGGTAGCATGTGCCTGTGGTCCCAGCTACTAGGGAGGCAGAGGTGGGAGGATTGCATGAGCCTGGAAGGTCAAGGCTGCAGTGAGCTGTGATCACACCACTGCACTTCAGCTTGAGTGACAGAGTTAGACTCTGTCTCAAAAAAAAACCAAAGAAACAAAAAAAAAAGCCAACTGAGAAATTCTGAAACTAAAAAATTAATTGAAGGAAATACAAAATACATTAGAAAATTTCAATAATAGACTAGAACAAGCAGAAGAAAGAATCTCAGAACTTGAAGACAGGTCTTTTAAAATAATCCAGTCAGACAAAAATAAGGAAAAAAGAATAAAAAGAATGAACAAAGGCTTTGAGATATGTGAGAGTACATAAAGTGACCAAACTTATGAATTGTTGATATTACCAAGGGGGAAAAGAGATCAAAAAGTTTAGAAAACATATTTGAGAAAGTAATTGATGAAAATTTCCCAAGTCTGTCAAGAGAGTTAGACATCCATTTACAGGAGGCCCAGAAATCTTCAGGCAAATACATTGCAAAAAGGATATCTCTATAGCATATTATATTCAGAATGTTTAATATAAAAGTGAAATAAAGGATTTTAAAATTAGCAAGAGAAAAGCATGGAGTCATATACAAAGGAAACCCCTCAGACTAACAGAAGACTTTTCACAGAAACCTTACAGGTTAGAAGAGAAATGTGATGGCATTTTCAAAGTGCTGAAAGAAAAAAAAAAACTGTCAGCCCAGAATTTTGTATTCTGCCAAAATAAATTTTATAAATTAAGGATAAAGTCCTTCCCTGACAAGCAAATACTAAGGGAATTTGCCACCACTAGAGCAACCCTATAGGAAATGTTCAATGAGGTCTTAAATGTGAAAATGAAAGGTCGATATTCACTATCACAAAAAATCATGAAAATATAAAACTCACAGTTCATATAAAACAATTATACAAAGGAAGAAGAGAAAGGAATCAAATGGCAACACCACAGAATTTCACCAAACCACAAAGACAGAAAAAGAAAGAAACAAGGAATTTATAAAACAACTTGAAAACAATCAACAATATGACAGGAACAAAGCCTCACATATCAATACTAACCCTGAATATAAATGGATTAAATGCTCCATCTTAAAGATACAGATTGTCAGAATGGATAAAGAAACATGATCCAACTATATCCTGCCTACAAGAAACTTATCCTTCCCATAAAGACGCAAATAGACTGAAAGTAAAGGGGTTGAAAAAGATATTCCATACAAACAGAAACCAAAAGTGAGCAGGAGTAGCTACACTTATATCAGATAAAAAAGACATATCACATAAAACAGTAAAAAAAAAAGACAAAAAAGGTCACTAGATAATGACAAAGGGAACAATTCAGCAAGAGGATGTAATAATCCTAAATACATACACAACCAACATTGGAGAACTCAAATAACACAAACAAATAATACTGGACCTAATGAAAGAAACAGACGACAATACAATAATAGTAGGGTCTTGGTAACACCCTACTGACAGCACTAGACAGATCATTGAGACAGAAAATTAACAAAGAAACACTGGACTTAAATTGGACTTTAGGCCAAATGGACTTAATAGACATTTACAGAAATTCTACCCAACAATGACAGAATATACATTGTTTTCACCAGCACATGGAACATTCTCCAAGATAGACCACAAGTTAGCCCACAAAACAAGTCTTAACACATTAAAAAACCTGAAATTATATCAAGTATTTTCTCAGATCACGGTAATTTAAGGCTAGAAATCAATACCAAGACAAACTTTTGAAACTATCCAAATACATGGAAATTAAACAGCGTGCTCTTGAACAACCACTGGGTCAACAAAGAAATTAAAATTAAAATTAAAAAAAAATCCAAATGAATGAAAATGAAAAAACAACATACCCAAACCTATGGGATACAGCAAAAGCAGTGCTAAGAGGGAAGTTAATAGCATTGAATACCTACCTCACAAAGGTAGAAAGATCACAAATTAACAACCTAACATCATACCCCAAGAAACTAGAAAAAGAAGAACAAAACAACCCCAAAGTTAGCAGAAGAAGAGAAATAACAAAGATCATGCTGAGACTAAGGATTCTAGTATGAACAACAAAACAGAAAAGAAATAACAAAAATCAGAGCAGAACTAAATGAAATGGGGACCAAAAGGATAATACAGAAGATTAACAAAAGAAAAAGTTGGTTCTTCAAAAAGATAAACAAAATTGATAAATCACTAGCTAAACTAACCAAGAAAAGAAGAGGGAAGATCCAAATAAATACAATCAGAACTGAAAAAGGAGACATTACAAATGATATTTCAGAAATACAAAAGATCATCAGACTATTATGAACAACTATACAATCACAAACTAGAAAATCTAGAGCAAATGGATAAATTCCCGGAAGCATGCAACCTCCTGAAATTGAACCAGGAATAAGTAGAACTTCTGAACAGTAGACCCCTAATAAGTAGAGAGACTGAATCAGTAATACAAAATATCCCCCCCTAAACTGCCACCAAAAAGCCCAGGACCATAAATCCAAAGATGAATTCATAGCTGAATTCTAACAAGCACACAAAAAACTAGTATTAATCCTCCTGAAACTATTTTAAAAAACTGAGAAGGAAGTAATTCTCCCTTACTCATTCTATGAGGTCAGTATCACCCTAATACTAAAACCAGACAAGGACACAATGAAAAAAGAAAACTACAGGCTAACATCCTGAATGGACAATAGACATAAAAATTCTCAAAAAAAATACTAGCAAATTGAATCCAAGAGCACATCAAAAAGATAATAGACCATGATCAGGTTGTGATTTATTCCAGGAATGAAAGGATGCTTCAATATACGCAAATCAATAAATGTGCATCACATAAACAGAAATAAGGACAAAAACCATATGATCATCTTAACAGATGCAGAAAAAGCATTTGAGAAAATTCAGCATCCCTTCATGATAAAATTTAGCAAACTAGGCATACAAGGAACATACCTCAAATAATAAAGGCTATATACAACAAACCCACAGCCAACATCATCCTTAATGGAGAAAAGTTGAAAGGATTCCCTCTAAGAATTGGAACAAGACAAGAATACCCACTTTGACCACTCTTATTCAGTGTAGTATTGGAAGTCCTCACCAGAGCAATCAGCAAAGAGAAACAAAAGGCATCCAAATTGGAAAAGAGGAAGTCAAATATTTCTGCTGATGATATGATCTTATATCTAGAAAATAAACACTAAATACTTGACCAAAAAACTGTTAGACTTAATAAATGAATTCAGTAAAGTTTCAGGCTACAAAATTAATGTTTAGAAATTAGTAGCATTCCTAAACACCAATAACTATCTAGTCAAGGACCAAATCAAGAAGGCAATCCCACTTACAATAGCTAAGACAAGGACAAAAACAAAAACAAAAACAAAACCCTAGGAATATATTTCACCAAGGAGGTGAAAGATGTCTATCAGGAGAACTACAAAACACTGATGGAAGAAATTGTAGACAACACAAACAAATGGAAAAACATCCCATGCTCATGGATTTGAAGAACTAACGTTGTTAAAATGACCATACTGCCCAAAGCAATCTACAGATTCATTGCAATCCCTACCAAATGACCAATGTCATTTGGTACATTTTTCACAGAATTAGAAAAAAAATCCTAAAATTCATATTCATAATTCAAAGAGCCCAAATAGCCACAGCAATCCTGAGCAAAAAGAACAAAGCTGGAGGCATCATATTACCTGACTTCAAATTATATTACAAGGCCATAGTAACCAAAACAGCACAGTACTGGTATAAAAATAGACACATAAATCAATGGTACAGAACAGAGAACCCAAAAATAAAGCCACATTCCTACAACTAACTGATCTTCACCAAAGCCAAAAATATACACTGGGGAAATGACACCCTATTCAATAAATGGTGCTGGGAAAATTGGATAGCCATATGATGAAGAATGAAACTGGACTCATACTTTTCACCATATACAAAAATTAACTCACAATGAATTAAAGGCCCAAATGTAAAACATGCAAATATAAAAATCCTAGAAGAAAACCTAGGAAAAACTCTTTTGGACATTGGCCTAGGCAAAGGATTTATGACTAAGTCCTCAAAAGCAAATGTAGTAAAAACAAAATTATAAAAATGGGACTTAAACTAAAAAGCTTCTGCACAGCAAAAGAAACAACAGTAAACAGACAACCTGCAGGATGGGAAAAATACTTTTAAACTATGCCTAAACAAAGGTTTGATATCCAGAAACTATAAGGAACTTGACAAGAAAAAAAAAACCATTAAAAAGCGGGCAAAGGATATGAATAAACATTTCTCAAAAACAGACATACAATTGGTCAAACATATGAAAAATGCTCACCATCACTAATCATCAGAAAAATGCCAATCAGAACCACAGTGAGATACCATATCATATCAGCAGAATGACCATTATTAAAAAGTCTAAAAACAACAGATTTTTGGTGAGAATGTGGAGAAAAAGGAATGCTCATATGCTACTGGTGGGAATGTAAATTGGTACAACCTTTACGGAAAACAGTATGGTGATTTCTCAAAGAACTAAAAATAGAACTACCATTTGATCCAGCAACACCACTACTGGGTAAACACCCAAAGAGAAATAAATAATTACATCCAAAAGACACCTGCACTTGTATGTCTATCACAGCACTATTCACGATAGCAAAGATACGGAATCAACCTCAATGTCCATCAACAGAGGATTGGATAAAGAAAATGTGGTGTATATTCATGGACACAAGGAGGGGAACAACACACACCATGGCCTGTCAAGGGTTGGGATGCAAGGGAAGGGAGAGCATTAGGACAAATACCTAATGCATCTAGGGCTTAAAACCTAGATGATGGGTTGATAGGTGCAGCAAACCACCATGGCACATGTATACCTACATAACAAACCTGTACATTCACACATCTATCCTGGAACTTAAAATAAAAAAAAATTAAAAAAAAAAAAGAAAATGTGGAATATCTATATACATTGAATACTACTCAGCCATAAATAAGAATGAAATCCTGTCTTTTGCAGCAATGTGGATGGAACTGGAGGCCATTATCCTCAGTGAAATGACTCAGAAACAGAAAGTCAAATACTATATGTTCTTGCTTATGAGTGGGAGCATGACAATGGGTACACATGGACATACCGAGTAGAATAATGGACACTGGAGACTACAAAAGGTAGGAGGGTGCTGAGGGCTGAAAAACTACCTATTGGGCACAATGTTCAGTATTTGGGTGATGGGTACACTAAAAGCCCAGACTTTACCACAACACAATATATGCATGTAAGAAACCTGTACTTGTACCTCCTAAATATATTGTTTAAAAAGTCAACTGACTGTAGATATTAATTGCATTTACAAAATACCTTCACAGCAACATCTAGACCAAGTATGTGACCAAACAACCGAGCACCACAGCCTACCCAGTTGAGACAGGAAATTAACTGTTAGAGCCCTGCCTCCTGTCTTTGGTTCATCTTTTATCAGACTTTCCCTTGACCTCTGGTTCCAACTCCACTGGCCTTAACCTTCCTAAAATGCCCCATCCCCTCTGGTGGGGGGCAGGTGTTTGTACACACTAGTGTCTCTCCTCCCTCCTTGCCAGGTTAACTCCTACAGATGCATGGATCTCAGCTCCAGCATTAGTTTTTCAATATCAGTTCCCACACCTACCAATGATATTACAGGTGTTCCATGTGCTGGTGATATTACAGAATGTTCCATGTGCTGGTGAAAAGAATGTATATTCTGTAGTTGTTGGGTAGAATCTCTGTAAATGTCTATTAAGTGCTTTTGGCCTAAAGTTATATAAGACAGCCAAAGCATTGGCTGTCTTTTCATCACAGCATTTGACCCCCATGGTGACATCTTTCGTGTGATTCTGTGATTAATGTGGGCAGAATCATGTCTGCTTGGCTCACCACAGCATTCTCGCACTCTGCCTGGCAACAGCAGATGCTCAGGAAACGTCATCTGTGTGATGAAAACCCCTGAACTCCTCAGGGAGAGCTGCGTTTGGCATGATGGAGCCAAGCACAAGTTGCTTTCAGTGCAGAATGTCCCCGGCGACCTGGCAGCACAGCTCAGAAGACTCAGAATCAAAGCTTTCACATCAGAAATGCAGATGCAGTGGTGGGGAGAGCTCTCTTTGTAGCAGGCCCTTCATGAAAACTCTGAACTCCAAAGTTGTCTGTAGCCTACAGTCCAGGCTCCCAGAGGGACCCTTTCAGGAGACTGCCCTCTTGCCCCACCAGCCTTAGAACTGCCGGAGTGTTTCTGGCAGGTCACCCTTTGCATTTGGCCTGCATTTAAATGCTCTGTTTCAGCCCCAGTGCAAACACACAAGGACACATCTGCCTTGCATGAAACTCCACACAGATCTCTGTGAATGGGTGTTCCCCATTCCTGTTTGGAGCTTTGGGGTGCTGACTGATGCCCCACAAAGAACTCAAACCAGCTGATGTTAATGGAGAGGGAGGGAAGCCACCTTCCCAGAGACTCTGCTCCAGGCCAGAATTTCCACTAGAGTCCTGGAGTGATGTGGGGGCAGCTCAGGGGTCAGGCAGCTGAGGCTCACATCCTGGCTCTACTATCTAAGAGCTGTGTGACCCTGGGTGAAGTACTTAACCTCTTTGAGCTTACATTTAGTCACCTGTAAAACAAAGCTTATAATGATCACCACCTTGATGTGATTCTGAGGATTAAATTTGAGTCTCTGTGAACAGTTCTCAGAGCAGTACCCGGCACACTGGTGGCCAACACATTTTAAATATACATACACATACATATAGACAGATAGATACACACACACACACACACACACACACACACACACACACACACACATCTCCATCCAATAATACACATAGCTTATTGAAAGATAATGTTCCTCTTGCTGTTCATTCTCTTCTTCTTCCTCCAGGGTAGTATTTCTAAAATGAGAATTGGATCATGCCACTTAAAATTCTTCCTGGATTCCTGCATTTCTCTTGGAGTCAGCTCTCCCTATACCTACAAGAACTTACATATCCCTTCTCAAGCTTTCAGCACACATCACCCTCTTTGTCATCCTATTTGCTCCATCTCACAGCCTTCTTGGTTTCTTGAATTTAAGATCTTTCCACCTTGAGGTCTTCATAAAACATGTTCTTTCTACTCTGTTTCCCTCCTTTACTTTCCTGGGAAATCCCCCTCTACTCCTGGTGTGAAATGCCTGATCTGGTCGGTTTTCTTACTGTCTTTCTCCCCTACTCTCAGTTTCTGAGAAAAGGGATCTTATCTGTCATGGTAGCCACTGTACCTTCAGCTGCTACCACAGTGTGTGGCACAATGAACTCAATGAATGGAAGGGAGCCTTCTCAGCTCTCGGCCTGTGCTCAGGCCACCCACAGCCCCTCCCATAGATGGCTGTCACTGTCCAATAGTGTGGAGAAGTGTCCTCTACTGGTGCCATCTGCTGAGGTCTTCTCTGGGCCAGAGCCTGTGCCAGGACTCATAAGTGCTGCTGTGCCCAGAGCTGGTCCACTCTCCAAAGATGTGATCAACCCCTCCAGCTGGCTGGAGGCACATTTCAGTCTCTCTCCCTGGGCCAGAGAATGTCAAGGATGTAGTCAGTGCTGGGCAGTTGTTCTATTAAGTGCTCTGGGGAGCATGGGGGATATGAAAAGCAGCAGGCTCTTCTCGGGCAGCAGCTTGCCTTGCTAGAGAAGGCCCAGCTGTCAGGATGGACATAGCCAGAACCACTGACAGGTACCTATAGCCTCATGGCAGGCTGCCTGGGCTTGCCTCCTCCCTGCTGCAATGCAGAGTGCCTGGGCTTGCCTCCTCCCTGCTGCAATGCAGAGTGCCTGGGCTTGCCTCCTCCCTGCTGCAATGCAGATGTCAGTTTTCAAGAGGACCCATGTAAGCCCCCAGCAAGCCAGGCCACTGGGCAGAACACATAGGGACCTGGGTTTCTGCCACAGGGAGGACTTGGGGTCAGATGGACCTGGGCTTGAGTCTATAGTCTGCTGCTTATTGGCAGTGTGATCGTCAAAAATTATTCAACCTTCAGTAGCTCCGGTTATCTCACCTGCAAAATGGGAATAATGACACTTGCCTTGAAGAGTTGTTAGCAGGGTGAAATGAGATTACCTATTAAGAAAACCCAGCACAGCACTTGGTACACAGTAAATGCTCTAGAAATGGTGGCTGTGGTGGTTTGTAGCATAGGCAGGACATTCTTGCTTGCTTTCTTAAAGGCCAGGTGGGCAGAATTTCCTGGATTCCTCTCTTCCCAGAGCACATATTGCCTGAGCCACTCCCTTGTGCTTGTCATCTGCTGCGTCGCACTCCCCCTTCTCCTGCCTGCATGTCTCCCCCAATAAAACTATGGATGAGGACCAAGTGCCACTGAGCTTTCTGGACCCCAGACCTCCATCCCCTAACTCCTTGGAACCCACACAGTGCCAGGCCAGGTCCTTCTTGCTTCTTCAACCAGTGCATTCTTGTCATCACCTCTTGCCACACTCACTCTCAGAGAGTTGCATCTCAGCCCTGTGCCCTCCTACCTCCTGGTTGAGCCCCATCCTTTTCCTGTCTCCTGTCAGTGCTGTGCACACACACACACACATGCACATGCATATGCACACTGCCAGCCTGCTTCCCACAGTGTTCTCAGACCCCGCATCCTAATACAAATCCTTTCTTCCAATAGTTGTGCCTGGAGCTATGTCATCCTTCCCCCCTCTTTTCCTTGGGATATCAAGTTATAGGACAACAAATCCATGCTCATTGTCCTTAGACCAAAAATATATGTCTAAACATCATGGATATTAACCAGGGGTAGATATGGGGGAAAGCTGTTCACCAGCACTGGATTCTGCATTTCTTCTCTAACCGTTATGAAGATGTAGGCTTTGCAGAGTTTGTTTCCAGAACCAGGAAACCTGATGTTTGTAAACATTTCCATAAATGGAAGCAAGCAGATTTTTAGGTTTCAGTTCTAAAATAGTGAGGTAAGCATGAATTTAAAAGGACAGTTGCATGGCAATAATTGTACTTTCTGAAGGCAGTGAGGCCCTACCTTCACAGAGAGTATTCTGGTGACTTTGAGGGCTGAGATGTCCTGTATTTGCTTCTGTCCTGCTTTCCATAAGATTCTGTAAGCTTGCCTTTTAAATTAGGAACTTCGTGCTGACTTAGAGCAGTTATCTCTCTCTATCCATTGCCCACCAATATGTAATGACCAGAGTGGTTCTCAAAGTGTCATCCATAGACCCCGGGGGTCCCTGAGGCTTTTTCAGGGGTCTATGAGGCCAAAACTATATTTACAATAAGGTTAAAATGTTATTTTCCTTTTGCCCTGTGTTGACATTTGCACTGATGGTACAAAATTAGTGGAGGGTAAAACTGCTGGCACCTCAGCATGAATCAGGACATCGCTACCAAATGAAACTGGTGGTCACTGTATTCTTCACCTCTGTGCACTTGCAGGTTTTACCAAAACCAGGAATGCCCTTGATGAAGTACCAAGAATTATTGTTTGTATTAACATTCAACTCTTGAGCACACATTCCTTTAATGTCCCGTATGACAAAATGGGAGATGTACACACACAGCATGTTGGTTGTCTAGAGAAAAGTACCTGTGTAATTGAGTTGCAAGCTGAACTAGCTGGCTTTTACATTTTTTCATGGAACACTGTTTTTACCTAAAAGAAAGACTGGCAAACTCATTATTCAGACATGGCTATTTAGTAGATAATTTCTTGAAAATGAACAAAGTAAGCCCATCACTTTAAAAAAAGCAACTCACAGGCTGGGCACGGTGGCTCATGCCTGTAATCCCAGCACTTTGGGAGGCCGAGGCAGGTGGATCACAAGGTCAGGAGATCGAGACCATCCTGGCTAATACGGTGAAACCCCGTCTCTACTAAAAATACAAAAAATTAGCCGGGCGCGGTGGCGGGCGCCTGTAGTCCCAGCTGCTGGGGAGGTTGAGGCAGGAGAATGGCGTGAACCCAGGAGGCGGGGCTTGCAGTGAGCCGAGATGGCGCCACTGCAGTCTGGCCTGGGTGAAAGAGCAAGACTCCATCTCAAAAAAAAAAAAAAAAAAAAGCAGCTCACAGTATTTGTTGCCAATGATAAATTCGTGCTTCCAAGTAAAAATTAAAATTTTGGAAAACTTTTCACTGCCACATTGAGCTTAACAACTTTCCCTCACTTAAAGACTTTTCTGATGAGATCAGCGGTGATATCAAAGGACATTATTTAAAAAATATATTGTATAATGAAATGTGTTAGCATTTGGAAGATCTGCATAACTCAGTGAACCGATATTTTTCCATTGACCAACACATGATATTACAAGATCGTGCATGGGGAAAGTTCCATTCAAAGCGTAAGACAGATCGGTAGAGTTATGTAACAGAGGACCAAAGGTTCACTGGTACAAGTGCAGTTCCACACTACAACTAGCCTTTAAGAAAATGCCACTTGTTGAGCTTTGGTCTTAATCAAAGAAGAACACCCATAATTACCTGAAAAGACTATTAAAGTATTCCTCGCTTTTTCTTTCTTTTTATTCTTTTTTTTTTTTTTGAGATAGAGTCTCACTCTGTCACCCAGGCTGGAGTGCAACGGCGCAATCTCAGCTCACCACAACCTCTGCCTCCCAGCTTCAAGTGATTCTCCTGCCTCACCCTCCCAGCTTCAAGTGATTCTCCTGCCTCACCCTCCCAAGTAGCTGGGATTACAGGCGCCCACAACCACGTCTGGCAAATTTTGTATTTTTAGTAGGGACGGGGTTTCTCCATTTTGGTCAGGCTGGTCTCGACCTCAGCTGATCCACCCACCTCGGCCTCCCAAAGTGCTGGGATTACAGGCGTGAGCCACCGCACCCGGCTCCTCCCTTTTCAAATACATTTCTGTGTGAAGCCAAATTTCTTATCCTTCATCCAAAAAGCATACCACAACAAAGTGAATGGTGAAGCAGATATGAAAATTGAGCTGTCTTCTAGGAAGCTAGATATTAAAAAGATTTGCAAAAATATAAAACAATGAAACTCTTCTCACCTGCATTTCTTTTGGTTTGTCTTAAAAATGTGCTTTTTATATAAACATGTCATGGGTATATAATTGTTACTTTTAAATGGAATTAATGCATATTTTAACATTTTCTCAGTGTTAGTAATATGATCAATATCAATAGCTATAACCCACATAAACACAGGTTCTTGGAGTCCTGGATGCTTCTGAAAAGCATAAAGGAGTCCTGAGACCTAAACATTTAAGAGCCTCTGGTGGAATGGGCATGAGCACAGGATTTGGGGTCAGACAAAGAGGGCAACTGGTACTGTAGCCCTACTTCAAAGAGCACTTGCAAGACTGAATGTGAGAATGAGGCTCAGTTTGGCTTGACTCACCCAGGGTAGAACTGAAAGGAGACTGTGAGAGAAGGGCCAGTGAGGGTTAATAGAGAGCTGACTGGAGAAAAAAATCACCTCCTGCTCAGATGGCATTGCTGGGGTCTTGCATGCTTGCAACAGCCTCTCACACTCTGCCCTTTAGAGAAATGCTGGGCAACTTTGTTTTTGTTTTTTCTTGGTGAATTAAACTTAATTTTGTTTTGTAAGCTGGCAGCTCTGCCTGAGATAACTAATGAGACCCAAGGGAGCTGAAAAGCTTGCATTGGAAACCCTGGATCTGGACTCAGCCAATGTCTCTGAACCAGAGGCTCCCAGCCATAATTCTCCAGGTCTGCCAGCTTTCACTTTCTTTGACACTCATTCTCCTGCTTACCCCCAACCCTCCACCCCAGGAAGACGGTTTGGGGAAAGAAGTGAGGGCTGCCTTCCTCGGTGCACTTTGGAAGCCATGCCTGGCCAAGGGAAGTGATACCATTTCCAAATCAGAAAATCAGGTCTCCTCCCAAAGTGCTGAAGTTTACTTTATAATTGCAGCCAATTATCTTTGTTATTTCAGTTTTCGTTCCATGAGCTTTGGGGAAAAGCATTCACGGGCTATCGTCATGGCATTTCTGTCCTTTGACATGTGTCACTTGGCACTCAATTGGCCCAGGAAGGAGAGTATAACTGGGTCATTCTCTGCAGCCCCGTCCCATGGCACAGCCCGGTCCAAGGGAAGGGCAGGAAGCTCACTGCACGTGGGGGCATTTTTGTACACAGAACTTCCAGGGCATGACCCCAGCTCAAACTCACGGTGGACATGAACTTTTTAGCAACTGTCAAGACCTCCCTTCCTTCCCCTGGGCTGGCAGCCCTAGTTTCAGTTTTTCTGAGCATTGGGAAATGCCTGGAGCCACAACACACACTCAAGAATCCATGTGCCTCCAGGCACGGAGGCTCATGCCTGTAATCCCAGCACTTTGGGAGGCCGAGGCGGGCGGATCACGAGGTCAGGAGATTGAGACCATCCTGGCTAACATGGTGAAACCCCGTCTCTACTAAAAAATACAAAAAATTAGCTGGGCATGGTGGCGGGCACCTGTAGTCCCAGCTACTCGGGAGGCTGAGGCAGGAAAATGGTGTGAACCCGGGAGGCAGAGCTTGCAGTAAGCCGAGATCACACCACTGCATTCCAGCACTCCAGCCTGGGCGACAGAGCAAGACTCGGTCTCAAAAAAAAAAAAAAAAAAGAAGACAAGACAGATTCAGAGAGGAATGCCTGCTACGGGTTAGTTGCTGTGCTTAACTCTGGAGGGGGAAAGAAAACAAACAGTGAATGAGACACAATTGCTGCTCTCAGGGAGCTCTTGGTCTAGAAGGGGAAATAAGTAAATAAGCAACTACAACACAAGGCGATACCTGAGAGAAGAGCCATGGGGATACAAGTGAGAGGCACCTAACCCAGTCTTAGCCACCCAAAAGGCTTTCTGAAAGGAAGGTTAATAATCAGCACTGACATTCATCAAACCGTGACTATGTGCTGCACAAAGGGCTAAGTGCTTTAGTTATGTTATCTTAGTCACCCTCTGCCTTGTGAAGGATATACCGCTGTTATCCCCATTTCACAGATCAGTAAATAGAGGTTGAATGAGATTAAGTAACTTGCCCAAAGTGATGCAATCAGTAGGTAGTAAAGTTGGAATTTAAACCCAAGACTATTTGTTTTCAGAATCACTCCTCTTAACTTGTGCTTCCAGGACTGAGACTGAGAAACCAGAGGGGGTTACCTAAGTAGGGATGGGAGTGAAGAACATTCTAGGCCGGGAGAATATAAATGCCCTGGACAGAGGCCCTGAAGTCAGGAAAGGCATATGCACTGGGGGAATCACAAGAAGCTACAGGTGTGGCTGCAATGTGGCTTCTGGGGGCAGGAGTGGGAAGAGATGCTGCTGAGTAGCCCCAAGGCACAGGCAGAACCAAGGCTGGGACTCACCTCTGGGCTCCTAGCCCAGTGCTCTTTCTACCACATTCTACCTGCTTCCCCATCGCAGGCTAGCATGTTTTTATCTGCACCCATTTCAGACTGGAGGGAGCTGGCCTATGTAAAAATGAGGCATTTTCTTCCTCACCCAGAGAGGCCTCTGATGGGAATTGAGGAGTGGGGTGAAATGGAAGATGCAGAGAGAAAGGGGACAGGTGCTGACCGCTCTGCCAAGATGCAATGTCTCCTCTGCAGTCCTGGAATCAGGTCACAGGACTCACCACGGCCTTTGAGACATACCAGCTGCACACTTTCAGGCTTCTACTCTATGTGGGTAACTCCCAGGGGACTGGCCCCAAAATCCACTCAAAAACATAGAGGAGGAGTCATGACAGTGATAACAATCATCATAGCTAATGTGACTGAGTGCTTCTGAACCACTGGCATCTGGTCTTTTAATGCTTACAGCTAGCTTATGAAGTGGTATATTAGCTTTCCTCCTGGGCAAAGAGGAAGAAAATCAGTTCAAACCACCTTAAGCATAAAGAGAATTTATCAACTCAGATAACTGAAGAAGGCACTGGAAGATACCGGGCTCTAGGGCTGGATGCAGGTACTGCAATGATACTGTCAGAATGTGTCTGTTATCCCAGCACTTTGGGAGGCTGAGGTGGGCAGATCCCAAGGTCAAGAGATCGAGACTATCCTGGCCAACAGGGTGAAACACCATCTCTACTAAAAAAAAAATACAAAAATTAGCTGAGCGTGGTGGCATGCGCCTGTAGTCCCAGCTACCGGAGAGGCTAAGCCAGGAAAATGGCATGAACCCTGGAGGTTCACGCCATGTGCTAGTCTAAGAAACTGGCATGTTCAGGTTCTGTCCCCAAAAGCATTATTAGAAGGGCAGATCAAAGCAACTCTGGAGGAGTCTGGGTCGCGTTCTGTCACTTACATCTGAGGGTACTGCGTACCTTGTTTTATTGCACTTTGCTTTATTGCACTTTGTAGATATTGCGTTTTTTAAAAATTGAAGGTTTATGGCAACCCCGCCACAAGCAAGTCTATTAGTGCCATTTTTCCAACAGCATATCTGACTTCATGTCTCTGTGTTACATTTTGGTAATTCTCACAATATTTAAAACTTTTTCATTATTATAATACTTTTATGGTGATCTGTGATCAGTGATCTTTGATGTCTCTATTGTAATTGTTTTGAGGCACCACGAACCATGCCCATCAAAGATGATGAATTTAATTGATAAATGTTGTGTGTGCTCTGACTGCTTTACCAACTAGCTGTTCCCTGTCTCCCTCTCCTCGGACCTCCCTATTTCCGGAGACAAAGTACAATATTGAAATTGGGCCAACTAATAACCCTACAACGGCCTCTAAGAATCACACATCTCTCACTTTAAATCAAAAGATAGAAATGATGAAGTTTAGTGAGGAAGACATATCAAAAACGAAGACGGATCAAAGCTAGGCCTCTTGGACCAAATAGCCAAATTGTGAACGCAAATAAAAAGTTCTTGAAGAAAATTAAAAGTGCTAGTCCAATATACACATGAATCATGAGAAAGACTTATTGCTGACATGCAAAAACTTTTAGCGGTCTGGATAGAAAAATCAAACCAGCTAAACATTCCCTCAAGCCAAAGCCTAATCCAGAGCAAGGCCCTAACTCTCCTTAATTCCGTGAAGGCTGACAGAGGTGAGAAAACTGCAGAAGAAAAGTTTGAAGCTAGCAATAGTTGGTTCATGAGGTTTAAGAAAAGAAGCCGGCTGGGCGCAGCGGCTCACACATGTAATCCCAGCACTCTGGGAATCCGGGGCGGGTGGATCATAAGGTCAGGAGATCGAGACCATCCTGGCTAACATGGTGTAACCCTGTCTCCACTAAAAATACAAAAAATTAGCCGGGCGTGGTGGCGGGCTCCTGTAGTCCCAGCTAAGGGGGAGGCTGAGGCAGGAGAATGGCATTAACCCAGGAGGTGGAGCTTGCAGTGAGCCGAGATTGCGCCACGGCACTCCAGCCTGGGTGAAAGAGCGAGACTCCATCTCAAAACAAAACGAAACAAAACAAAAGAAGCTATCTTCATAACAGGAAAGTGTAAAGTAAAGCAGCAAGTGCTGACGGAGAAGCTGTAGCAAGTTATCCAGATGATCTAGCTAAGATAATTGATGAAGGTGGCCACATTAAACAACAGATCTTCCGTGGAGACAAAATAGCCTTTTATTAAAAGAAGTAGCCATCTAAGACTTTCACAGATAGAGAGGAGAAGTCAATGCCTGGTTTCAAAGCTTCAAAGGGCAGGCTGACTTTCTTGTTAGGGGCCACTGCTGATGGTGACTTGAAGTTGAAGCCAATACTCATTTACCGTTCTGAAAATCCTAGGGCTTTTATTATGCTAAATCTACTCTGCCTGTGCTGTAGAAATATAGCAACAAAGACTGGATGATGGCATGTCTGTTTATGGCATATTTTGCTGAATATTTTAAGCCCATCGTTGAGACCTGCTGCACAAACATAAAGATTTCTTTCAAAATATTACTGCTCACTGACAATGTACCTGGTCATCTAAGAGCTCTCATGGAGATGTACACACAGATTAATGTTGTTTTCATGTCTGCTAACATAACATCCATTCTGCAGCCCATGGATCAAGGAGTAATTTCAACTTTCAAGTCTTATTATTTAAGAAATATATTTTGTAAGGCCATAACTGCCATAGATGGTGATTCCTCTGATGGATTTGGGCAAAGTAAACTGAAAAGCTTTTGGAAAGGATTCACTGTTCTAGATGCCATTTGAACATTTGTGATTCATGGTAGGAGGTCAAAATAGCAACATTAATAGGAGTTTGGAAGAAGTTGACTCCAACCATATGGATGACCTTGAGGGGTTCAAGACTTCAGTGGAGGAAGTAGCTGCAGATATGGTGAAAATAGTGAGAACTAGAATTAGAAGTGGAGCCTGAAGATGTGACTGAATTGCTGCAATCTCAGGCTAAAACTTGAGCAGATAAGGAGTTGCTTCTTATAGATGAGGAAAGAAATTGGTTTCTTGAAATGGAATCTACTTTTGGTGAAGATGCTGTGAACGTTGTTGAAATGACAACAAAGGATTTAGAATATTATATAACCTCAGTTGATAAAGTAGTAGCAGGATTTGAGAGGACTGACTCCAATTTTTTTTTTTTTTGAGACAGAGTCTCACTTTATTGCCCAAGCTGGAGTGCAGTGGCACGATCTTGGCTCACTGCAACTTCTGCCTCCCAGGTTCAAGCCATTCTCATACCTCAGCCTCCCCAGTAGCTGGAATCACAGGCGTATGCCACCATGCCCTACTAATTTTTGTATTTTCAGTAGAGATGGGGTTTCACCATGTTGGCCAGGCTGGTCTTGAACTTCTGACCTCAAGTGATCCACCTGCCTTGGCCTCCCAAAGTGCTGGGATTACAGGCGTGAGCCACGGCACCTGACCTTGACTCCAATTTTAAAAGAACTTCTACTATGGGAAAATGATGTTAAACAGCATTGTGTACTGCAGAGAAATCTTTCATGAAGAAGACTCCATTGATGTGACAAACCTCACTACTGTCTTATTTTAAGAAATTGCCATAGCCACCCAATGTTGGCCACCACCACCCTGATCAGATAGCAGCCATCAACATCAAGACAAGACCCCCGACTAGGAAAAAGATTATAACGCGCTGGAGGCTTAGGGGATCATTAGCATTTTTTAGCAATAAAGCATTTTTGAATTAAGGTATGTACATTGGTACATTGGTTTTTTTCCAACACAATGAGATTGCACACTTAATAGACTACGGTATAGTATAAACATAACTTCGATATGCACTGGGAAACCAAAACATTTGTGCGACTTGCTTCATTGCAGTTTGTGCTTTATGGTGGTCTGGAACTGAACCCACAATATCTCCAAGGTATGCCTGTACGTGCTAACCTGGCCCAGAAAAGGGGATGTGCATGGGGCCTGGCAAAAGAGATGTCAAAGTCAAGCATCAGATGTGTGTGGGTGTGGTGATGTGTGGTGTGGTGGTATGTGGGTGTGGTGGTGTGGGTGTGGTGGTATGTGGTGTGTGAGTGTGGTGGTGTGGGTGTGTGGTGGTGTGTGGTGTGTGAGTGTGGTGGTGTGGGTGTGTGGTGTCTGGTGGTGTGTAGTGTGTGAGTGTGGTGGTGTGTGGTGGTGTGGGTGTGGCAGTGTGTGGTGGTGTGCGGTGGTGTGGGTGTGGTGGTGTGTGGTGGTGTGTGGTGTGTGAGTGTGGTGGCGTGGGTGTGGCGGTGTGTGGTGGTGTGCGGTGGTGTGGGTGTGGTGGTGTGTGGTGGTGTGTGGTGTGTGAGTGTGGTGGTGTGGGTGTGGTGTGTAGTATGGTGGTGTGGTGGTGTGTAGTGGTGTGGGTGTGTGGTGTGTGAGTGTGGTGGTATGGTGGTGTGTGGTGGTGTGGGTGTGGTGGTGTGTGGTGTGGGTGTGGCGGTGTGTGGTGGTGTGCGGTGGTGTGGGTGTGGCGGTGTGTGGTGGTGTGTGGTGTGTGAGTGTGGTGGTGTGGGTGTGGCGGTGTGTGGTGTGTGAGTGTGGTGGTGTGGGTGTGGTGGTGTGTGGTGTGTGAGTGTGGTGGTGTGGGTGTGGCGGTGTGTGGTGGTGTGTGGTGTGTGAGTGTGGTGGTGTGGGTGTGGTGGTGTGTGGTGTGTGAGTGTGGTGGTGTGGGTGTGGTGGTGTGTGGTGTGTGGTGGTGTGGATGTGTGGTGTGTGGTGTGGTGGTGTGTGGTGTGGGTTTGTGGGTGTGTTGCTGCTCAGGCACTTAGGCTGTTCCTGTTGCCTCTCCCTGGCTCTGCCCGCTCCCATACAGGGCCTTTGCTTATGCAGCAACTTCAGCCAGAGCACTGCCTCCTCCCTCCTAGTGACCTGCCCCTCACCCCTCAGATTGCGGCTCTAGCATCATTTCACCAGGGCAGCTTTCTCAGAGCTTCATGTCTCTGTCACACTTCTCACTTTGCGTGTCCTAGCAACCTTGTACCTCTCTTTTTGTAGCATTTTTCACAGTTGTCACTTCGCATGTGCATCTGCAATGATCGAGTGAATGTCTGCCTTCCTTAATAAACCACGAGCCCCGTGAGTGTAGGGGTCACACCCATTTTGCTCGCCATTGTCTCTCCAATGTGAGCAGAGTACTTCATACCTGAGAAACCTGGTCAATATGCGTTGAGTGGATGAGTGAAGGAGTGGATGGATGCGAGTGTGCACATGGTGTGTGTTGGTTGTGTGAGTGTGTGGTGCTCCTCTGGTCCTAGCTGCAGTGCTCTTGGTGCATTCCAGGGAGGCCCCCTCACTGGGGGACCGTGCCTTGTCCTTCTGTCTGTGCTTTCCTGGGGGGCAGAAATAGGATTTTCTCCATAATATTAAGAGCCCTACAGGAAGAGGCTAACACCTTTTTCGTTGAGCTGGGAGTTTCTGGTGCAGAAACAGGACCTGAGGAGTCAGTGGCAGGAGCTCGGGTTGTGGAATAAGAAAGCTCCTGTTCTGAGAATGAATGGGACTCAGAGCTAAGACCTCATCTGTAAAATGGGGCCGCATGCTTGACAGGGCTGTTTGAACGTGGAATAGGATCCTATTCAGAAAAGTGCTTTGTAAGCCACGGTGCCCGCTGGACAATGTTTTCACAATTATCCTGCACTGCTGCCGGGATCAGACTGAGAGACTGCTGAGGAGTCTTAGGAAGAGGGTGTACAGAGCAGAGGTTTCAGGGGTGATACGGAAAATGAGGCAATAACCCTCCCACTTATACTCAGGGTATCTTTAGGAATTACAGGGTCAGAGACTCCTCCTCTGCCAGGCAGAGGCACTGGGGGAGCCATGTTTCCTGTGCCCTTGTCAAAGCCCATGGCTGCCATCTTGGTGAGGGCTCCACTGCCATCTTGCTGGGATCCATTCAAGTAGGGTCTCCCCCCGGCAGTTTCGCCATGTTGCCTTGCTTGAGATTCTGGGGTAAAGTATGGAGGATGCTGCTGGTGGTGAGATGACAGGGTGCTTGGAGGCAGCTGGGGGTACTTACAGCTCGGTCACATCCTTGGGCATGCCTCTGGGGAGGGCGCGGAGCCCCTTGTTGCTGCATCGCACCACTGTCTCCATACAGGTGCACTGCTCCGGGCAGCGCGGGCTCAGCTGGCAGCTACTCTCCTCGTTGCCTGTGGAGAGCCCCAGAGAGGGTGAGGGTTGTGGGAGATAAGCCCCACTAGGGGGAGCCAGTGAGCAAGGCTGCGTGTTCTCCACAAAGACAAGTTGTCCCCTGTCCCCGCTGTGTTCTAGAACCAGGAAGAGGGTACCCGCTGGTCTCATCCGTGGTTGGCGGGTGTCGCCTACCTTTTACCTCATTTGACATAAGATGAAGACCATCAAGGAGGCTCAGCAAGAGTAACAGGAAAGAGGTCACCGTTAACCATATCAGGAATAAGCCGAATTGATTGAAGGAGTGGTCAGGGGGAGGGGGGCAGAGCCTTGTCTTTTCCCTTCCTCTTTCTCCTTTCTTTCTCTGCTCCCACAACTACACAGTCCCTCCGGGGTGTTGAGTATGTCCCAAGCCTCCATTGTGCCTTAATCTCAGTTAATTATCTGTCTCTAGATAACCCAAAGTTGATCAAGTAAAGAACTGTGCTGGCTTGAATTTATGCAAATAAATATGCCCTCTGGGATCCTGAGAACCAAAGCCTCAGATATCCATATCCCCAGCCAGTGACAAGACTTTTCTTGAAGTCTGTTTCTCATGAGTACATACTGAGTCTCATCATGATGCTGACAGGAAGACTGAGGCCAGGGCTCCCATGTACAGTTGTATAGGTTGTGCACTCCACAAGGGTGCCATATCATTTAAGGGGCACCAATCTCACTGTGGACATGATAGATGAGTATATTTGGTACAACAGTGTTCTCATAGATGGCAGTATCTTGTTTTAATGGACAGGTGTCTTGTCTTAATGAAATCAATATATTATGACAGATTTCTAACTGATGGAAGTAAAATGACTGCTGAAATGGGCACCTTTTCTTAATTTGCATGAAGGAGCCATGTGGGCTAGTAGCAGATCTGCAGAGCTCTCCAGAGCTCCAGCTGCATGCCCAAAGCAAAGTGGAATTGGATCTCAGGGAGTATCTGATTGTGCATCTTCGCCATCTTCCTTGCCTTCCCAGGGCCTTCCCCGCAGACCTTGACCCACAGCCTTCTTACCATCACAGGTGAAGTCCTGGATGGCCACATCCTGGATGGGAATCTCCTTGAGGAAAAATGGCTTCTGGCACCTAGGGTTCCCACTGACGATCCGCCTCTTCCTCAACCACTTGCCGAGCCAGGCCAGGTGGCAGTTGCAGTTGAAGGGGTTGGACAGGAGGTTTCTAGGAAGAGAGAAGGGTGCTTAGCCTCCATCCTTCTACTGTGGGAGCGGCCCTGGGATCTGCTGCCCAGAGCCCAGCTCTCCTAGCCAGGAAGGAGGAGGTCTCAGGAAGGAAACGTAGGCTCTTCCCCAGATGCAGTCTCTGTGAGGGTCTCATTCCAGACCCTCGCCTCTGATGGATGTGGCTGTGGTGTCTCGCCATGCCCTCCCTTGGGTACCAAGCCCTGGCTGTGTGAACTGCCTTTGGGTCCTTAGCAGAGATTCACCCCGAGAGCCTTCACACTTGCTACTCTCCTTGCTGGGAACCCGTATCTTTACAGGTTGCCTGGCTGGCTTCTTCTCATTCTTTAGTCCTTGGCTTCAATGACATTTCATCAAGGAAGCCTTCTCTGAGTCCCCCATATCAAGTGGGATACTTCAGCCCTATCATATCTTTTCCCTCATTCCCTTTCATTCTCCCCATAGCACCCATGGGAGTGTGCGGTGACTGGTTTCTGTGCTCGCCTTGCACCTTGGACTCTACATACACGAGGGTAGGGTCTGTTTGCCTCTGCATATCCAGAAACTAGCGTTATGTCATCACAGGCACTTTATATGCATCTGTGGACTGAAACAATGGGACTGATGGAGAGATGAGGGGATGATGGCAGCTATCCCTTCCTGAGTGTTTACTACAGGACTGGGACCATGCCACGCACTTTATAAATCCATTGTCTCATTCATTCCTGTCACAGCGACCCTATGAAGGAGGTAACATTATCTTCCTTTTCTCACATGAGGAAAGTGAAGCTTGGGGAGCTTATTTAAGCGGGACAGACAGCCCTTGAGTGGCTGTAGGATGATACAGCAATGAAGGGCTTGAGAGTGGCTGTTTCGGGGTTGGAGTCCAGGCTCTGACACTCAGTAGCTGTGTGAAGCGGGGCAAGTTACTTCATGGGTCAGAGCTGGTTCCCTGAATGCTTTGGGACTCTGCCCTTCTGGGCATCTTAGGTGTCTTTGGATTTCCAATGTGGAGGTACCTAGGAGGGGCTAAATATGGACTAAAATGGACCAGTTCACTGATGTTAGCTCCCAACCCATTGTCCTCTCCTGTTGACATCACTCGTTCATTCGATTCATTCCTTTACTCAACAATTATATGCCGGGCATCTGCTTGTGCTCTTGGCACAGATCTAAACATTAAGGATGCAGCAGTGAACAAAACAGCCACAAATCCCTGTCCTTCGGGATCTTATATGATGGTGGGCAGATAATATATGATTAACAGCAAGTTAGTGAATGACACAGTATGTTAGGACATGGTTAGTGCTTTGTAATATTAAGGGGCAGGGCTAGAGGGATTGGGGCTATGGCAGAGGGGTAGAACGGGGTGAGGCAGGTGACCCTTGAGCAAAGGTGGAAGGGAGAGAGGCTAGGGGGAGGGAGGCTGGGGGAGGGTGCTCCAGGGAGTGCCAAGTTCCAAGGTTGGAGTGGGCTTGGATCATGGGAAAATGGCGAGGAGCCCCACGGAGCTAGAATGGAGAGAGGGAGGGGACAGGCAGGGCATGAGGGGCCAGATGACGTGGGGCCGGCCTTTAGGCCCTCCTCTAACTTCGGCTTTGATTCCAAGTGCAGTAGGCATAGGGCAGCAACAGGAGGTGTGGCAGCAGCCTTTGCTTCTGCCTTCTAAAGGGTCTTTGGGGAAGGTTAGAGACGGGACAATAAACCAGCGACTAAGGATAACAGAGCCACATGGAAATACGACGAGCAGCTGTAAAACACACACGTGTTGAGCACTTTCTACACCTAGGCCCTTGCTGTGTGTTTTACAAGCATCACCACATTCAATCCTCATAACCATCCTAGGAGGTAGATTATGCAGAAGGGAAATGGAAACACACAGAGATGAAGTCACTTTCCCAAGGTCACACAGCTAACAAGAGGCACAGCCAGGATCTGAACCTAGGAAATTTGGCTCTAGAGTCTTACCCATTATTCCACAGAGGCTCCCTTCCCACGACAGCGCACTACCCGGGCAGGAGCACTCCTTTAGGTGCCCAGAAAGCTGGGTTCTAATTCTGGTCCTGATACCCACTGAAAGCAGCCAGTGACATCTTTTTTTTTTTTTTTTTGAGACGAAGTCTCGCTCTCGCTCTGTTGCCAGGCTGGAGTGGAGTGCAGTGGCACAATCTCGAGTCACTGCAACCTCCACCTCCCGGGTTCAAGCGATTCTCCTGCCTCAGCCTCCTGAGTAGCTGGGACCACAGGTGTGCACCACCACCACGCCCAGGCAATTTTTGCATTTTTAGTAGAGATGGGGTTTCACCACATTGGCCAGGAAGGTCTCAATCTCTTGACCTTGTGATCCACCTGCCTCGGCCTCCCAAAGTGCTGGGATTACAGGCGTGAGCCACCAAGCCTGGCTGCCAGTGACATCTTTTTAAAACCCCTGTCTGGTGATGTCTTACTTAAGGTCTACTTAAAGGTCCCAGTCTTCCTAATGTGCTCTGGACAAAGACGAGATGGCCCACAGCAGTCCTGCAGCCTGACCCTGGCTTCCTCTTCAGCCTTGCCTTATGTCATGCCCTCCCTCATTCAGCACTGTGACCATGCTGACAGATGTTCAGTCCCACATATATGCTCTGTTGCGACCAACCACAGGGCCCTTGGACATGCCCTTCCCTCTGAAGGAACTGCACTGTCCACTTTCTTCAACAGCTACCTCCCACTTACCTTCCAGAATACAGCTCCAGTGTTTCTCAACAAAGCCCCTGGTTTTTTTTTTTTTTTTTTTTTTTTGACACGGAATCTTGCTCTGTCGCCTAGGCTGGAATGCAGTGGCATGATCTCAGCTCACTGCAGCCTCCGCCTCCCGGGTTCCAGCAACTGTCCTGCCTCAGTCTCCCAGGTAGCTGGGATTACGGATACTCACCACCATAACTGGCTAACTTTTGAATTTTTAGTAGAGAAGGGGTTTCACCATGTTGGTCAGGCTGGTTTCGAATTCCTCACCTCAGGTGATCCACCCACCTCAGCCTCCCAAAGTGTTAGGATTACAGGCGTGAGCCACCATGCCTGGCCTTCCAGCTTGGGTTTTCAAATCACTGTGGACATGCTTTCTGTGGCAATTCACTATGCTGTGAGTTCCAGGAAGGAGGGGCCGGGTGTGTGCAGCCTCAACACCTAGACGATGCCTGCCTGGCACATACAGAAAGCCTGACGAGTTTTTAAGTGGACAGACAGATAGATGAGCCTGGCTAGAGGTAGCAGGGAGCTGGGAGGAGAGAGCGCTGCAGAGTGGGATCCCAGAGTCCGTGGGCAGTGGACCCAGGAGAACTTACATGGTGGACAGGGAGACAAGCGTGGTGAAGGCCCCAGGGGTGATGGTGGTGATCCGATTGTCATAGAGGGACAGCAGTCTCACCGAACTCAGGCCGGCAAAGGTGTCATTACTCACACAGCCGATCAAGTTACTCCTCAGCATCCTACAGGGAGAGGGGTGGGGATGAGAGAGCACAGGCATGATCTTTTCTGTCCCAAATGGTGCCACGGTGGTGTGTGTGTGTGTATAGGTGAGATGCTTTTGCCAATTCTAAGCTCAGTCCAGCCATGTTGATCAGGTTTGTCCTGTGATAGCAGGGACTGGAGCCCCACTGGGGCTGTGTGTAAATGTGTATGTACATTATTGTTTGTGCATGCTTTCTTGGAAGCACATGTCATGCATATGTGTGTATACACACGCATATTGTGTGGCTGCTAGGGTGTGCACACATATTTCTGGGAAGAGAAGAGAGAATCAAGACGTGGTTGTAGACATCAGCTTGTATGTATGTGTGTGCTTGTGTGTCTGTGCCTGTTTGTATATATGTTTATGTGCATGTTGCACGTGTCTGCATATATCATTTTTATAAAGGTCCTTATGCTTATGTTTGTGGGTAAATGTCTGTTTGTGTGCCTCCTTCAGCAAGTTTCTGGTATAAATCTATATACGTGTATACACGAGAGTGGGTGACTATGTTGGGTGTGTGTGTGGTGTGTGTGTGTGAGTGTGCATGCTGGAGGTGTTCAGCATGCTAAATTCTTTCCCATCCAAGGCTCCAGAATGTCTGATGACTCTGACTCCAGGAAGAGAGGGATTCAGCAGGCCAAGACAGTGCCTGGGTCCCACTTGCCTTCGTAGTCTGTCTCTAATTCCCCTGCCCTCCCGTCTCCCTCTGGGTCTTGGCCCAGGCCCCACCCCAGGCACTCACAAGGTTTTGAGGCCACTGAGGCCACGGAACACGCGCCCGTGCACGGTCTCCAGCTGGTTCCCTGTCAGCATCAGCTCCTGCACGCTGGCTGCTCCATCGAAAGCTCCCTCTCGCACCTCCTTGATCTTATTGTTACTCAGATTTCTAGAAGGAAGAAACAGAATAGGGGAGAATCAAAAGGAGCAGATGGTCTTGATGCCGGGAGGGGATGACTTGCCCTGCAGCTGCTGGGGACTCTCTGGGGCCCCTGAGACTGAGGACTGGATGGTGGAAGGAGCTCAGTCTGGGGCTCCCTGAACTTTGGTCTTCAGCATCTGGCCCAGGGAGCAGGGACCCTGGCCCTATACAGGTGAAGCTACCTTTGTGAAACAGACTGTATGGTCAGTGGATGAATGGATCAAGAAAATGTGGTGTATATATGCACAATGGAAGACTATTTGGCCATAAAAAGAATGAAAACCTGTCATTTGCAGCAACATGAATGGCACTGGAGGTCACTGTGTTAAGTGAAATGAGCCAGGCACAGCAAGGCAAATATCATACGCTCCTACTCATATGTGGGAGCTAAAAAAGTTGATCTCATGGAGGGAGACAGTAGAAGGATGGTTACCAGAGGCTGGGAAGGTTTGAGGGAGATGAAGAGAGGTTGGTTAATGGGGGAGCTAAAAGGAATAAGTTCTAGTGTTAGATAGGGTGACAGTCACAGTAGGGTGACTATAGTTAACAACAATATGTATTTCAAAATAGCTAGAAGAAAAGATTTGAAATACCTCCAACACAAAGAAATGATAGATGTTAGAAGTGACGGATATCCTAAATATCCTGTTTGATCACTGTACATTGCATGCATGTATCAAAATATCACGTGTCCCATAAATATGTATAATTGTTATGTATCAATTTAAAAAAACAGGCTGGATGGGATTTGAAGTTTTTTTCTGTGTAATTGTCTTTTCAATGCTCTGGGGGACTGACAGAGTTAAAATAGTGACTCTCAAACTTATTTTCTGTCTTCATTAGAGATTCTCACTAAGCACTGATTTTCAAGAGGAAGGCAGGAGAAAAATATAAAGCATGCTCCCCACTCCTTGGGACTAGGGCATTTGTGGAACTTCTAAGCTTTCTCACCAGTTAAGGATCCCTGATACAAATAAATTGGTGCTTTCCAGTTACTATTGTTGACCACTTCTTATGTGCTAGGCACCTCATGAGGGATCTGACCAACACAACCACATCAAACCCTCAAAACGATGGCTGTCGGACTCATTTATTATTATCGTCTCATTTTACGGATGATGGGACTGAGGTTCACAGAGATTAACTAACTTGCTTGCAGTCACCCAGCTGACAGAACTGGGATTTGAAGCCAGGTTTTCTGGCATATCAAATGTACTCCATTGAACCTCTTCTTTCATAAGTGAGTATTCCTTTGACTATGTGGATATTACTTCTTTACAAAATTCAAGATTTTGGATATTGTATTTGCTTAAAGTGAGCTTGGTCCTATCAAACCCTCAGTGCCGCCATTTCTTTCTTTCTTTCTTTCTTTCTTTCTTTCTTTCTTTCTTTCTTTCTTTCTTTCTTTTTGAGACAGAATTTCTCTCCTTGTTGCCCAGGCTAGAGAGCAATGGCGCAATCTTGGCTCACTGCAGCCTCTGCCCCCAGGGTTCAAGTGATTCTCCTGCCTCAGCCTCCCGAGTAGCTGGGATTACAGGTGCCTGCCACCATGCCCTGCTAATTTTTTGTATTTTTAGTAGAGATAGGGTTTCACCATGTTGGCCAGGCTGGTCTCCAACTCCAGACCTCAGGTGATTCACCCACCTTGGCCTCCCAAAGTGCCGGGATTACAGGCATGAGCCGCCATGCCTGGCTGGTGCTGCCATTTCTGAGTCTGCCCCTGAGGTCTGAAAGCAGCCCTTCCCTCCGAGGCTGCATGCTGACATCCTGCACAGACCTCAAGAGAGATCAGAACAGCAAGCAGATGCTGCAGAGCCATTAGCACTGCGAGTTAGCAGTTCTCCCTGGCAGGGTTGCTGGGGGGCTTGTGTGGACCATCAAAATGCCTGGCCCTGGAAAGCATCCCTGGCCAGATGGATGAACTGAAGGTGATGACAGTGTTTATATTAGCTCAGGGGAGAGTCCAGCCTCCCAAGCAGACAGCCTATTCAGAGCCTTGCATGGGGAACCATCTTCTGCAAACAAGGAAATCGCAGGTGGAGGTGGAGCCCGTGAACTCACAGAGCACACGAAAGCTGGCAGAATTGGCGGGCTCGCAGAGATAGACCAGGACCATTTTACTGCTGAAGATACTGAGTCCCAGAGCAGGAGGGCACTGCTCCAGGTCACAGAGCATTGGAAGGGGATCTAGGACCATACCAAGTCCCTGGTCTGAGCTCTGGGCTGACCCACAACAATGCCAGGGGGCGAGAACTCCCTTAGGGACTGACTTGGAGCAAGTGACAGAATTGGGGACTCAATGCAGGCTGACTGCCCTCTTCCCAAGGAGGGACCAGGCCCCCAGGGTGAGGCCATGCCTGCGCTTGTGGGCAGGTGTGGAGGAAACAGCCGGTGCCTTGGTTCCCTCCTTACTCCTTGGCATGACCTCGTTCTCCTTCTCTCCTTCCCATCCTGCCAGGAAAACAGGAGTAAGCATTCCCAGCATCCCTCGCCCAAGGTCTGAGACAGTCAGCAGACTCGCAGACTGGATTTCCACTCCCTGCCTGGTTCTCCTTAAACTTGGCCGGTTTTCTTATAAATCCTGGTAGCCCTGGTCTGGGATAACCCAGGAATGAAGGTAATGCCCTGAGGAGACTGCCAATTACCCCCAAATGAGATGCAGGAGGAGAGATAAAGGCTCTCCAGCAGCTATAAGTCACCCGAATGCCAGAAGAGAAGGCTTTTGCTCCAGAGTTGAGCTTCTTTGTTGGGGAGGGTGGGGATTAAAATACAAGTGATGGGCAATGCAGATGAGTTAAAGCAGCTATGAAGTGGGAGGGTTCCCATTTCCTGACATCTGTTTCTTTAAATGAGCAAAATTAACATCACATTACTGTAAGGTTTGTGAATTGGATTTCCTCAGGCTGGGAGAATGGAAAACAGAAGGAGAGTAAAAAAGAGGGGGATATAATTTTCCAGAAAAGCTGGCTGCTGCCGTCTCTACATCCATCAAAGCACTGCTCGCAACTACAGGCAGCAGTAGCTGAAGGACAGAAAGTGCAGCCTGGGGCAAACACTCCAGAAACAAAACAAGTGCATGGAGGTTTTGTAAGAGCCGATCACATTCTTAGAGCAGTATCTTGCCCCAGATCCCAGGAAACCACAAAATGTAAAACCAGGGCCACCCAGGGGGCTTCTCTCCATCTTTGGGTTAGTTCAGAGCCCCTGAGGGTTTCTTGGTGAGGGTTAAGTGCATTAATATCTGTACTGTCTAGCGCAGGGTAAAGTGTTTAATTTGTGCTCACTGCTAGCTATTATTATTTTTATGGCCTTGCACGCAGCCAAGTTCCACATTTGTGCTACTCCCAGGCTCCTGAAAGTGTCTGGGTGTGCAACCCCTATTTTTGTTGTTGTTATTGTTTTTGTTTTTTTGAGACGGAGTCTCACTCTGTCCCCCAAGCTAGAGTGCAGTGGTGGGATCTCGGCTCACTGGAAGCTCCGCCTCCCAGGTTCACGCCATTCTCCTGCTTCAGCCCCCCGAGTAGCTGGCACTACAGGCGCCTGCCATTGCGCCCGGCTAATTTTTTTTGTATTTTTAGTAGAGACGGGGTTTCACCGTGTTAGTCAGGATGGTCTCGATCTCTTGACCTTGTGATCCGCCTGGCTCAGCCTCCCAAAGTGCTGGGATTACAGGCGTGAGCCACCGTGCCCAACCCAACCCCTGTTTTAAATATATAACCAGCTACTCTGGGTCACTCAACTCAGATGCCCTCTCCTGTCTTTCCACACCCTGTCTCCCCAGTACCACAGCCATGTCTTTCATCTTTATTTCCTCATATTTCTGATCCACATCATAACTTATAAGGAAGGTGGATTTATTTCTATTATGTAAATGATGAAACTAAGGCTCAGAAAGGCTAAGGACATTCCTGGTGTCACATAACTGGGAAGGGCAGAGCTGAACTCAGAACTCACATAGGCTTGTCTGCCCATTTTCCTTCCACACCGGGAGTTGTGGCAGCTCTTGAGAAATGGAAACATTTGGCAGCCCTCACTTTTATTCCAACATGGCAAGCACTGGGATGAGCTGAGTGACATCTGTCCCTTTTGATGAGATCTAGGCCCATATTTTTCCAGAGACCTCACCACTCCCTTTTGTTGCTTGGTTGCTGATGCTGGGAGTTGGTTGACACTTATCATGTGTTTGTGCTGTTGTTTTCTGGGGCATACAGAAATATTCTCTACACTCATGTTCCTATCAAAACTGGGAGGATGAAAGATTCCAAGTGCTTGAGTTTCACCTCAAATGGGAGAGTACGTATTTCTTCGCAGAAGCAAAGACTAGCAGATCCTGTTCAGAAGACAAATATGCGCTTGGCCAGCTTGATTCATCTTAATATCTGCCTCACGCCCACAGGCCTGTAAGTTTCTGTCTTCAGGTTAAAAACAAAGTACATTTCTCTGGTTTGAAATAAAAAGAATAATTCCTGGTAGGTGATGGGTGATGTTTGTGTTGGGACCCTGAAGCTAGTGGGGCACTGGACCCCAGTGACAGCCATGATCCTCACCCAAGTGTGCCCTTCTCTCAGCTGGCCCCCCAACGTGCTCTCCACTGCACCCGGTTACACAGCATTCGCTGGAGCCATGACCAAGGTGGTGGCTGCAGGCAGGGACGGAGGGAGGAAAGCGATCTGAGTAGCACCAGTGAGATCCAGATGCTGCCCAGGGCCTAGAAGGCCTCTGTCATATTTGTCTACAGGGAACTGATGGGTGGGAGCATGGGTAATGAGAAAAAAACGAGGTGGTACAGTCCACTCTCATTATAAGTAAGCATCCCTAACCAGAATGTCCGAAACTTTCTGAGTGCTGATATGATGCCACAAGTAGAAAATTCCACACCTGACACCTTTGCTTTCTGAAGGTTCAATGTACTTGAACTTTGTTTCATGCATAAAATTATTAAAAATATCACATAGCTACCTTCAGGCTGTGTATATGGTGTACATGAAACACAAGTGAATTTCGTGTTTAGACTTGCATCCCAGCCTCATGACATCTCATTGTGTACATGTAAACATTCCAAAATCCAAAAAAATCTGGAATCTGAAACACTCCTGATCCCATGCATTTCAGATAAGGGATACTCAACCAGTACTCACAGTAGTTATGTTGTATACAGTTGCTGGGAACACTGCATTAGTGAATACCAAAGCATTGCTCTTAGGGAAATACAAGATTAGGGTCCTGCGAGCCTCTGGTCTCCACATTTTTATCAACCTATCGACGTATAACCTTGTTATATGTATGCTTCTGTTTAAAGATAGCTTATGTAATACATATGGCTGATCCATAATGTTGAACTCATGGCCAGCAGCACTATAACTCAAGCCTGTAATAAAACTGCTCTCACGCACATATGTCCTCTGTAAGACACATCACAGCCTTTGCACACTTAGGATGGCTAGACAGCCCTTCGGCAGTATGTCTGGGGGGCCATTTTAAACAGCAAAATCACCAACAAAAACCACAAACATGCAAAACCCACGGCACTGAATATAACGCAAAAGGACACTGGTTTACAGCATGAGAGGTGACAGAAGAAGGCAGAGCGTGGCCTCGCTCGACCCCAGCTGAGAACGTGGGTGTGGGTGACTCTGTTTTTGTTTTGGTTTTTGTTTTGTTGTTCTGTGCACACCCGAGAATGACTGTGAAGGCACGGAGAGTCTTGACTTTGGACTTACACAAATGTCAGTGAGTCGGCGAATTCTCAAATATGGAATCCATGAATCATGAGGATGGACTTTACTTCCCTGGTCTTCGAGGCACACCTGAACTCTGGGGCCAGGAGACATGAAGTAGGGGGTGGGGTAAGGCAGAGGGGCCAAAGAGTGCCCCCCTGGGGATTAGATGGTAAAGAGCCTCCTCTTCTGTGCTGGTACCTCTGCTGGGGGACCCCGCACGGAAGATGAGGAGAAGCAAGCCAGCCTCACACTAGCATGACTGCAGGTGGACCCAAGTCTGAATGCCAGCTCGGGGACCCATTAGCTGTGTGGTCTTAGAGAAGTCACAGAAACTTTTTGAGCCCTGGCTTCCTCACCTGCACAAAGGGGACTGTGAAGCCAGCACTGGATGGGTGGGTGAAGACTCAGTGAGACAATGGGTGTGACGCAGGGAGCATGGTCCTTAGCTCAGGACAAGGACTCTACTGGTGCACCAACATCATTCTCATTACCTTTATGACTAGGTCTGAGCTCCTGTGCAGGGAGAGGGTTAGGATGATCTGCATCTCTGGCAGTGGAGAAGCCAACATAGGCAAGTGGGCCCTTGCCTAGGCCAAGGCATGGTCAGACCCACGGACTCCTGGAGGAAACCCACTGTGGGAAGCTGCTGGCATGTTCATTCTGATGTGTATCACTGATGCAGGGGTCTTTTGATTCCATTTGAAAACAGACATTTAACTGTCACCACACAAAAATTGCCAAATAGCATATACCTTAGATACCCGTGCCCCATTGCTAGTCCTTACCTGAGTCCCACCCACCAGCCCTGGGGTAGGTGTTGGATGGCGTGTAGGGGTGGGGTGAGCAGAGGGTCCAGGGAGGGGTCAGGGATGGTGTGGAATGCTCGCTCTGTATAACACTCAACTGAAACCATGAAGCATCACTTTGGTCTGTGTCTACATGTCTTGCTTCCTAACAGAGGCCACAGCGGGGCTGAGGAGAAGGCTGGGAGGGAGTGGAGCAGAGGCTGGGGGAGAGGCCGGTCCCCTGGTTCCTCTAGTCTAGAACACAGGCTCTGGCTAGAGAACAGAGGCTGCTGCCAAGTTCCTGAAGTTGACTTACATTTTCCGCAGGTTGGGCAACTTCTTGAAGATGCCAGTGGCCTCCAGAACAGATACCTCATTGTCATTCAGTCGCCTGTGTAGGAAGCAAGATGAGTGGTAGGTTAGCTGTGGACGAGGCCCCTCCTTCCACCCCCCATGGCTTTGCTGCATTGCTGCCTGAACCTCACACTCGGTGAAGGACCACAGAGCCATCGGAAGCTTTGACATCAGTCCCATCAACAGAGGGGCCCAGCAGTTTGGGGAGGCATATGCAGTGCTGCTTCCTCCTTCTCCTGGAGGAAGCCTCCTTCGGCTGGGGTTTAGGGGACTTTCTGAGTATTCCGCGTGGGCATGCGTTGTTTTCAGCACCCATCAATTACCAAGGATCTGTTTTCATTTTGTGGACATACCAATGACAACTTAAAACCCCCAGGAAGGTTTCTCCAGGGTCTCCCAACCCTCCAAGCCCTTCAGCTCCTTCCTAAGCACTTCCCTCTACCAGGAGCAGCTCGGGAACTTCACAGGTATTCAGGGAGAGCAGCAGGGCAGGGAAAGGGGCCTGCTGTTTCCTCTGATGACTTGTGAAATTAGAGAGGACAACAATAATAATAATAATGAAGACCACTACCACTCATCCAGGGCTTACTCTGTGCCAGGATTCAAGATGAGTTCCATGCTTGCATCATCTTTCTTAGTCTCCCCAACCACTGTAGGAGGTAGGCATTAATTATCTCCCCCATTTGACAGCTAAGAAACTGAGTCTCAGATCCAAGGAGCAAATGGCCTAATCTTAGGAAGCCTGCCAGAGTCAGGTGTCAGCCCCATGTCTGTCGGTCCCCACATGCTGTGCCTTTGTCCTCCACGAGGCTATAACTTTTCAAAAATTTTTTAATTAAAAAAAATTTTTTTTTCCAGATACCGGGTCTCACTCTGTGGCCCAGGCTGGAGTGCAGTGGTATGATCATAGCTCACTGCAGCCTTGAATTCCTAGACTCATGTGATTCTCCTGCCTTAGCCTCTCCGGTAGCTGAGACCACAGGTGCATGCCACTATCATGCCCAGCTAATAAAAAAAAAAAATTTTTTTTTTTTTTTTGTAGAGACTGGGGTAAGGGAGTGGGGTCTCACTATGTTGCCCAGGATAGTACTGAACTCCTGGCCTCAAGTGATCCTCTCCCCCTGGCCTCCCAAAGTGCTGGGATTACAGGCATGACCCACCAACCATGGCCCAGCTATAATTTTTTAGCTCTTTTTTTTTTGATAAACCAACACATCCCTTTATTAACATGGCTAATTGGAGGCTCAGATATATTTAATCATTCTAGTTGTTTTCTCACTTCACTACCATTCTTCATTTAGCACCCAACTTTCTGGTTTTACTGTAAGCTCCGTAAGGGTTGGCAGGGACTACCTGCTCTGCTCTGTTGTAGAAACTGGTGGGCCTAGCATGATGCCGGCTCACAGTAGGTGTTCAGAAAATATGTGTAGAATGAAGGAATGAACTGTCTTTATTTGCAAGCAAGCTGTCCACAGGAGATGCCTGGGTATCTACCTTCAGACCAGTATGTGAAAGACAGCCAACAAACACCACATGACTGAGCCAGGAAGGGGTCACCGCCAGGAGACCCTGCCCACGCTGGCTCCGGGTGACTGGCGTGTGGGGAGGAGTAGGGAGTTCACGCCGAGGTTGGACTTACAGGTCGGTGACATATTCAGGGAGGTGGCTTGGGATGCGGACCAGCTTCTGGTTGGAGCAGTCCACAATCGTGCCCTCACAGCGACACTTCTCGGGGCACACGAGGTCCATGAAGCACTCGCTGCTGAACCTGCTGCGGTAATCCTCGGAGCCTGGGAGGGGCCAAAGAGGGGACGTCAGCGTCACCCGAGTTCCACGCACAGCCCCAGGTTGTGGGTAGTGGGGGTGGGAGACAGAGATGGGGGAATGAGTTGGGGGCTGTTAGGGGTCAAGTAACAGACACGGCATCGCCTTTGCTATATGGCCACCTTGCTGGTGCCTTCCCTGTCCCCAGCCTTACTGCCTCCTTCCCATGGATCTTTGTTATTCATCACCATCCTCAGGAAGACCAGACTCAAGATCTGTGGGCCCTTATGCTTTTGGGGGTCACAGACGTTTTTGAGAAGCTGATGAAAGTTATGAATGTTCTCCTCGGGGAAGTGCTCCTTGGTGCAGGTGTACAGTCTACGATTTTAGGGGGTCTACCTGCTTCACAACTCCTATCATTCATGGACCCTCTAAATGTTCATGAAAATCCAAATGACAAGATTTTGATGATGCTTTGACGGGGGCTATGCCAGGGGTAGGGGTAAATTATGGGAAGGGGTTGCAAACTTAGGGGCCTTTATTACCCCAGCAGGTAATAAAACGAGTACAGGCCAAGTACATGGCAATAAATGACCATCGACGCCTGGCTGTAAGATTGGGAAGACAACGAGGGTTGGGAACCTGGGGAATTGGAGCCCCAGCCTTAATGCTTGGAAATTTGGCTCAGGGTTGCCTGATGTTGCTTTTTTGTTGTTTTTTAAAAAGAGAATCCATATAAACAATATTGGTAATAAATTCCAATTTAAAATGCCGCGAGGACGAGCAAATTGTATCTGAGGGTCAGATTTGGCCTCTGTTTTTCAGAGCACATTCTACATAACTATAGTGAAAGGCACGTTCTGATGAGCTAAAAGTTGGAGCTGAGATTTGCTTTTTTGAAAAGCAAATCTCCCGAAGTTGCACAGTAATGGTAATGGGACCAACAACGTGGTGTCTCTGAGAAATGCCTCGGCGAGTTGCCTCAATGATCACAAATGATCCCTGGGCACTGGGGCAAACCTCTGTGAGACCTTGAATCATGCTGGTTGGAACTGAAGGAGCTCTGGTTCTCCCATCAGACATAAGCTTATTGATGGGGCCAGGTTTTCTTCATCCTTTCACACTCAACATTTCACTAGCACAATGCGAGACACAAAACAAGAGATGGGTCCACATTTGTCCAATGCACGAGTGGGGTGTCATGAGCACCTGAGTGTCCTGTACATGAGTATTGGGAAGTGTTTCAGAGAATGTGAACATTATTTGTTTGCTCCACTAGGTGAGGCAACTTGGTGATCTTATTTGCATTTAGGAGCATTAGCTTTTCATGGGTTTTAGCAGAAGGGAGCACAGGCTCGTTCAGGCCTTGGCAACTTACTAGTCTCAGTCTCTCTCCATGTAAAATGGGAATCAAATAACTGCCCTTATCTTCCAGGGGCTGTTGTGCAGATGAAAGTAACATTAAGGAGGTGGAGAGCCTCAGGAGTGGTATGCATGCTTGTGACTCTAGCAACTGCTTTTTTTCTACAACCTGGCAGAACATTTGGCAGCTCAGAGGCTGTGAAAATATGAATGTAGCTAGCAGTAACAGTGGCCATTTACTGAACATATACTGAGCCGGGCACTATTCTTTCCATTTCAAATGAATGATCTCATTTAATCCTTGCAACACTCTGAGGTTAGGATAACTCTATTTTATAGACGAGGAAACTGAGGCCCACAGGTCACTCAGTCTGCGCAGGCTGCTGTCTGGTTCCATGTGGTTAACATGTTTTGCTGCAGACTTGCTTCTCCCCAAAGGTTTTCCCAGGTCCCTGTAGGAATGATCATCTAGCCAGATTTGGTGCAGGTGGATTGAATGGGGTATTTTTCCATAGTGGGCTATGGTGGTGAAGGACGCAGATCTCTCCCACCCTCTTAGTTTTGCATGCCTTCTGTGATTTCCTTGTGGTAATTCCTGATCGAGAATGAACTTGGTGGGTCTCTAATTCTGATGTGACACTACCTACCTAAGACAGGGAGTCAGAAGCCTGGTCCTGTCCTCCTTTCCTTCTCTGCTCTCTCTCCATTTCCGCTCCTCCATCTCCCCTTCTACCGCTAGGCTTGTGTGAGCAAACTCCGTGCACGTATCCCCACAGTTATTCGAGTGGCTTCCTGGTTCATTGTATTATGCAAATCTCCTGCCCTTGGCTTGCCAGCTTCGTCCCTTTTGGTAACTCTGACCTGCACCATTTTCTTCCAGACCCATCAGCGTGCCGAGTCCTGGGCGAATTTCATTTTGCAAACCCTGTCAGATGACTACCTTCTCTTGTTCTCCGCACCAGTGGATCCACAGAGTGATGGCACGAAGGGGCATTGCACACACATACAGAGATTTTTCCTTCACAATGTGTCTATAATGGGATCCTTGCAAAGCGAAGGAACCCTGACTGCTGATCAAAGGCAGAAAGACAGGAGGAAGAACAGTTTGCTCTTCAAGGCGATGAGCCTGAAGGCGTGCACCGGCTGGGCTGTGGCTGGGGACAGCCGCCTATTAAATGCATTTTCATTTTAATCAAGGTGAGAGCAGCCTGTAGTTAGCAGGAATCGCTCTCAGTAGTATAGTTAGATTATAACTGGTGGACCTCTGCAATGGAGCCGCTGACCCATTTTAATGAAATGATTTTGCAATTAGATTCGATGGACTAATGTGTTCTTTCCAGCATTTTTCCCCCTGCTGTTTTTGTTATTGCCCTGGTTTGTAATAACAAGGGGGTCGGAATGTGATATTTTATACGAGTGGGAGCCAGAAATGTTAATAACGGCGTATGTACATAACCGAAAAAGTTCGTTCCCCAGTCAGAGCCAGCCCGAAATGCCATCTCCATCACTTCATATTTCATTACCGAAACTACTCAGGGTTTCTCAGAGCCATTTGTTATGCCTAATGCTCATAACTACCCCAAAGTATTTTTAACTTTTCCAGAGCTTTAAAAGTCAATTTCAATCTCAGTGCATATTTGTCACTGCCAGAAATACTTAGTAATAGAGGACCGACTGCAATAGGCTGTTGCTTCTTCTCTTTGGGGTGAGTTCAGACAGAAGAGATCCCAGAGGATTTGAAGAAGGGCCATAAAACTCAACCTCGGCTGAAACCAGCCTTGGAAGAGCTGATGTCATCTGGCATCTTGCCTGCTCCTGCCCCTGGAGCCCTCCTCCCCTTTCGCGGGCAGCTCAGAACAACGACACTTGGTACGTGATCACAGACAAGCTTTAATAGACGGGGGGGTGGGGGTAGGAGGTGGAAATTACAGCAACACAATTTTATTATACATCCCTGTCCTACAGCCACTTCCCAGGAGGAACACTTGTCACATTTGGATGACCAGGGGTGTGGGACAGGTAGGGAGCCAAGCTCCCATGTTTGAATGGACTTGGCTGGGTTGGGATCAGAGGCCAGCACCAGGTCCAGGATGGCTGCTGCCATCAACGGTATGCATTTTGTATCATCCTTTGGGCAGCCAGTTTGCTGACTGGGAGTCATAAATTCATTGTTATCTGATCATCATGGACTTGCTAACTCATGTTTCCAGAGCTCTCCTCCCCTATTCCCAATATCCCTAAGATGAGTGGAATAAAAGAAAGGAGGAAAGAAGCAGAAAGAGGAATTGGGGGGAGCGTAAGTCCTGTCAGGCCTCATCAGCTTGAAAAGACAGTGATGTGAATAAGCAAAGGGTCATAAGTGATGAATGACTAAGGAGAACACTGCCAGGCACACAGACATCCACTCATGGGCAAGGCTGGGGGACCAGCTGCCAGTGGCTGGAAGATGCCAACTGTTTTACTAGGAGTTTGGTCACCAGTTGGGCAGGGAGCCGTCCTAGTAAGCTATCCCCTTTGGAGTCTATTATGAGTGCAGCCATCTGCCTGAAAACAGAGGGAAATACCCATGGTCTGAGGCTGGCACTGCCTCATCACAGCCTGTGGCTGCGGGGCCAGTAAAGCACTGATGGAAGGGCACCATTATGGACCCACTCCCAGAGGCCTGGTCCCTGCCATGTTAGGGGCAGTGCCGAGGGCCTCAGAATGCCCCTCTCTGTAAGGTGGGAAAGGGAACTTCTCCAGGCTCGAGGATTTGCTCTGTGTTAAATGGGATCTTTGTATGTCCATGCTGGAGAGGAACAGCCATTTGAATAATGCTTTCTCTCTTACTCAAGTTCTTTCTACTAACAGATGAAAGTCTGAAAGGGAGAGTTTAAGCAAATTTCAAGTCCCTATCAAATCACAGTTTTTAAATGTTCTAATTCAAGGCAATGGGGTTGTCCACAGCTGGGAAGGTGGGTATTACAGCAGTACAGTGCAGCCATTCTGGAATCAGATGACCCTGGGTAAGTTAGCTAACCTCTCTGAGCCTCAATATCCTCATCTGTAAAGTGGGACTTTAGATTTTGTGAACATTAAACAAGGTAATGATGTGAAAACAGTTCACTGCCTGGCCTATAGCAAGCACTCAATGTATGTTAAAAAACTACTAAGCAATGGTTGGGCTCCTGGTTCTGAGGGGTAACCTCAGATAGACGAGGTAATAAGAGTCACACCTCATGATGGGGGCCCAGGGCTCAGCTTCTAGTTCTGAGCTAGGCTAAAGTTCCCACCTTAGCTCTCTCTTGCAGAATAGGACAAAGACTCCAGGACAGGAATGAACAACACAGTCTTCTGGTTACACTGGGTCTAGGATTTATCAAGGAACAAGCAAAATAAGAGGTACCAAGATCCCTCTCTTTATTATCAGAGATAGCAGGTTTCCACGTCCACACACACTCCCCTCCCCTGAAACAGAATTAGCACCAGGTGAGGAGCCCAGCACCTCCACGTTAACTGTGCTTTGCAGGTCAAGGAAACAGACTGGACTTTAGGTTTCATGGGGTTCAGGGACTGTGTTTTCATAAAGTATGGGAATGAGGTTCAGAAGGAACCTTGGGTTAAACCCAAAGTCTCAGACTCACATGAGTTTCACCCATTCTCATGCTGACGTTCATTTCAAATAAAGTGAATACCAATAAAGGTGGTGGTGGGAGGGGTCGGGGGTCACAAGCAGTAGGAATTCCCCTTTGGGTTAGCTGCCACTTGGAAAAATGACCTTGGGTTGGGACTCTCCCATGAAACCATGGGGCGTATGCCTTGGGTATACTTGTTCCCTTCCAGTGGAAGAAGAGACACAGTAGTTTCTGAGCTTGAACCTAGTTATTACTCCTTGTCTGACATCCAGACTAGATTTGGGGGAGGGTGACTCCATTTTGGGAAAGAGATGTGGATACAGATCTCTTTCCCCAGGGTGCTTCTCCAGACCCATTTCCCTCTGTATCTGCATCCTTTGAGACTCCTACCCTCCTGCCTTTGGTGAGTTGAGACTGGGAGAGGTGGGTCTGGCAGGTGGTGGGCTGCGGTGCTCCAGAGCAGAGGAGAGGTGTCCAGCGGTGGTGGCGGCGGTGGCGGGCCATGCTGCAGGAGAGCACGGTGCTTTCCGCGGTGCTTGACAGAACCATGTTCCGTTTCCATCGTTCCACCACATGGTTAGATCAAGCACAAAGGAAAGCCCCGCAGCGACTGGTCAGAGTCAAGGTCAGGAAGCAGCGTCAGAGAGAGGACAGGAGCGCTCAGAGGAAGCAGCGTGGAGAAGCGGAAGCCGGAGCAGGCCCCCACTGAGCGTGATTAGTATCAGGAGTGGGGTTCCACTGGAACACTTCCGAAGATTGCAGCCCTGCTGCCCTTGTGCCCCACCCCAGGGAGACACAGTAGGAAGGGAGAAGAACGGGAGGGAAATCACTGGATGCCCATACTCGGGAGCTTCAGGACAGCATGGTTCCTTCCCAAGGAAAGAAAGAACACTCAGACATCTGTGATCCTATCACATGCCTGAATTGAGCCTCTAAACTCCATTCAGTCACACCAGTTGGTCTGACAAGACATTAAACTTAGAAAAGCATCTTCTGCATGCTTTGCAACATAGGCCCAATCCCCCCAACAGCTGAGTGGTTCCATCACAGTCATTCCTCTAGCCCCTTAAGTCAAGAGACAATCCACAGTTCCCAGTGGTCTAGCAAACCTTCAATGCTGTTCTTTAGGAAAAAGCCCCCTTTGACATTCCACAATTCAGGAGTCTCCTTTATATCCTTTGAGGTCAGCAGGAATGCTCTGGCTGATAGACACTCATCCCAGATCATTTGAGGTTTAATAGAGGAGCAGTGGGGTGTCAAAAGAAAATATATCTCTCTAGCCAGAGAGAAAGACAGGAAAACAAATGGGGCCGTAGGGTTTGGACTGAGGAACCTGCAATCATAGTTGTTGTTTGAGAACACTGACTTTCACAGAGATGGTGGCCAGTGCGCCTCCTGATGAAGGGCCTCTTTGAGACTAAGAGAAGGAAGGAAAGGGAAGCCAAGTGATGAGTCTGAGGGGAAGACACTGAATTCTGGGGTCCTTCTTGATTTCTTGTTCTCTTCCTTAGCTGGAAATTATGGGAGCGAACAGGATGAACCAATAACCACTGTCAGGATGCCAAAGGCCCAGGTGAGGGTACCCAGTTTTTATATTCCTCTCTGTGATAGATCAGGGTCAGTTTCCATGAACCTGCTGACTTGGGACTTCCTCCCACTTGGCATTAGGCTGGAGATGTGCATCTTGAAGAAACTGGAGCTAAGGCTAAGTGACTGAGACCCTCCCTGCCTGACCTCTGACATGAGAACCAGTATCAACATTCTTCCACTATGTGTTTTTGGGACTGGGCATATCCTCTAGATGGTCTCAGCATCTCAACGGTGCATAGGTTGTCTGCCATGTTGGACCAGTTAGGAAGAGCCAGCCCACAGCTCTGGGTCTGTCTGGCCTCTCCTCCTTCCTAAGGTCTCTCATCACACGCACTAGAGTCAGCCACTAGAATCTGGACTCCACTCTGCTTTGACACCTATGCAGGGCTCTGTGAACACTGTGGTTCTGGGACTTCAAATGTGAGTTTGATTAGGACCCTGGTACAAGAGCAGGGGAAATCCATCCTGTTCGTGCAAACCGCCACCCTCACCAAGCCTTAAAATCTAATTTTCTTTCTCTTTGGTTTCTTCCTACAAAAAGAAATGGAGGGATTTGTAGGTAAATTATCAAGAGTCTTCACAGTATGTCAGAAGTCCTGGGTTTCAGATCTTGCCCTAAAAATAATACTCAATACCTTAGATAAGATTTTTCTGCTGTGTGGACCTCAATTTATCCATCTCTAGAATAAACTGGATGACCTCTAAGGTTTCTAAAAGTTCTGTAATTCCTTGAGAGCTATCTTGCTGTTCGCCGTCTTTGGACACTTTGCGTCACCACCCTCTGTACTTTTCAGCAAGAGAGTTTCTTCTCACACAAAGCGGGGAGGCATGAAGGAAGACAGACAGCACCCTGCAACTGCCAAGTGCTCCCAGGGATGGGCTTGGGGTCCCAGGCAGCCAGACGGAGCCTTTTCAGGAGGACTTAATCTGATGGTCAGATTACCCCAGCCGGCAGCATCCAACCCTAAACTGATCTTGCTGCCCAAGGCGGCGGATGCAGCTGATAGAGAGAGGCAGACACAGGCAGCTGGGAAACCAGACGCCCTGCCTAAGGAGGGGCAGGATGTGTTACGGAGCAGCCCTCAAATTGCCTCCTAATTACATCAGCTGTCTTTTCAATGGGGGTGCTTTTAGGAAAAAGTAAAACGCAGAGTTATTATCTGTCACATCCAGTCTGTGTCACCTGCCCCCCTTCTTTCTTCTGGAGCTTCCTGGAAACACAGAGCTTTACATCTATGGTTTTTCTTTCCCTCCAAGGCCAAGGCAGGTCTGGAACCCCATGTTTCTCAAAGCCAAGGCCTTTGGAGCTCAGCAGTCATGCTTTCTTTGCAATGACATAAAATAAAAGCAAATAGAGTGCTACGTGTCAGTCTCATGCTAGCTCCAAACATCTCTACTTTTTAGGAATAATCTTTCGCTTAGCATTGTTTTTTTTTTTAAAAAAGGTATCTTAGAGTCAATCCAAGAACCTGGCTCCTTCTCCCTGTTTCTTTTTTAAAATGTTCAGCTTCCCCTCCCCCACATAGGAAAAGCAGCCAGGATCCTGCAGATCTACAGGTAGGACGATAGTGGCAGAGCTAGAGTTAGAACTAAGCTCTACTGCTTCCTAGGTCCACTTTCCATTTTCCTTTTCTCCTACTTAGTTCTTTCTATAGCCCCACCCCCACCTTGCCACCCCCAACCACAGTCATGCCCAGAAAATTGCCAAGACTGTGTTCCTGGGGAGATACCAGTCCTTGGATCCTGCACTCTTTCCCTGCTGTGCCACGCAGGGCCGCCACATCCATTTGGGGTCCAAAGTACTAACAGGATACTTATGAGACCAAAGGGTCAAGGTTGGCAGATAATACCCTGCCCTCCTCTGGCTCTCACTGTCCTTCTTTTTGGGTACCACTGTTTGGCAGAGCTAATTAACTCAGCCCTGGCCAGACAGGGGTAGGAATAGAGGCCAAGGTTGGCGTGAGTCATGAGGAAAGGTGCTGGGGATAGGACGATTGTGCTTTGGGTGAGATTTTCTTTCCAGAGATGTTGCCAGGCCCAGGAAGGAACCTGAGGACAGTGTTCAGGGAGCGGGTAGGGGTGGGAGCATGAGACCAGGGAAGGAGGTCATCCAAGCAGCTGATTGTCATCCCCAAATATTCCTTCTCTCCCAGATGCTGTGTGGTGTGAGGACCAAAATGAACCTGAGGTTTAGTCCTGCCTCCGCTGTTTGCTGGCTTGTGAACTTGGAGTGCCCCTTCACCTCTAAGTCCTCAGTTCCCTCTCCTATAGAGCAAAGGGCTCTCCTACTGACTTCCCAGGACCATTGGAAGAAGCAAATCAGACTAGAAGCCTCCAGTACCACGCTCATCGCAGGTGAAAGATGGCTGTTGTAACTGACATCATTATTCTAGGGAAGGGAAGTCGGTACCAACTTTTCACAGTGCCACAAAGTCTCTGTATTATCTCCAAGCCCTCCCAAGGTATTAGTTTCTGTTAAAAAAATTTAAAGAGCTAAAGCTTATCATTCTGGAGACATGGACTAAAGAATTTGACTTAAAGGACAAGAAGATGTTGTAAGAAGCACAAGTCTGCCTGGGAGTAACCTCTCCCCACGCTGGCATTCTCCCCGGGAAGACTCGCCTGCATCAGAAGCTCCTGGGCAAGGGGAGAAGCACTGCTCTTGCTGCTGCACACACCGTGAGGGTTGGCTGCAACCCGCCTGGGCACTTCATGCTATCAGTCTTTCACCATTGGGGGCACAATGCAGTTTGGTGATTTTTTTTCCAGTAGAAAAGAACACAAATGATAGTAATTTTTAACTGCCTGTTCATGTAGCTGTCGGGTCAAGGAGAGCTACTTCTCTTTCCAAGATAGGCTGAGAATTCCCCTGCTGTTTTCCCCCATGTCCTTCCTGGGTGCAGTGAGAAGGAAGCTTTCTAGAGAGATCCTGGGCACAGAAGAACGAGGCTTTGTTTCTTCCCAAGCACGACTCTTTACTGTTCTCTCCGTACTCAGAACACAGTAATCAGGGATGGAGGAGCTAAGCTAGTGAAAGTGTTTTTCGTGAACATGTGGAACCTATAACATACTGTGGTCAAAGGGCTGTACCATGGTCTGTCTCCGAAGGGAGTGGGAGGTCCCCAAGATTACACACCGTCTGTAGCCTCGCCTGAGCTATATGTATTTCTCTACTTGCCCTTTGGGGAGCACACTTTGGAAACGAAAAATATAAATCTTAGCCTGTAACAGGCACATGTGCAAAGGCCGCCCCAGCCCCACCTTCTCCTTAGCTCTTGGAGACACGCTGCTGCCTGGGTCCTGTCTCCCCTGCAACCGTCTCCTCCTCCCCATGCTTTTATTGTGTGTGTGTGTGTGTGTGTGTGTTTTATTTTAAATCCATAAGGTAACTGGTTTTCTGCAGGGCTAACTGAATTTCCCCAATTTAATTTGCAAAGATGCTCCCCAGGAGCCATTACAGTGCTCGCTGTCCTCCAGATTGGATTATTGGCCTCTCTGGGGCTGCTGCATTCTGAGTCAGAAAGCGGGGCCCAGCCCCGTAACCTGATTACCTGAGCAGCGGAACTTCTTGCTCTTGATCTGGCTGATGCGCTTGTTGGCGAGTCGGCGCGGGCTGCTGCAGCGGGCCCCGCTTGTCTCGATGGGGTTGTCCTGGAGGTAGTCGGCCAGCCACTTCAAGTGGCAGTCGCACACAAATGGGTTTTGGGCTAAGTGGCTGCGAGAGGGATGGGGCCGTTAATCAGGAGTGACCCACGGCGTCTTGCTCCACCACCACCACCCTGCCTCGCGCTGGGCCCTGGCAATCCACTGCAAGGACTGGCCTCCTGCCTCATCGCCCCAGGAAGCCTTAGGGGGTGCTACTTTCAGACAGGGCTCAAAGAGGGGGTCTGAGGCCTGCTGTCTGCAAAAGACAGTCACAGATGCAGCTAGCATCTGGTCTGGGGAATCGGTCTCCCAGCTCTTCCCACTTGGGGCAAGACCCACCACCGATTGCTTCTACTCTCACCCACGCCAATTCTGACAGACAAACCCAGTCATGGTTTGCACTTGGGGTAGAATGCATTTTATTTCTCTAAGCTCAGTGACACTAGGCACATAAAGCAGCTGGCACGGCGCCTGGCATATGGTGGGTGTTCCATATATAGTAGCGGGTATTGTTGTAATTATCCTTATCATCATAAGAGCACCATGGGTCTTGCTTCCCCTGCCTCAGTAAGAAAAACTGTGAAGCACCGAACACAGTGTTTGGCACGTGGTCGGCGTCAATATATAGCAGCTGCTCCTACTGTGTCTTGGTTCCTGTCTCTGGCTACAGAGGCAACAAGCACCAGATGACTTACAGGGTCTCCAGAAGCCCCGAGGCTAATTGCAGACCTGGGCATGGGGCTGAGGTCTATGCCTGAGACTGGAGCCATCAAAAAATGGGCTGAAATCTGTACTTGGAGGTCATCTATTTAAGTGAAATATTTATGAATACCTGTAGTGCATGGAAGTGAGGATATACTTCCCATAGAGGAAGAGTGCCCACCTCAGATGCTTGGTTTTGCAGGGTGGAGGGGGTTAAGCGGGGGCAGGAGTGGGCTATCTGCAGAAATGGAGTCTGCTCAGAATACAGTGACCACAGGGGTTATGAGGGTAGCTCAGGACCTCCTCTGCCTGGATTCAAAACCTGCTCCTTACTAGCTGTGTGACCCTGAGGAAGTTACCTAACCATTCTATGCCTTGGTTTCCTTATGTAGAAAGAAGAGATAGTAACAGCACCAAGTAGGGTCACTGTGAGGCTTAAGGGTTTTAAGACAGGGTAAGTACTCCATGTGGTGTCAAGCACAGTGTAAGTGCTTGGTACTGATAAGCTATTCCGATTTTTATTATTCTAGCTTCCCTGCAGGCTCTAGAACTCCTCCTGGATGTGCTCGTGCTGCCCTCATTTGGGTGTTTTTCATGATGGGCATTTGGGGTCTCCTGCTGCTTGGGCACCCACTGGCACCCGAGGCAGTGTACTCACAGTGTCTGGATGGACTGCAGAGGGGCGAAGAGCCCCTTGCTGATGGTCTGCAGCTTGTTGTCATACAGGGAGAGCAAGTTGAGGTTCTGCAGGTCCTGAAACGTGTTCACCCGCAGGCAGTTGATCTTGTTGGCATTGAGGAGGCTGCAAACAGAAGAGAGCCTGGTTGATTCACTAATCCTGGTAATTACCTGCGGGGCAAGGGTTGCACCTGCAGGGGATGGGCTGCAAAGCTCCCATCACTCATCCTTGCAGCCTTGAGCTCCTGCTGCAGAACAGAAAAAGAGAGAGACCTGCCTTCCTGTGTCTACCGAAACCCCAAACACTTCTGGGCACCTGCACACACTGTCACTACAGACACTATGCCATACACTGCTCTCACTTGGCACCTTCTCTTGCACCCATGGCCTTGAAGGAAGACCTGAAAAGGCACCCTAAGTGCTTCACTTTCTGTTTTAGGATTCAGAGCTTCCAGGAATTGGAAAGGAAAAAAAATCATTTGGCATAATTGTTTTAGAGCTTTAGTTGACTGACTACGGGCAATTTGATTCAGAAAATTCCTTACAGTTCTTTTGGATCACTGATCCTACTGGAAATCTGATGAAAGTTATATGTCATCCTCCTGGAAAAACTGCATCTATGTGTAGGCAGGCACATGTGCATACATATGGATTCTCTGTCATACACACATGTGCACACCCACAGAGAGCACAGAGCCCCATGTGGTTTGACCTTGGCCCTTTCGCCAACCTCATCCTAACCCCACTCACCCCAAACTCACTACCCTTGAGTCCCACCACTGCATTTTTTTTTTTTTTTTGAGATGGAGTCTTGCTCTTGTCGCCCAGGCTGGAGTTCAATGGCGTGATCTCGGCTCACTGCAACCTCCGCCTCTTGGGTTCAAGCAATTCTCCTGGCTCAGGCTCCTGAGGAGCTGGGATTACAGGTGTGCACCACCACGCCCAGCTAATTTTTGTATTTTTAGTAGAGACGGGGTTTCACCATGTTGGCCAGGCTGGTCTCGAACTCCTGACCCCAGGTGACCTGCCTGCCTTGGCCTCCAAAGTGCTGGGATTACAGGTGTGAGCCACCACGCCCGGCCTACCACTGCATTTTCATTCCTCAGACACACCAGATTTTTCCCTAGGACCTTTGAACACCCTCTTTACCTTCTTTCAGCAGGGCTGCCTTCTTTTCCTGCTTTCCACTGTAGCTCAAATGTCCGCTCCTCAGAGAGGCCGGCCCTGACCCCCTCATCTACAATGGGACCCTCACTCCATTATCGTCTCTCACACCCCCGTTTATTTCCCTCCTGGCACTCATCGCAATTTGTGATTATAGGATATCTACCATTGGCCTTCCACACAGGATTAGGAGCTCTATAATGGCACCAATGACAGCCATTTTATTCCTCCCTTTCTTCTCAGTGCTTATTCTTTATTAAGATGTATAATAACTCCATATGCAGCTTCAAGGGTCTCACTTCTCTAAGGCGGCACCCATCCCTCACCCCTTCCAGGGTCAGCCTTCCTATCCATGAGGAAGCTGTTTTTAGCTCTTCAGACTCCCTAAAAAATCATCATAGGAAGCTACCCTTTGGGTGGAAGTCTGGGAAAGCAGAGGATGCCACGAGGGTGACAGGCAGTTTTCCAGAGCAGGGCTGGCAAGTCAAGCACATTGAGATCCTAAGAATTACCTTTACTGATCCTAGACTGACTAGACATGCCTTGTAGTCAATGTAAAATCATTTCTTATCCCCTCTCGAATGAAACTGGGGGAAGGGGAAAATAAACTAACCAGCAGAAATGTTGCATTTCAAGAATTTTACTTTCGAGGCTGGTTCAGCCCCTCCCTGGTGGGGAATGACACATGAGATGGATGCCGGGCTGGCCTGCCTCAGGAGTCTCTCCATACCAGGATCCAGGGGGTCTGCAGTTGGCAACGGTGGGGCTGCCCATGGTGCTAAATCATCCATGCCACCTCTCCCTTAGCTGCGGGCCTCATACTCCCCACGGTCCCGGTGCACCCCGCGTGCAGGCAAGCAGCTGTGGCAGTGACAAGTGGAAGAAGAACGGCCTGTTTAATCTGTCTAATAATGGGCAAGGTCCCAAGGGTTCACACAGATGTCCTCCTGCCTGGCAGTGGAAAAAAAATGCTCATACTGCTAGAATACTGTGTTTTCCAAAGTGCTTTCCCAACGTCCCATTATTCTCACAGGAACCTGGGCAGATGGACAGAACCTGACTCACAAGTGATAGGGGAGGAAACTGAGGCTGAGAGTTTGGCAGGTGTTTTCAAGGTCACACATGTTTCTAGGGAGCATGCTGGAAGCGGTTATGATAATTGAGGTCTCTAGAGGGCTCAGTTTCTTCTTTACGAATGTCTTGTCTACCCATCCTATCGGTCTATACTCTTTGCAACATCCCTCCCCCCTGCAAATTCCGATGCTTTGTGTATTAAATTTTAGTCAGTGTCACTGCATTTTGGGGGCATTTGAAGGAAATGTGATAGAGCAGAGAAACAGGGAGAAAAGCTGGAGGACTCAACGGGGTCCAGCAACCAGGGCTCAGGAATGGACCCTTCACACACACAGTGTTTTGATTTTTTTTAAAGTACACACATGGTGAGTGTTTTGTTCTAAACCTTGACATTCAGGGCCTTCTGAGTACATCATCTTGTCAAGAAACACTGAACTATTCAGTACACAACAGGTCAGAGGTGCCCATTTGATAGCCTGAGGATGGAATCCTTATTGCAGCATTTTGCGTCATGCCACATATATGTGTTTTTTCAATCCTCCTCTGTTTTAAAAATTGGAAAATTTCATACAACACACACACACACACACACACACACACACACACACACACACCCCCCATACCACACCACACCACATCAAATTTCTATTTTCTCTTGAAAAACAAAATTCAGGAGCTCAGGCAACCCTAGGTTCCCTGGAGGCAGCCATGGAGTAGCTGCCCCCTTTAGATAGGACATATGCTCTCTATTTGCCACAGTCCTCACTATTCCCTATTGTGTCCCCTTCACTAGTTTACTTGACCTTCCTTGCCTTAGTGGTCATTTAGGTTTGAAACCCCAGTGCAGATTCATAAGCCCAATTGTAGCAATTGGTTCTAGCGCATATTAGGCACTAGACAAGGACGATGGCCATGGGGAGAAAGAAATGGCAACTTGACTTGCCTTCATAAAAACTAAATGCCACGCTGGCAATCCTTCTCACTCATCAGGTCTATTGAGGCTCTTTTTTTCTCATCCAGATGCTCCTTTGTTTCCTATTGCTCCTAGATCTCTCAGCATGGGATGTTACTTCAAATATGTAAGGCATCAAAACAACCCAGGCTGGCAGAATTACTAGGCAAAGATAGCCCAAGGTGCAGAGCTCATGAAGCATGGAGCAAAAGAAAACACAAAAGGGCAGAGTCTCCTGGTCACTCATTCTCTCCCAGGATGCTTGGCTCCCTCAGGCGAGGTGTGTAGGTGCAGGGAGAGATAAAATTAAGCTGCTTATCCAGAATTAGATGCTGAGGACAGCCTCACTGGTCCCCAGCATCAGCAAGATCTAACAGCCTGTCCCTGTGCCCTCTTTCCTTTGGGAGGAAGGCTGGCAGCTAGTCAACTCAGCCTGGCTTCCATGAAAGGAGCTCTTAGCTATCTGGTACATGGACAAGAGTTGGAGGGGAATTTTAAAAGCACCATATTATGGAGCAAATAGAGAGTAAACAAACATTTGAAATGAGGTTTAGCAGTTCTATAAGGAATCCTGAACACAGGCCTCCCTCTTTCACCGGAGGGATGGATTCCCCCTTTTTGCAGCAGAGATTCCAGGATGCTTGCTCCGTCCTGGTTCATCCCTGTTTGAGGAGCATTGGTGTAACTGCTGTGTGAAATGATAATAATGCAGCATCCTCTCTACAGACTACATCTCTGTGTGCTTTTCCCACGCACTTTCCAGGCACTATCTTATGTAACCCCCACAACAGCACTATGATTATCTTCATTTTTCTGATAAGAAAACAGGTTCAGAGTGGTGACGGACTCAACCAAGGTCCCCCAGCAATAAGCGAAGCTCCAGCCTGTTTCACTCCAAAGCCATCTCTTATCTACTATTTAAAGTCTATATTCTCTTTTCCATTTTCCCTATGTGTGAGGAGTGGCTATTTTTGCTAGCCTTCACTGTACCTGGGTATGCTTCAGATGGACAAAGGTCTGGTTGGGTTTGGAAGACCCTGCTTGCCTCCTGGGAGTGCAGAGGCATCAGAAGTCCTCCTGACTCCCAGGAAGGAGCTTCAGCGTGTGATGCTGATCAAGCCTTCGTTGGCACGAGGTGGCAGGTTCTTTACTGAGTGGCTTGCATCTGTACGAGGCAAGGCTTCCCCCTTCAGGATCACTGACCGAATGCCGACGTGGGAGCTGATATGCCTGGCTCTGTGATCCCCTTACTCTGAGCAGGCCAGGGACAACCGTAGGACAGAGATAACAGCAATAGCACACAAGGTGGGATGTCCCAGCTGGCCTCATTCAAGAGGCTGCCTGGCGCTCAAACTGACAACTGTGACATCCCAGCCAAAGATCTCACTTCAGCCCAATCTGCTGTTGGATCCAGTGAGTCAGGCTGGACTGCCTGGTGAATACTGTATTCATCGGTATTTCCCCAGATGCAGATCCAGTGATCTTTTGGGGCCACCTGCTCCAGATCTATCTCTCAAAGGACCCTCGGAGATCATATAAATGAAAAGAGAGGGAAGGCTGAGATGATCCGACCAGGTGAACCACAGCCACCAGGTGAACAGCAGGGGCCACATGGCCTAACAGGTAATGCATATTACACACTTCACAAGGCCAGGTACTCCCATTTAATCTCCCTTTGACAGGTGACCCTTCTGGGGCTCATAGAGCTTAAATAACTTTGACCAAAGTTCCACAACCCGTAAGAGGTAGGATAGTATTTGGACTCACGACATCATAGCCCAAAGATTTTGTTTCCAATCGTCATGCTGCTGTGAGAGCCAGTCCCCTCTCACTAAGAGCCTAAGGGAGCCACCTGAGGCTGATGGGAGGCGGTGGAGGTACCCTGTTTGTAGCCACTCCATCAACGCAGCGGGTGATTTTACAATAAGGCAGAACAACAACAAAAAGAGCCATGCTCCCATCAGAGGAAATTAAGGAGAGTGGCACATTGGAGAGTGGGAGGGCATGTACAGCACCTTCTAAATTTATTTCCAAGTGTGAGCTCTAGGAGGCCCTCTGCCACCCCCTTCCTTGGAGCACTTTTGGCTGCCACATATGTTCCATGTCAAGAGGTATTAGCACTCAGCCCATTGACTACCCAGCATAGCTGTGCTGCTGAGAGCTCTTGCTTTCTGGGAGCTGTGGCCTTCAGGAAAACCAAAGCAGAAAACAGAAGCCACTGGGAGTCAAAAAAGCTAGAGCTGGAGGAGGGAAATGAAATGCCTGTGTCGGGATGAGGGAGAACCCTCGTGACTCAAGTCTTTCTGCTAGGGGACCGGGGCTGGCCTGTGCAGAAAAGTCCCAGGTGTTCTTATCACTAGTAGCAGCTTCCAGCTTCTTTCATTTGGGGTCCAGGTAACATGGGGAGATGGCCCACAGGGGGAAAACCAGGTCCATTATGATCCACTAAAAGGACCCACTACACCCAGGCTTTTGAAAAGCCCCATGGGGAGAAGATCGCTGAGCCCCACTGTTAGCTACTGCCTTTGCTCTGATCCGCTCTTCAATGAAGGTTGCCCTTGGAGCCCACAGGCCTTTTTTGCAAAGTTTGGAAAACACAGACATCTGGAGTCAGGCTTAATGATCAATTGCATCAAAAATCACTTTGGCAACTCCAGCAATTCACATGTTGACTCAGTGGCCCAGTGCAATCATTCTGGTGGCGTCCACACTTGACCAAGGGTCTGTGGAGGACATGGGTTATGTTGCCCCTCCCACTTCTATGGTATTTGTCTGGAAATGCTGAAAGCATATTCCAAACTCCAGAGAGCAAGGCCTCCTCAGAAAACTGGTGCCAAGAAAGAATGCAGTGGCCCTTCCAGGAGAATGGATGAAGCTCTTCCAGAAAAGACTGTGGGATAGGAAGATGGGCCCAGGCTCCTGCCAAGAAAGATACTCTGTGGGCCTTCTTTTCCTAAAACAGGGATGGGGAGTCTGTTTCTGTTTCATGAACACTCAGATGCAGATATACAACAGGAGAAAGATGGCGCCAATAGGCGTCTGGCATAACCCTTTCTCTAGCTCCTTTAGTAGGAGAATTTACAAAAAGTGGGTTATGAAGGCTCTTTGTTATTTAAAAAAGTGCTCTGTGTGTCCCTGGAAGTAGTTATCACCTCTACACATTGGCACGAACGCTTAGTGAAGACACCAACTAGGGGAGCTATTCTGTACCCCTAATTAAGCTACAGGATATAGAGCCAAACCTTCCGCATTAATATGCCTTCCTTCTTTTTATTTCTCTAGTATTAACCCTCTGTCATCCTGAATTTCTTTATCCATTAATTGTAATAGGGACCACTCTCCCACCTTAGAACATTATGTTATCATCCTTTCCCTATAAAATATGGGGATTAATTTAGACCTTCAGCAACCTACTGAGGCTGGATGTGGGGAAGAACCCAATGACAGCTGATGCCATGAATTCTGACCCTGCCCAGAATCTTCTCTGTGCTTGAAAATGGGTGCTGTAGGCCACGTCTTGCTAAACACTCAAGGGGAAACAGGAGGAGCCCTCCAAGTCCCAACTAGGGGCAACAGTGGCTCTTCCCTTCTCTCCTGTTGGTGACTGCACTGCTTGTCAATGGCTGTGGGTTGTCATGGTGATTCCCGATGCAAGAGTAACCAGGCATGCAGCAACACCATTGGGCGGCCTGTCTGAAAAACAAGACCTCTTTCTACCCCAGAGACATAGGAGGGTGCTAGGAATGGGCTGTAAGCCACTGGGTTTTCCTAAGGGAAACAGATGAAAGCTGAGATTCCTAGAGACCAGAGAGGGAGAACTATTATTTGGTTACCAGATCAAGTGACCTCACCTGTGGTGGCTTGCCCATTCCTTCCCTCAGGACTATTAGGGTGGTAACTTTCCTATCTGATTGCCACATGGTTACCAATCAGTCCTTTAAGTGGGGTGAACCATTCATTCAATGACTAGCATGGAATGATTCCAGAATTTAAGTCTACCCAATGGCTTTCCAGGTACACAAGAGAGGGAAGAACCCTTCCCTCAAGAACGCATCGCCAAGTCAGTCTGCTTCTTCTGCTGGAGACAATTCTCATTGTCCCACCTCGATTGGGTCTCTAAACACAAGCAGCTCCTTGACTATCCTCTCATAGAGCAAACATTAGTGGGCTGAAGACAATGAACCAGAGAAAGTTCCATGGACACAGAGCCGTGAATTATGCTGAGCCATAACAAAAGGAGTTGATCTGCAGTTCAACAGCACCCTCTCTGTGGCTTGATCCATTGAGAATTTCTTGCTCTGCAGATCAAAAAACCGGCTCTGCAGATCTGCCTGTGACTGGGTGAAGCAGATGTCTCTGGATGGATGTGCTGTGGTTAAGGGCATGGACTACCCAGGTTCCAATCCTGGCTCCATCATGCTAAGTGACAATGGTCAAGTCACTTAACCCTCAGTTTCCCCCTCTGTAAAATGGGCCTTTCCACAACACCTTCCTCTTAGCGTTGTGGTAGATTAAATGAGATGATGCACATGAAATTGCTTAGCAGTTTCGGGTCCTGAAGAATATTAAGTATTCAATAAATGTTAGCTGCTATTATTAGCAGTAGTAAGTAGTTCTTGTGAAACAGCTGGTGGGGAAAAGTGAACTATAGGGAGTGAAGTTTTGCTCACTGCTCTGTAATTGGCATGTTGCTTGGCAAACTCCGAGAGCCTCAAATGGTCTTGTCTGCCTTCCAAGAAAATTAAACAACAGGTGCTAGAGTTGTCTTAACTTATTCCAGCCCGAAGACAGTCTGGTTTGGTTTAAGACCACCTGGAGCGGGTTTAAAAGCTTCCACCTCAAATGACTGCCCTCCCGACTTAAGTGGCTTTCCTATGCATGTCATGTGATCGATGAGCACTAAATGAATGCTCCTGACTCCCTGGAGGGGAGGTGTAACAACGCAGCTTGCAGCTGTCCATCAGCGGAGGAAATGACAGCCTTTTCCTGCTTTGGGAGGAGGGACCTCTGAGCTACAAGGTGAGGGATCTCAGGGCACGAGGGCTGGCTGCCCATAGAGGATCACCATCTCCACAGATGTCCCAGGAGCCTATGAGCCTGGGTGGGCAGGGGAAGGTAGAGGAGCAAGACCATTCACCCTGAGCTTCCAGTGAGGAGGAAGACAGGTCATTTCTCTAATAATTGAGCTGCTCCCACCCCTGGAGTTGGGATCATGTGCCCAGTGATATGTCCTTTTCTCACCTTGGGTTCTGAGATGCCTCCATGTGGGATATTTCAATTCTAAACATACTTCCTAGTATCCAAATGGGCACCAACTCACTTCCTAGCAGCCAGTTTTAAGGAGGGAAGCTGACAGATTACCTTGCATCCCCCAAAGACAATAAGGGTTGCTAGTAATAAACAATAAATGCGTGTTTATACAATGAATGGCCGCAGGAACTGAACGTGTTTAGGATTAATTATAGGGAGACATACTAGCTATTTTCAAACATCTGAAGACAATGATAACAGACTTTTCTGAGTTTTCTAGAAACCATTACGATGTTTAGTATAAGAAAGAGCTTTCTAACCTTCCAACTAGGCAGTGAGGACTTATCAGAGGAACCATCAGCAAACGAGTGACAGAAGGATTTGTGAGAGCGTGCATGAGAGGGATTCTTGTCCTAGCCAGGTAGGAGGCTGTGCTTGGAGCCCTGATGTTCCTTTGAACGCTAAGATTTTGGAACTTAAACTGAAGGGGGTAACTTGTGAGGCTCCAGGGGACCAAGGACAGAATATCATGCTTAGGACAGCTGGGGCTTGTTCCTTGTGGATGCACTTGCCGCAGCCTCTAAAAAAACGGAGACATTCTCTCCAGAATGGCCAAGAATTTTGGGCATTTGCCCAAAGGAACACACCGAGAAAAGCTCCCAGGAGGCTGGCTGTGTACATACTGGACTGGGCAAGTTTGATAGGATGGCCAAAAAGTCCAGAGGAGTGGGGGAAGATGGGAGGCAGGCAGGAGAACCAACTACAATGTACCCACTTTATTACCGCCAGCATCACAGCAAGTGCTAGAAAGGAAATGTCCAGGGCCACTTCGTGTGGCAGAGGCAGTTCAGCTTTGCGAGTACCCATAATTTGAGAGATGGAATGAGAAGAAAAAATGCAATCCTCTCACAAAGAGACTCTGAGTCAAAGGAGAGAAAATAACTCAGACTACCAGAGTATTCTAATCAGAGCCTTCTTATCAGTGTCTCCAGTCTAACAGGGAGAAGTCCAATCTACAGCAGGCTGAACACTAAATTAGATCGAATCAGGGCCTGCTTTCCAACCACTCAATGGCAGGTCAAAACCCAATGACAGCTACTTGAGTCCCAGTTACTGGTTCTTTCTGGTAAGGCCTGCCTGAGTTGTGTCAACTCTTGGTCTCAAGAGAGGAGAGTTGCTTCCTCTTTACCCCAAGCTACTCGATTCCATCTGCTCAAAATGGTGACAGTAAACTGGAGTTGCCTTCGCGACCCATGCAAAGTCCTGTTGGTTCTATTAACCTCATGGCTGCTATTAGCTTGGAGCTGAGATACACATCTTTTTAAGTATACATGCACTGTGCTAGGCACTGTGATACACATTCTGTGTATCCTTAATGTGTGCAAAGCCATTTTCCTTCCTGCACACACACACACACAGATTATAAAAGGAAAATCACACCAGCTTGGTGGAACACAACACTGCCAAATCCACCTCAAGGTGGATACTATTGATACTCTTCTTTCAAGGGATTAATAGCTACAGTTAACTAGCCTTATGGTGGCAGTTATAATGCACAGTTTCTTTGCTACAAGCAAAGAATACCATCTGTGAAACACCCAGCTCCCTGCAGAGCCCTGGCCTGTCATTCTAACACATAGCCTTAAAAGCCCACCAAAGGCTGGGACCGTTGAACAGGAATTTGCCCACACAGACACACACAGAGTGGGGCAGACAGGAAGACAGAGATGGGGGAGATGCAGAGAAAGAGAGACTTTTCTCTCTCTTGCTTTCAGCTTCACTGAAACAAACCTGGTTGCTGGTATGATAGATCTGCTCCCTGGAAACTTGCTGGGCATCGCACGCCTACATAATTCACATTAGTGCGTGTTCTGGGAGAATCTGTCCAGAGCTGAGTCTTAAAGGACATGGGAAGGGTAGAGGAAAGATGTAAGAAAGGGCTGGAGGAAAAGTCTCACTTCCTCTTTCTTGAAGAGTTCCTGGGCATCAACCACATAAGATGTGTCCCTTGTTCCTCTCTCCTTCTTTGCTCTTGTGCCTGCCACCCCTTTAGAGCCCCAGCTTGAGTCCTGGCCCACAAACCCATGCTGTGGGTCCTCTGAACTTTACGTAGGAGGTGGGGAGGTGCCAGGCCTCTTCCTCACTGCCTGTGACTTGGAGGTGATTTTAAAAAGACACACACACACACACACACGCACACACACACCTGCACACCTCTGCAAACATACATCATGTGCTATTCAGAGGGCTGGGAGGTTTCTGAATGAAGGGCATGGCCATGTAGATTCTTTTCCAGTTTCCATACCTATTCTGCTGTGTGACTGGGGGAGAGTCATGTATCTCTCCGAGACTTGGTCTTCTCCACTGCTTAAAGGATACTCAAGATCAGTTCCTAACATCCAGAAGAACTGTAATGGTGACAGAGCAAATGTGCACATGCATGCACACACACACACACACACTCCCACACCCATAGTACATGTGTGTAGATGCTATAGCTGCCTTGTCACAAATCAGAGATGATTTTACCAGCACAAAAATTAAACTATACTATGAGCTAAATTCTTTTCCTTCCTTCTCCACATCAGAGTTCAATTATCTTCTTCAAACATTTAAGCTCAAATGACCAGAATGAAATAAATGCAAACAAATAATCCCTGAGCTTAAAATTCGAAGCAACAACCCTTCCTTTAAATTAAGTAAACACTCCTCTCCACCCTGTCTTTCCCAGATGGATTCACACTGGTGACTGATTATGCTCCTCTCGAATTATTCCCTCTGCCCCGACCCCTCTTCAAGGTCACATGTCCATCAGCAGCTGTGTCTCAGCTTTAGTACTGGAATTTGGTGTGTGGATGTTTTAGTTCCTTACATTCTTAGCACACTACTGAAAAATGTTTTTCTTTTTGTTGGATTTGACTCTTTCCTAATCTCTATCCCCAGACCCTGTGCTTAGTATCTTCATGCCTGGGCCAGGGCCCTCGGCTGTATCATTTGGGTTTATGCACACTGACCTCGGTCTTCCTCTGCCCGCTCGCTGACTCTCCTTTCATAAAAATAGGAAACGGAGGTGAAGCGTGGACAGCTCAAACATTTTTTTCTCTTTTGTCTGCAGAAAGTCAAAAGAACTCTCCAGAGCATGGCTCAACGTTTTCAGGTGGGAGCCTTCCGACAGTACCAAAGACACCAACAGTGACAAAGTTCCTACTCACAGCAGCTGTAGGGACACCAGCCCATCAAACAGTCCCTTGACAATCTCGGTGATCTTGTTCCCATACAGGACCCTGAAAGAGAGAAGGAGAAGACAGCAATCACTGTGGATGTGAGGCCACCAGAACCCAGTCCTGCAGGAAGCCATCACCTCGGCCAGTTCTGGGTATGAGATCTCAGGACAACCCCTTCCACGGCCTGCCTAATCCCTTCTCATCAGCGAGACAGAGGCAGCCAAGAGCAGCCAGGGGCTGGAAGGGCAGGTTGTCTGGGAGGTGAGTAGAAATGGGCTCTATCCTGCTCCATTCCTGGGCAACCTAGCCCAATACATAATCCCCAACAGGAAGAAGCGGTCTCTTTGTGGTATCTCCCTAAGCTGCTAATATGACTCACACCCCAGCAATAAATACACTGTGTGGGAGACTGGCCCTGTGTCTTCAATGGGTATTGATCAGCTTGAGCCCAGCCTACAGGACGTTTCCTTTTAATATCCCTTTGCATCTTAGGAATTCCTAAGCTGAGTCATTTAATCATCCATCTAGACAGGGCTTTGTGCATCTGGGGTCATCTCCAGATGGTGCAGGGACTGCTGAGTCAAGGACTGGCTCTCGGGAAAAACCAGGGAGCTTTGCTGTCTCACAGTAATGGCAGCTTTTACTTTCTATCCGCTTTTCCTATTCTTTGAGTTCCAGGAACGCAGGAACTCAGAACCCTTTTACCCCTTTCTCTTACGGGCCTCCAGTGACCCTCATACTGGTGTCTCTGATTCATGGGCCTCATCTTTGGTGTCTTGGTGAGGCCTGGGGAGGAAGGCTACTGGGTCTCCCACTCCAGCACAGTGCTCAGGGGCGTCTTTATGCCTGGCCCTTGCTGGTGCTCTTCAAAGGCACTAGAGAAGCTCGGCTGGCCTCTCTCTGCTCCCAACCACAGCACGGGCTTTGCTGTCTCTTGGGTCCAGCCTCCTCTGTGACCCAGGGAACTGATCGTAGGAGAGTTTGGTTGTTTTTCTTAAGTCCTCTCCAGAGCCCTGAAGTGCACTGAATGCATGCAATATTCAATTTTCACTCGGATCGCAATCCAGGCTGTAATCCTTCTTTGAGGAGACAAAATATTAGGATGCGGAAATGGTAAATGGGCATGATAAACCAAACCCCCCTTTTCCAGACGCCACTGGGAGTGAAGAGTGAATGTCTCCATCAGCCTACGGGTGTGTTTCATTAATGTTTCAACAAATTAATGACTAAATAAAAGTCAGCATGATAGCTCAGGCACACATTTGTAATTCATATTAATGCCCCACCGCTCACTGTGCCAAATGCAGTAATGTCACTGTCTGCCCGTGTCAGCTGATGTCAGGACTTCTAGTGTAGCAGAAGCCACGGGGCTTGGGGCAAGAGGGGTCCTCACACCACCCGCCATGCCTTGGGATAGCAGGCTTCTGAGCCCAGTGCGTCAAAACCACTCCCTGGCAGGTGGAGGCGGGCTGAGGCTCTCCTGCCTGTGTGGTCTCCTCAGGCATCTGGGTGTACCCCTGTCTGGCTTCCCACCCCAGGTCTTGGCTTGACTACCTTCTTCTTGCCTTTCAGGTCTGAGCTCAAACATCTCTTCCTTGGGAGGTGTCTCTTTAATATTTTAGTTAATGTTTTATATCACCTGTTACCCTATTTTAGTTTCTTCATATCGCTTATCTTTATGTCACATTATGTTGCTTAAATATGTATTTAATTTTAATTTTTTCTGCCTCCCTCCCCCGCACCTCCCAGCTCCCTTGCATGTAGGCCCCATGAGTGTAGTAACGTTACATGGCTGTTCATGACTGGGTCTCTAGACCCCAAAATAGAAGAGTCTAGCACGATAAATATTTGTTGAATGAATGAATGCACGCACAGGTAAGGGGTAAAGGCTCTCCAGCCCTTTACCTTGGCTTCTCCTGAGCTGGGATTGTGTGTGCTTGTGTTCAACTGTAAGCTCTGTCAGGCCAAGGATCCTGTGTGTACAGTTCACTGCCACACTCGCAGTGCCTATAATACTGCCAGTACACAGTAGGCATCTACTGCATGAATGAATGAATAAATCGGGAGTGAGAGGTGCTTCACTTAAACAATGCTCACATATATTTCAGAATCGGGCAGCAGCATGCCAATTTCATGTTTGGCAACTAGATTTTGAATTCCTTTTCCTACGAGACAGGAAGCACCTCACTGCCCTCAGACTGTCTCCAAATCCTGGCTGAGGGAAACCAGACAAGGGAAGAGAGAGGGTGGGGGCAGAGAAAGGTTCCTGGTGGCAGACGGCTCCTCTCCCTTCTCCTCTGTGATCTTCAGCACAAGCAGACACTAATCTCACACATGGTCCCATCTTTGATATCCCAGCCAGATGTTCTATTCGATAAATGAAACTAATTTACTCTGCAAGCAGCAGGCAACAGCTGAATCTGAGACTTCCCAGTCCTCATCCCCTTCCCGGTGGGATGGGGCCAGGTGGGGGGAATATGTGCATCTGGTTACCTGCCCACTCAAATTAGGTAAACAGGTTGCATAGCTGCACGGAGAGGCAAAATATAGACAGACTGATCAAGAGTGTGGGTTCTGGAGCCAGACAGCATGGGTTCAAATCTTGCCTTTTCTACCTGTTACTGTGGACTTTGGATAAGTTACATTTTAGAGTAAGTAAATGGTTGAACAAAACAAGATTTTTTTTTGACATACTAACTCTGTGCCAAACACAGTTTGTGGTACTAGGGATACATCCGTGAACAAAACAGATAATAATCCCTGTCTCGGTGGAGCTTAGATTGTCTGAGTTCTTCAGCTGTAAAAATGAGATGACAATATATTTTATATTTTAGGTTGTGGTGAGGACTAAACTTGACAGACTCCTAGAACAGTACCTGGTACCCAGTCAATGCTCAGTAAACACTACTAATTACTGTTTTACTGTACACGTGATCATCATTGGATGTGTTAGGAGGGAATGGGATCACTGTCCCCATCCTGCCTACTAAGAAGCATCCATAAAAGGCTCAAGTGACTTCCCTATGCCACACATGAGTGACTGACAGAATGAGGACATTCTATACCTTCCTGCCGGCAGGGGTCTTGGAACCCCTGGTGGGTGAAGCTTTGGTTCCAACCAGTGGGCTGCCTATGGGTTTCAAAATCAAAGACAGGAAGGGCTATAGGATGGGGTGGATGTTTTCTTAGGACAATGGCCATGAGGGTGGTCTGGAGAGAAAGCCTGAAAATCAGCAGAAGAAAACGAGCTCTTCCCTTGGCAAGGCCAAGCGGTAATAAACACGCATCACCATCTCTCCTTACACCAGAAAGATAGCGCTGCGGTGGCATGTGGGGTGGGAGGGGGACGTGGGGTGGGAGGGGGACGTGAGGTTGGAGTAGAAGATGCATTCGAATTAGAAGCCAATAACTGGGAAAGCTGCCAGGCGCTTAATCAATAAAAATAATGCATTTGGGTTGTAGAAATATTCCCCAAGATCAATTTCCCCTGAAGAAATATTTGTTTCTTTTACCAGGTTGCCACAAGTGTGTAAGGGAACATAAAGTCTTGATAAACACCTCCTGAGAAATATGGTTGCGTCTCTCTTCCCTCCAGCGCCCCCCCTCCCCTCACCTCAGGCCCCAACTCGGGCCCCACTTACAGCGATGTGAGTGATTTCAGGCCCTGGAAGGCATCTGGAGCAATATCCGATATCTGATTCTTGCTGATGTCTCTGAAAACGTTAACGGTAAAGTCTGAGAACATGGCTCAAAGGTGCGATAACGGTCACTCCTAAGTGTGAATCAAGCATTTCAGACATTCAAAATGGTAAGGATTAATCAATCAATCAAGCAATTCATTTACTCATAGTGCAAGAGAAGGAGCTTAAAGAGCCTTCAGTTCAACTACCTCATGATAAAGTGCACCACATTTACATCACTCTTCTTGGTTTTCAAAGAATACTCACCCGTGGCATCTTCATCGGGACACGAGGCTGTGAACACGTGAACCATCACTTTGTAGGTGGAAAATTGAGCCCAGTCAAATTAGGGCCTTACGTTTCATTACCAAGCAATTAACGACACAGATGAAACAGGAACCGGCTTCACCCAACCAACCACAAGCCAGGGTTCCTGTAGGCATCATCTTCTTGCCTCATGCCTCAGCAGCTGCTCATTTTTCTCCCAGAAAGTCCAGAGTCATTTCACCTCCCCAGTGACTTTTCCTCCCTGACCTGAAAGGAGCTTTTGAGCAGTGACTTAAGTCTCTGTCTGGTCTGGTGCAAACTCTAGGCTGTGTGATGTAAGCACATCCTGGGATTCTCAGGGGACGCCTTGGAGATGTGGGCTTGTCACTGGCTGGCAGTGTGTTCCTCATCTGGGAGCAAGTCCAGGGCATAAGAATGTCCCAGGCTTTGGATAATGAGAGCAAGAGGGATGCTGTGGGCCAGGAGGATTCTATTAATGCTGGGCCCGGGGTCTGGGGCAGCTAACCAGGCTTTGCAGGTGCAAAGGAATCTCCTCGACCCTGGCTCCTTCCCAGAGGCCCTGAGGCTGCTCAATTACGGGCATCCCAGTGACTTCTGAGAACCTGGACACCAGCTCTTGCTAATGGCCCTTCACTGAGGGGAAATTCTTTCTCTTAGAGTCATTAGCTCAGGGATGGCCTCTGGGATCCTGTCACTGGAAGGAGAGATGCTCCAATTTCCTGCGACATCAAACCTCTCCAGTTCCTTTTCTTTAACAAAATAAATAAATGGGTCTTTGCTTTTGTGCAGAAGTGGGAGAGCTGGGATCTTGGAAGGTCAACAAGGAGGTGAAGAGAGAATGTGGAGAAAAAAAAGCACAACAGAGCAGATTCTTAAGCAATTGACTCCAGCGAAGCCAGACACTCCAGCCTCTTAAGCACATGCAGTGGGAATCTCTCTGAGCCTGTTTCCTTCCTTCTTCTAATAGATTTCAAAAGAACCATGCCACAACCTTTGCTGAGGCCTCTACTTCCTCCCCTCCCTGCCTCCAAAGCCTGTACTTTGAACGATATTTCACAGGTTAAGGCTCTTCGGCACAGCTGTCTAGTTTATCCCTTTAGCTGGCGAAATCACCTCCGACAAATCCGCAGATTGCACTCACAAACTCGTCAGCTTACACCGGGCTTTTCTTCCGCGCTCCGGTTTTGTTTAAGGGTCTTAACAAGCAAATACTCTGGATTATCCTAATCTCACTTGCCCTCAGCATGGCTGCCTATGCAAAGCATTCCAGACAAACACGAAGGATCTGTTTAGACTGGACTAGCGGGAAGGCCTGTGTTGTCTTTTTTTCCCCTGATTATGAATTGTCCCTTCAAGGTGCTGAGACCTCTAGTTGCAAGAGGAAGCTATGTGGCCAGCACGGAAACCCTCTGCTTTAGCTCTGGGAGGGCAAACTGGTTTTCAGTCCACAACTAGACTTCTGGACCCATCTCTCCCTACAGTATGAGGTGAGATGCCCCACGGTTTGGAGGTGCTGGAGAGTGGGAATTGGAGAAGTGATAGACAGTTTAGCTGGGAATTGACCTTGGTCACTTTGTCTTTTTCTTTATTATTATAAAAACTGCATATTTAGGCTGGTTCAAAGGTAGTGAGTTCTCTCAATGGATTGTTCACAGTCAGTTACAGATCAAACTCCTTGTTCTACTCTTTCCTCCTTTTTCACTACTGTACTCAACTAGTCTTTTAAAAATGTATACATATT